>NC_000008.11:29860102-30163132 GCF_000001405.40 Homo sapiens
CTTCCAAGAAGTCCCTTATGACCACTCCATCTGGAATAGCAGGCTTCCCATCCCATCACTGACTTCCTCTTACCCTGCTTTATTCTCTTTGTATCATTATCACTCTTTGATATCTTATTTGTTTATGATTTTTGTCTCTCTCTCTCCCCCAGTAAAATATAAATTCTGGGACTGAACCAATGTATCCAAATACCTAGAACAGTAGTTGGCAGAGTAGTCGCCCAATAAACATCTGTGAAATGGATGTCAAATGAATATGCATAGATATGCAAATGAATAGGCACAAACACTTTCTAGGTCTGCCGTCCAATTTGGTAGCCAGTGGTCACATGTGGCTCTCAAGCACTTAAAATGGTGCCAGTCCTTTAGATCCTGAGGCAGAACTTAGAAAAGAAAAAAAGAAAAAAATAAAATGGTGCCAGTCCAAATTGGATTGTGCTGTAAGTGTAAAATATACACCAGATTGCCTGTAATCCCAGCACTTTGGGAGGCCGAGGCAGGTGGATCACGAGGTCAGGAGATCAAGACCATCCTGGCTAACACGGTGAAACCCTGTCTCTACTAAAAATACAAAAAAATAAAAAAATTAAAAAATACATATATACACCAGATTTAGTCTTAGCTGAAAGAAAGGAATGTAAAATATCTCATAAATAATTTTTATATTATGTTTTGAAATAATATTTTAGATACATGGGTTAAATAAAATATTTTATTAAAATTAATTGTACCCGCTTATTTTTCCTTTACTTGATGTGGCTACTAGAATATTTTAAAGCATATACTTGGCTTATATTTGCAGCTCATGTTCTAGTTCTGTGCATTCTATTTCTATTGGGCAGCACTGCTTCAGACCACAGACTGCTAGGCCCATGGGATGAGGATGCTTTGAACACTAGCAACCTATAGACCAGACTCTGTGTGTGTTCTTTCTCTGCCTTCTGTCTCAGGCCCAGAACTTTGGGTGACAAAGGTGACTCTTTGGCATCTCTTTCACTAAAGAAGTGGGACCCATGGTTTAATCTATGGCAAGGCATCTACCATAATAAAGAAAAGACACCTAAATAGAATGACTGCTTCATAGCAAGTATACATACAGTAAAGGTCAGCTAATACTGTTGTTGGTTTTATTTTTGCTGTTATTATTTATCTTTGTCCTACTCATCCAGTGGATTATAAACGACTAAGGGGAAGGTATCATGTCTTCACCTTCATTTATAACTCATCAAGTCTAGAGTTCCCTGCACATCCTTTACCATCTTTGAAGGTAAATGACTGATCAACCAGCAGCCTCCCTCTCCATCATAGTAGCTTCAGGGCAAAGCCAAACAGAATTGACTCAGCCTTAAAATGTCAAATGAATCATGATGCCAAAATGATTTATATCCACCTTAGAATACTGTTAATTCAGGCCACCTCAGCTGGCTTGCCTTTGACCTCCTGGGAGTCTGAGATTACATTTATTAACCTGAGATGGGAACTGGTCTTAAGAGTTCTCAGTAACCTATTAGGGTAAGAAGAACTTCGAAACCTAGGGTGGGTCACAGCCTTCTCCCTGACAATGAGGCCTGACCCAGGAACTCCACAGAAAGGTTTTTGGGGGAATCATTTGGGCATGGGGCCTGGGATGCGGAAGGGGAAGTTGGGAGGGAGGACTGATCTGAAGAACATGTGGGCGTACGAAGTCTCCCTACATTGATCACAACTCTTGAGTTACATATTTGTACCAATGTGGGAAGTTCAACCAAAAAGGAAGATTTCTCTGGAGATCCCCATGCATATGCCAGCGTCACTCATATTTTTTGTTCTTAAGCTTTCCCTGCCCGTAGAAGCTTTAATCTGTAACTTCTTCCTGTTTGCTTGTTTCTC
This sequence comes from Homo sapiens, assembly GCF_000001405.40. NCBI lineage: Eukaryota > Metazoa > Chordata > Mammalia > Primates > Hominidae > Homo > Homo sapiens. The sequence goes on from NC_000008.11 coordinate 29,861,972, forward strand.
AGGATTATACCTCCTTCTACCCTAGAGGGAGTGATGAGTCCTTCCTCGTTCACAGTCACTCAAACGAGGAAGCAAGCTTCAGTGCATTTTCTGGAAGAAGCATCTTTTAAATTCATCTTTGAGGATGAGACATTTCTCACTGTCATTTATCAGTGTCGACATCTAAGATTGACTGAGCCAGGTGAATTTGTTCCTTGTAGTGCACAGAAAATAAATCTGAGGGGTAACAATCCTTATGTTGCCAGGACTATCCCCAAAATTATGCTCACCCCATAGGTAGGTTTCCTGCCACAGTCTTACAAAGTTAACCGCCCTGGAATTCATTAAAATATTTAAACGCTTTGCTGAAAAGGGCAAGTGATGGGCCTCAGGCTGACACAACAAAAGGGGTTGTTTGGAAGTGAATATTCCAGATTCTTCCTTCGCAGAAGATCTGAAGTGTTAATCTTATCACAGGAAGGATGCAGAGAACTTGAAGGAACTTCATAGCCTGATTATTTGGCTCAGGAGAAGCAACACTTCAGCCAAAATTTTATATTCCATCGCTACTCTTCATGGAGCATGAGTTTCCAAAGTCAAACTGCATGAGATCCAGCAGAGATTAATTAACTACCCACCAGGCGAAGCAGCCTACAGGTCTGCATCCAAACTGCATTGTTGCATATCTTTTTCTCCCTAGCCTAAGTAAGAAGTCTTCATATAAAACTCAATTAATTAGATTTGAATTTTTAGTTAAAATAATTTCAATTGAACAACTTAGTGAAGAAACAAGCAAAGTGTACATTTCAACAAATGATCTTAAATTAAAAAAAGGAAAAGTTACACACACCAAATATAGATACATATATTTACCCTCAATAGTAATCAAGGAATGCACATATGATATGGTATTTTCTTAACTATCAAATATAAAAAAAAAAATCTACTATTGGCCAAAGTATGGGAAAGTAGGCATTTTCATTTACTGCTTTTGGGAATGTAAGTTGGTATAAGCTTTTGGGAAGAGAATTAGTGTTACCAAACTGAATTTGGGTCCACCCACCCAGTGCAGCAAAGCAAGCACTGATATTGGGATTGCAGTGAGAGAAAGTGAGGCACTTATTGCCGGGCACCAGCAAGGAGAATCAGGTAGCTCGTGCTTAACACCTGAGTCCCCATGGCTTATAGGTAAGGGTTTTTAAAGGCAGAAGTTATAAATCATAAATCAATTCATGGAGGCTATACATTGGTTTGATCTAAAAAGCTGGGACATCTTGAAATGGGGGCTTACAGGTCATAGGTGAATTTAAAGATTTTCTGATTTGCAACTGGTTAAGAAAGCAAAGCTTTGTCTAAAAATTTGAGATCAGCAGAAAAGAATGTTAGCTCAGCCAGGCACAGCAACTCACGCCTGTAATCCCAGCACTTTGGGAGGCTGAAGCGGGCAGATCACTTGAGGACAGGCGTTTGAGACCAACCTAGCTAACATGCTGAAATCCCATCTCTACTACAAAATATTAATACAAAAAAAATTAGCCAGGCATGGTGGCATGTGCCTGTAATCCTTGCTACTCCAGTGGCTGAGGCACAGGAATCACTTGAATCTGGGAGACGGAGGTTGCAGTGAGCCAAGATCACATCACTGCACTCCAGCCTGGGCAACAGAGTGAGACTCTGTTTATTAAAAAAAAAAAAAAAAAAAAAAAAGAATGTTAGCTCTGGCTCTCATGGGCATGACCTCCTCCAGACCCCTTATGAACAAATTTAGACAAAGAATAGTGGGCAGTCAGAGATCACTCCTGGTTCCCCCTTATCTATGGTCTATGTGCCAGCAAACCCATTTGATGGGGGTCTGGGTTTTTTAAAAAACAATTCAGGGATATATGTTAAGATGTTGTCTTTAGTTTCCATAGAAAACCAAACATCTTGTGACTCTAACTTCCTTGGCTATTGCTTTAAGCTACTATTACCTTCTTGCTTATCAAGTTGTTCCTTTACTTCTCAGGGCTAGCTGTAATTTCCCTTTAAGGAACTCAAGATTTTCCTTTATTTCCATGTTTGTGGGGGTTGTCCAACAGATCCCTAGGAGGGGTCCATGCTCCGTCTCATTTGCAACATTCCAGAAGCCTTAAAATATATCTATTATTTGGCCTAGCAATTCCTCTTTCAGGAATTTATCCTAAGAAACGATTTTTTAAATTAAACATTATATATAAAGATATTAAGCAGTATTTATAACAGTAAAAATGGAGCCAACCAGAATGTTCAATAACAAGACACTGATTAAAATAACTAATGGAACATTATGATGAAATTCTATCATTAAAAAATAATACTGAAAGCAATTTGTTACTGGTAATGATGTAATACCTTGAATCAACTAATCATTGTACCAAAAACAATTAGAAACTCTGAGGCAAAATGTTGTTTCAAAAGATTGCTGTTTGAAGTCTTGTCCAGCATGTAAGGAGCTCAGAAGTTATCACTCCCATTCTCACACAAGAAAAAGTCTGACCAAACTGTAAATCAACAACTCTTTCCATATCCACCAGGAAATTGAAGTCACTGATTCCCCGCAAAATTGAAAAGACAGACAGGTAGATACATAGAATCAGAACTCAATGAAGCAGAAGCCAGGAAACAGAAGTCTCCATGGGAACCAGTACTGAAGAAAGAAATTCTAAAATGTAATTGACAAATTGCTGGAGGCTCAGTGTGGACAAATCTGAGAGTTAAAAACTCTGGGAGGTAAGTGCAGACAGTCTTAGTGGGGGTCACTGCAGTTGTGTGCATTTTATCTCCTGGAGCCCTACTAGGATCTCACAATGAACATTAGAGAAAAATTCAATCCCCTCATGTTTTTGGCAGAGGGTAGGGGGGAAAGTAGCCCCCTTTTATTGAAATATGCTCAGGGCACTCTGTTATTCTTAATAAGGCCTGCCCTCAACAAAAATTATTTTACCAGAGCCTAGCCAACAGAAGTTCCACTGAAACCTAACCAACCAATGGGGGGAAAAATACCCAACTTCAGCCAGCTCTAGACTTACATGAGGTAGAAGAGAAATACCCAACTGTAGCTCACTTTAGCCTTCCTGCCTCACCTAAAGGAAGGGCCACAAAACTAAGAAGCACCTGTGAAGGTTACAGCTCAGGGGCACATGCTCACTGAAAAATTAAAACCTAATCATAGGAATATGGAAAACTACCCCTAGATTTTTTTCATATTCAAAACAAAGACAAAGAGAAAACCTTGAAAGAAGCTGAGGAGGAGGAGGTGGACACCTTGCAAGCAGGAAGACAGTGGGGTAAAATATTTGAAGTAGTAAGAAAAAAAAAGAAAACCACCAACCTAAAATTCTATGTCCAGCAAAATTATCCTTCAAAAGTGAAAGAGAAATAAAGACTTTCCCAGACAAAAAAAATTCAGAAAATTTCTCACCAGTAAACCTGCTTTGCACGAAATGTTTAAAAAAATTCTACAGAGAGAAGAAAATTAATATAGGTCATAAACTTAAATCTACATAAATAATGGAAAAGTGGAAGAGAATAAACAAATAAAGGTAAGATAAAAATCTTTTTCTTTGTTATTCTTAGTTGATCTAGCAGATAAAATTCATTGAAAATAATAATAGCAACAAATATATTCAGTGATGATAGCTTACGGATAAGTGAAATGAATGAGAGCAATGTCAATATGAGATGAAAAGGAGGATGTGAGAATGCTCTGTTATGAGGTACTTGCACTACACTTGACATGGCATTGTTATATGAAAGAGGACTTTGATTAATTGTAAATGTATATTGCAAACTCAAGAGCATTCACTAAAAAACATTTTTTTAAATATAATTGGAAGAGAAGAGAAATAGAATCACATGAAATGTTTAATAAAAATGAGGGAAGACAGAAAAGGAGAAGATTTAACAAAAATGTCAAGAGAAATAACTAGAAAACAACAACAGACATGATATATATTAATCAAACTATATCAATAATCACTTTAAACGTCAATGATCTGGATAAACCAATTAAAAGACAGAAGTTGCCAGAGTGAAACACAAAACAAGACCCAAATATTTATGTGGTCTATGAGAAACTCACTTTAAATGTAAAGACACCGATCAAAGGTAAAGAAACGGAGAAAGGCATAGCATGCTAATAGTATTCAAAAGAAGGATGGAGTACTTACTATATTAATTTCAGATAGAGAAGACTTCAGAGCAAGGGAAATTATCAGAGATAAAGAGAGGCATTATATTAATGATTAAATGGTCAATTATCCAAGAAAACATAATAATCTTCAATGCATGCACCTAAGAACAGAGAATCAAAATGTGTGAGGCAAAAACCCATAGAACTGCAAGGAGAAATAGATGAAACCATTATTCTAGTTGGACTTCAACACCCCATTATTGGAAATTTATAGATTCAGCAGGCAGAAAATCAGTAAGGACATAACTGAACTCAGTAGCATCATCAATCAACTAAATATGATTGACACCTACACAAAACTTCATCTAACAACAGAATACACCTTCTTCTGAAGCTCACAAAAAACAGTCATCAAGGAAAGCCACATTCTGAGCCATAAAACACACTCTCACAAATTTAAAAGAATAAAAATTACGCAAAGAATGCCCTCAGACCACAAACTTTGGAAAATCCCAAAGCACTTTGTAATGAAACAATATACTTCCAAATAACACATGCACCAAAGGAGAGTATCAAAATAAATTTGAAAATAGTTTGAAGTAAATAAAAATGAAAATACAACTTATCAAAATTAGGGCAAATGCAGTGAAAGCATGGCTTAGAGAAATGTATAGCATCAAATGCATATATTAAAAAAGAAAGATTTAAAACATCTAAAATCAATCATCTAAACTTCCACCTTACAAAACTGGAAAAGCAAGTAAATGTACTTCATAAAATAATAAAGAATATAAATGCAAAAAAGAAACTAGAAAAAAGAGACTAGAAAAAAGAGCCTATTAAATTCAAAGTAAGCAAGAAAAAAATAAAAATTAGAGCAGAAGTCTATGAAATTGAAAACAAGAAGTCGTTAGAAAAAATCACCAAAACCAAAACACTTTCCTTGAATGTATCAATTATATTGATAAGCTTCTAGCCAGGTTTGCTAAGAAAAAAAAGAGCAGGCACAAATAACTAATTTCAAAGTTGAAAGAGGAGCCATCACTACAGATCTTCTGGACATTAAGATAATAAATATTTTTAACAACTCTATGCTGACAGATTTAGTAACCTCAGTGAGGTGAACCTTGAAAGCCAAATCTACCAAAACTCACACAATGATAAGTAGATAATCTGAATAGGCACATATCTATTAAAAAGTAGAATTAATAACTAATAATCCTTCAAAACAGAAATTACCAGACCCAGATGAGTACCCTGGTGAATTTTATCAAACATTTAATGATAATAATTAAGGAAGAAATTACATCAATTCTCTACAATCACCTCCAGAACATAGAAGCAGAGGAAATACTTGCTAATTCATTCTATGAGGTTAGTACTACGCCTAATACCAAAACTGAAGACATTACAAGAAAGAAAAACTATAAACCAATATCTCTTATGAGCATAAATGCAAAAATCCTCAACAAAATTTTAGCATATTGAATCCAACAATGTATACAAATAATTATATACAATGACCAAGTGGGATTTATTTCAGATATGCAAGGCTGGCTCCTCATTCCAAGGTCAGTTGATGCGATCTGTCACATCATTAGTCTGAAGAACAATAATCACATAATCATATAAATACATGCAGAAAAAGCATTTGACAATATCCAACTCCCATTCATCATAAAAACTCTCAACAAACTAGAAGTAGATAAAAACTCCCTCAACTTGATAAAGAACATCCATAAGAAAACTACAAATAACATCATACTTAATGGTGAGAAATAGATGCTTTTCTAAGATCAAGAACAAGGCAAGAATGTCCACTCTCACCTAGTCAATATCAAAATAAAGACTGGGTGCAGTGGCTCACACCTGTAATCCCAGCACTTTGGAAGGCTGAAGCAGGAGGATTGCTTGAGGCCAGGACTTCAAGACCAGCCTGGGCAACATAGCAAGACCTCATCTCCACAAAAAATTTTTAAAATTAGCCAGGCATGGTGGTGCATGCCTGCAATCTTAGCTACTTAGGAGGCTGAGGCAAGAGGATCACCTGAACCCGGGATGCTGAGGTTACAGTGAACTATGATCATGCCACTGCACTCCGGCCTGGGTGATAGATCAAGAGCCTATCTTCCACGCAAAAAAAAATAAATAAATAAAAAATAAATAAAAAAATAAAAATCCTAGCTAATTCAAGAAGACTAGGAAAATAAATAAAAGACATTTACTTCCCAATATATGACATATTGGTAAGTAAGAAATAAAACCATCTTTGTTCACAGATGACATGATCATCTATATAGAAAATCTCCAAACCAAAAAAACTCATGGAACTAATAAGTGATTACAGCAAAGTTGCAAGATACAAAGTTAATATGCAAAAGTCTATTGCTTTCTTATATACTAGCAAATGTGAATAAAGTATGGACATTAGTTAAAAATAATAACATACACAGCCGGTCGCAGTGGCTCATGCCTGTAATCCCAGCACTTTAGGAGGCCAAGGCAGGTGGATCACCTGAGGTCAGGAGATCGAGACCAGCCTGACCAACATGAAGAACCCTCGTCTATACTAAAAATACAAAATTAGCTGGGTGTGGTGGCATATGCCTATAATCCCAGCTACTTGGGAGGCTGAGGCAGGAGAATTTCTTGAACCTGGGAGGCGGAGGTTGCTGTGAGCTGAGATCGCGCCACTGCACTCCAGCCTGGGTAACAAGAGTGAAACTATGTCTCAAAAATAAACAAATAAATAATAATGTACATATATTGATTCATTAGTTGTGACAAAGGTACCATAGGAAAGTAAGTTCTTTACAATAGAGGAAACTGGGTACAAGAGTATATGGGTATTCTCTGTTACATCCTTGCAACTTTCATATAAATCTAAAGCTATCCTTTCCAATTCATTGTATGAAGCTAGGATAAGCCTAATCCCAAAACCTGAAAAGGACATTACAGAAAAGAAAATTTACAGGCGAATCCCATTCATTATCCATAGAAATGTATATATCTAAGGATAATAGAAAAATGATAAAATACAATCCCAGAAATGCAAGACTGGTTCAACAATCGAAAATCAATGTAGTTATTCACTACATTAACAGAATAAAGGAGGAAATTATATGATTATCTCAATCAGTCCAGAAAAAGCACTTGACAAAATCCAACATTCATTCCTAATAAAAACTGTCAGCAAACTGAGAGCAGGAGGAAATTTCTTATTCTGATCAAGGGCATCTATGAAAAACTCACAGCCAAAATCATAGTTACTGATTAAATATTGAATGTTTCTTTTACGGTTGGGAATAAGTACAGAATAAATTTAAAGATTCATAAGCTGCTTGTGTTTTAAAAAGGATCTGTGTATCCCACCCAAAAAAGTTTCATTAATTTATTAATTTATTAATTGAATTGAATAACATTTATTGTGCACTTACTAGGTGCAAAACAGCTGTGAGGTGTTGGGGATTTTTTTTAAAGGATAAAAAGCAGTCTGCTTGTCAAGGAACTTTTAAATAAATTTAAAAATAAGACAGATAATTATTAAAAGTAACTAAAGTACACTTTAATATATGCTTGAGGGCCAAATGAAGCAACAGATGATTAACAGCTCAAGCTTTTGGAATCCAGATTGTGGAGGTCAAGGACTGGCCTATTTAGGAGTTTAGATTTTATTCCATAGGCTGTGGGGCTTTCTTAGCCCATGTTTTAGGCCTTTGAGCAGAGAAATGGTATAATAAAAAGATTCCACAGTCAGCATCACCAACATCACATTTTAAAAATATGTCACTATATCTGGGACTCTGAGCCTTCACTTTCATTTTATTACAAAGCAAGAGATGACCAGAGAAGTTAACTGATTTTCTCAAAGCTAGGGAGAAAATCAATGGGAATGGAGAATAGGAAGTTAGTGTAAAGATGAAACAGAATCCAGATTTCCTTCAATGATGGGGCTTCTACTGTTCCAGCTGTTGTTTGGGTATCTTGAAGGGTGAAGGACTGGGAACAGAAGTCACCTTTCACTTCTGATAGCTCAGTAAATCAAAAATATCTAGCGCTGAAAGTTTGTCTTCAGATAATGGTAACTAGGGAAGTAGCGAAACACTAGGAGAAGGGGGGAAAGAGTTAAAATTGGCTGCAAAGAACAGATGGTCTTCTCTGCTGCACTCCCACCTTCCTTTCTCTCTTTCCTACACTCACCGCCCACCTATCCAATTGTGCACTTGCTTGTGAGCGCGCACACACACTCACACTGTACTCTTCACAAGTTCCCCGCTACCTGTCAGTACTGACAGTTAATTCATGGATACAGAAATCTGTCTCTTTCCCATCGTCAGTGGTTAATTGAAAAGGCATCCACTAGCATGAGTATAAGATGCAGAAATTCATAATTATCTGAGAAAAAGCAAATGAGGTGCTGATAGCAAGCTGGTCAGATGGAGCCATGATAAAGCGGGGACCTCCAAGGCTCTCAGCAGACAGGCTCGAGAACCATGATACTCACCCTCCAAGGTGAATAATCCTTGGAGATTCATCTGGAAAATAAAATGCCTGACTGTTAGCAGGCTCTTGATTCATGCATGAGTCTCTACTCCTTTAACCCAGTGAAGAGAAGACACATGCAGGACTGGAGAAGTCTGGGGGTGAGTCTACACAGAGGCTCAGAAAGTTAGCCCCAGAGGAAAACAATCAAAGGATCTTCACCAACTGACCAATCCATCCAGTTTGCCTTGGGCTGTACCAATTTTAGCAATGAAAGTCACACGTCCTGTGAAACCTCTTAGACTCAGGCAAACCCGGAACATTGATCTTCCTAGCTTGGGCTGGTTCTGTCACACTAAGAGCTGGAGGTCAAGATATTAGGCAACAGGCCAGCCCCAGTACATACATACTGTAGAGCCCCAGAGCCCCAGAACTTATCCATCTACATGAGTCAGGGGAAGAAAAGACTACACCCTTCCTCCAGGGCCCACTGCAATGGGAGAAGTTTCTGGAATACTACTACTACTGAAGTATTACATTAGGTGACGGGTTTTTTTTTCTTTTCAGTAGTTCAGAAGTTCTGAGGGTCTTGTGGTTTTTTCTCATCATCATCCTCCCCTGGTTCTTCTGTTTCATTTGAAGAGGAGATGATATGATTGAATGGAACACAAGGAAGTAAAGTGATCTTCCTCGTTTGTTTTTCAAAAAGCTGATGCCTCAGAGGAAAAAGAAAGCAAAGCCCTGTACCCTGACTCGAGCTGAGTCTCAGGGGGGCAGCCAGATGCCAGAGAGAAAATGACTATATAGGTTACCTAGACCAACAAGAGCACAGACAGCCTGTCAGAGACCTCCATGCTTTAACCTGGCTCACAAGTAGAGCCACCAGAACCAAAGTAGCTGTGGTGACAGAGACAGAGACAGTCTTCATGAACAGATGACCAAGAACCAGACAAGAAGTGGATACTCCAGAGGACACCTGCAGAGGCAAGACATCAGGGACCACAGCGCTGCCCACCCCCTCTCATATGGTCCCCATGTAAGCCCCTGGAACTGGGTACCATCCCAAAGGTAATAGCAACCCCAAAAGTAATTGACTAAAATTACATTTCTGCCACTCTGTCACAATGGAGGTCTGAAACAGTTGTTACGTTATAGAGAAAGACAGTTTCATTCTTTGCATAACTGAGTCTATAAACTCAGATTCACCCTCTACGCAGCATTCCTTGGTGTGAAAAAAACACAGGATTCAGAATCTGAGACTTGGCTTTGAGTTCTGACTCTATCACTCTAAAGTTTTGTGAATTATTGGGAAATGCTCTCTCACAGCTCAGAAGACTTCTCTGCTTCATTTTCTCTCATTCCACTCTCCATGAAGAGGAAGAACAGCTGTTATGACCCCCTACACCCTCCAACAGCTGTTACATCTTCCCTCAAACTTCTGAAGACCAAACAATGCTGCTCTTTAAAAACCACCCTTCACCACCAAGCTTGCATTTGTCCAGTGCATTCAAGGGTGACAAACTCAATGGACACTGGCATCCCTGCTCTAAAACTTGACCCAGAACACTTTCATGTCCAGGAAGATTTTTTTTTATTCTAGAGAATCTATGCAGTGTACATAGCCAACTTCCATGTGCAACCTGCTCCTGTGCTCTTGAACTGGAAAACATCTTGGAGTTTCCAAATCTCTCAGTGCTGCCCATGCTGAGCTCCTCCTGATGACAAAACAAGGGAATCACTTTCCTTTAAGGTTTTGTTTTTTGGTTTTTTGGTCTTTCATTGTTGTTGTTGTTGTTGTTATTTAGATAGCATCTATCTCTGTTGCCCAGGCTGGAGGGCAGTGGCATGATCTCAGTTCACTGCAACCTCTGCCTCCTGGGTTCAAGCAATTCTCCTGCCCCAGCCTCCTGAGTAGCTGGGATTACAGGTGCATGCTACCACGCCCGGCTAATTTTTGTATTCTTTAGTAGAGACAGGATTTCGCCATGTTGGCCAGGCTGGTCTTGAACTCTTGACCTCAAGTGATCCACCCGCCTCAGCCTCCCAAAGTGCTGGGATTACAGGTGTGACCCACCGTGCCCAGCCTTTTCCTTTAAGTTTTCCCTCTGGATAGGTGTGTACCCACCTGTGGTGGTGTGACTTTAGTCAGGATTTCCTAATTCAGGTTCCAGAGCACTGGTTCTGCTGGGATAATACATGTTATGGAAAAAGTTGAGCTTGACATAGTCAGACTGGCTTGGGAAATTCTGGTATAAGTAAAATCAAAGGGGTTTCTTTACTCCAGGAGAACCTTGAACATGCTAACGTATGCTGTTTTCTTCAAAGAAGGGTGATATGGTTTGGCTCTGTGACCCCACCCAAATCTCACCTTGAATTGTAATAATCCCCATGTATCAAGGGTGGGACCAGGTAGAGATAATTGAATCATGGTGGCAGTTTTCCCAATGCTGTTCTCATGATAGTGAGTGAGTTCTCATGAGATCTGATGGTTTTATAAGGGGCTTCCTCTTTGCTCGGCAGTCATTGTCTTCCCTGCCACCTTGTGAAGAGGCGCCTTCCACCATGATTGTAAGTTTCCTGAGGCCTTCCTAGCCATGCAGAACTGTGAGTCAATTAAACCTCTTTCCTTATAAATTACCTAGTCTTGGATATTTCTTCATAGCAGCATGAGAACGGACTAATACAGAGGGAATATGGAATGCAGCGTGTCCCAAACTTCTGAGACCCAGACTGACATGGAGCACCTGCTTTCTCAGACTATTATGAATGGGCTGGATTCCCGTGACAGTGATCACACCTACTGTTTCCCCGTGATTGACTAGGGTGGCCCATCCTGAGAGAACAGGGCTCCTTAGGACTCTTTCCTCTCAAACAGCACCAACTACTATCCAATATGCTTTTCTGAGACTCAGTAGACACTTAAATATGGCTAAAGCTATCTGCTTTGAGATAATGAAAATAGCTGATGCTCTCTGAGCCATGTTCTGCCACATTCTACCATCTATGGCTGTGACTGACAACGTTGGCTGTATATTATGACAATCCACATTAGCTTTCTAGGGCTGCTGTCACAAAATACCAGGAACTGGGTGGCTAAAAACAAGAGAAATGTATTTTCTCACAGCTCTGGAGGCCTGAAGTCCAAAATCAAGGTGTCCTTCTGAAAGGTTCTGCAGGAAAGCTCATTCCCTGCCTCTCTCCTAGCTCCTGGGAGTTGTTGGTAATTTCTGGCATTCCTTGGCTTATAGATGCATCGTTCCAATCTTTGCCTCCTCTGTTGCACAGCATTCTCCTTGTGTCTCTTCACATTGTTTTGTCTCTGTACCTGTCTGTTTTGTGTCTCTTCTCCTCTCCTAATAGGGACACCAGTCCTATTGGATTAAAGGCCCACCCTATTCCAATATGACCTCATCTTAACTAACTACACCCACAATGAATCTATTTCCAAATAAAACCACATTCTGAAGTTCCAGAAAGGACATGAACTTGGTGGGGGAGATCACAGTGGGGGCAATTAAACATAGCACATCACTTAAGGAGTTTTTATTTATTTATTTATTTAGACGGAGTTTTGCTCTTGTTGCCCAGGCTAAAGTGCAATGGCATGATCTCGGCTCACCACAACCTCTGCCTCCCGAGTTCAAGCAACTTTCCTGTCTCAGCCTCCCGCGTAGCTAGGATTACAGGCATGCTCCACCACGCCCAGCTAATTTTTGTATTTTTAGTAGAGATGGGGTTTCTCCATGTTGGTCAGGCTGGTCTCAAACTCCCAACCTCAGGTAATCCACCCGCCTCAGCTTCCCAAAGTGCTGGGATTACAGGCGTGAACCACCGCGCCTGGCCCACTTAAGGAGTTTTTAGAACTCACACGCCAGGACAGTTGTAATGATCCCAGAATCTGGCAATGGGACCCAGTCATCAGTGTTCCTTAAAGATCTCTGAGTAATTCTAATGTGCAGTCAAGTTGAAATGACTGTGCTATGGACTTTATATAAATATTGTCCCATATAGTCCTCATAATAAACCCAAGAGGTGCTATTCATATCCTTATATTATGGATCAGACGTCTGAGACTTAAAGAGGTTAAAATAACTTGACTGTCGCTACACAGGCAGTAAGTGATCGAGCTGGGATTTCTGGAGGCATTTAGCTCCAGAGCCGGATCATATAAGCCTTTCAGACTCAGAGCTGAGCTTTTAGTAGCCTCTGAGCTCTGAGAGAAGGCACCACAGCCCCCTCTGCAACTGAGGAGTTACACTGGCCTCTGCATGCGGCTTTCTTTAGGAAGCATTCCCCTTTCTGGCTTTGATCCTAGCCCCACTCTTCCCTCTCCAGTCCCAGCAAAACCCCTCCATCTGGCACCACTCTGGGAAGTGGGAAGACAAAAGTTTCTCTAAATCGCCACTTCCAGCCTGCCATGCGACTGCAGCTTTTAATAGTAACTACTGCGCTCTGATGAAAAAGATTGTTGTTTCCGTAACGGGAAAAGTAGCTCCAATCCAAGGACGCTGCCATAGCCCTGACCAATGAATGTGGAAGAGCCCTGAACAGGGCTAACTAAAAGGCCTCTCAGTAAGCGGTTGTCAAGCCTTAGGGTGCCTCTCTGGACAGTTCCCGGTACTGCACCACTGCCCAGAGACCAAGCCAGGCCCGCTCCCAGCTCTGCAGACCCTGCCACTTTTGAATGGGTCAGGCAGATCAAACTTGCTATTTACAGAGGCCAGAGTGGTACCACCTAGGGGATGTCATCTGTAACTTTATTTTTATCTCTGATGATGGCTTTAAAATACATTCATAGAGAAACTGGATCACTGGTATATTGTTGATGCAAGTGTAAAATGGTACAGCCACTCTGGGGAAAGCTTGGCAGCATCTTAAAAAAATAAACTTACAACTATTATACCTCTTAGCCATTACACGCCCCCTGGGCATTTATTCCCAGAGAAATGTAGATGAGCTCACACAAAAACATGAACACAAACATTCACAGCTGCTTTACTCATAATAGCAAAAAAAAAAAAAAAAAAAAAAAAAAAAAAAAAAAGGAAATAGCCCAGTCCTTAAATGGGTGAATGGTTAAACAAACTGGCTTATCCATACCATGGAATACTACTGAATAATAAAAAAGAAAATGGACCAGCTACTGTGGCTCATGCCTGTAATCCCAGCACTTTGGCAAGCCAAGGCAGGAGGATTGCTTGAGCCCAGGAGTTCAAGACCAGCCTGGGCAACATAAGAAACCCCGACTACTACAAAAAACAAAATTTAGCAGGCATGGTGGTATGTGCCTGTAAGTCCAACTACCTGGAGGCTGAGGCTGGAGGATTGCTTGAGCCCAGGAGATCAAGGCTGCAGTCAGCCATGATCATGTCACTGCACGCCACTGGGTGACAAAAGGAGACTCTGTCTCAAACAAACAAACAAACAAACAAACATACAAAAAACTATTAATACACACAACAACTTGGATGAATCTCCAGAATTAGGCTGAGTAGAAAGAAAAAGGTTAATCCTCCAAAATTATATACCATACATATACTTCCATTTATATAGAATTATTAAGAAGGCAACATTATAGAAATGGAGAGGAGATTAGTGGTTGCCAATGGTTAAGGAGGGAGGGGGCTGTGGTTAAAAAGGTCAGCAGGAGGGACCCTTGTGTTAATGGAGTGTTCTGCATCTTGACTGTATTGATGTCGACATCCTGGTTGTGATAACATGCCATCATTTTGCAAGATATTACTCTTGGGGAAACACACAGGGTCTCCCTATATGATTTCTTACAATTGCATGGAAATCTATGATTATCTTGAAATAAAAGTTTTGATTTTTTTTAAGTTTGAAAAATGTATTCAATGAGGAAATGTTCACCTTTTGGCTAGATTAAAACGCTGGTAGGTCCCAAGATTTTCCCACTTTAGTCCTAGAGTCATTATTTCAGGAGACAGAGCCTCGATTTAATCATTAGAATGCCCACTCCTATGTATTAATAACAATCAAGTCTCCAAAACTAATTTAGAGCTGAATATTCTCTCTTTCCTCAGGTAGGGCCAGTTGACGATGGCCACTTTACACTCAGGTGGGAGGTGTGTTCAGCCACACCTTTCACTCACCTCCTCCTCTTTGCAAATGGGAAAAAGGACAGGGGAAAAAAAATGCAGAAAGTTCACACTTGATGGGATGGTTTTCTGAAGGTTCCTCCTCTTTCTCAATGGTGTTTTCATCTGTTCTTCGGAGACCTCCCTACTGGGCCCTTCAGACAGCTGCTCCCATGACCGGCGAGATGACACTGTTTGTCTTTGTTCCTGGCAGACTCCAAGGGGGCAGGCCCCTCCCAAACAGAAGCAGTCCTCCTGCCTCTACCACCAAAGCAGTGAGCCTGTTTCTCACCCTTCCGATATCCTGGGGAAGTCACAACAGGTCCTCATTGAAGGGTATGCCTTCCTTGTAATCCTGGCAGAAACCCTCACAGGCTTGAAGTGATGGGTAGACAGCCCTGACAGGGACTCAGCACAGCTTTCCCTGAAGAAAATCTCCTCACAAGATGTTCTCTGTATTAGTCCATTCTCACACAGCTATAAAGAACTACGTGAGACTGGGTAATTTATGAAGAAAAGAGGTTTAATCAACTCACAATTCTGCAGGCTGCCCAGAAGCATGGCTGGGAAGGCCTTAGGAAACTTACAATTATGGCAGAAGGCAAAGGGGAAGCAGGCACATATTCACATGGTGACAGGAAAGAAAGAGTGAAGGGGGAGGTGCTACATACTTTAAACAACCAGATCTCATGAGAACTCAACTACCATGAGAACAGCAAGGGGGAAATTCACCTCCATGATCAAATCACCTCTCACCAGGCCCCTCCTCCAACACTGAAGATCACAATTCAACATGAGATTTGGGTGGGGACACAGAGACAAACCATATCATCTTCACACTCTCAACTTTCTGTCCTTTTTATTCTGTCTTTTTATGGGCTTCAGAATCAACTATCCAGTGTTCAGTCACTTCCTTTGAAAGGCTACTACATCATGGTGACTTGATCCAAACATCGAAGTTAACATTCCATCACCTAAACTATACTGAAGGCTGGAGGGAGGGGAAGCCAACAGAGGAGAGGTCAGAAGAGAAGGAAATCTATAATGGTCAGAAGAGGAAATTAATAGACATGGTCTAAGATTGATAAATCAAGAAATCATCATAGATGAAGGTGAATGCCAAGAAAAACAAGCCCCAGAGATGAAAGCAACTGTCTCTGAAGTGAAACTGGAGGCTGGAAGGGGAAGGGAGGGAACTGAAGTTTTTCATCCTAAGCTTTTTAATTCTATGACTGTTTTCCTCCATATGTGTGTGTGACTTTGAGACACATTATTTACTTTTAAAATTGGAGACAAAAAGATGTGCCACATAGGTGATGAAAGGAGAATATGTCTACAAAGCAATCCCTGTCAAAAATATGCATTCTTAGGAACACCACAGTCTCATGGCTCATGTTAGAGCCATTTCTAATTGCTTTCCTTCTCTCCCACAGTTGCTCCCTGAGAAGGTAACTGAGAGAAAGCCCAGTATCTCACAAACCTTCACTTTCTTTCCCTATTTCAGCTACAAATTTCTTGTATTAATTTCTTGTGACTGCTGTAACAAATTACCACAAACCGGGCACTTCAGACAACAGAAATTTATTTCCTCACAGTTCTGGGGATGGAAAGTTCAAAATCAAGGTATCAGCAGGGTCACACTCCCTCGGGAGGCGCTAGCCTCCTTCCTTGCCTCTTCCAGCTTCTGGGGGCTCCAAGCATCCCTTAGCTTGTGGCCACCTCACTCCAATCTCTGTGACCACACTGTCTCCCCCTTGTCTGTCTCAAAACTCCTTCTGTCTCTCTTTTAGAGGGATACTTGTGATGGCATTTAGGGCCAACCCAGATAATCGAGGATAATCTCTTCATCTCAGAACCCTTAACTTAATCATATCTGCAAAGTCCCCTTTTGCCATTTAAAGTACCATTCATCGGTTCCAAGGATTAGAACTTATACATATCATTTTGGAGGCCACTATTCACCCCCAGGACATTATCCCTACATCATTTCATGCCTGTGCCTCTGCTCTCCTGGGCTCCAATTTATACTATACCACGGCTGGAAGAATCCCATGTCCACGTCATTTTCACCACACCCCTCCACTCTCAAAACCTCGACCAGGATTCCTCTTGCCATTGAATCAGAGCCGGCTGCAACTGGAAGGGGCCTGAGAGACCTCCTCATCCCTCTTCTAACCAATGAGGAACTGAGGCCAGGGGGCTTACCAGGTCACATAGCTCACCAGTAACAGCTTAGAGCATCTCTTGATTTCTAAGCAAAAACTAGTCCCACAAAACCATGCCCGTTACTCACAGTGGTCCCCTCCTATCTCGCCAACCCTATTTCCTTCACAGCCAGCCTCAGCTCCTGTCAGCTAATCCATCTGCTCCTGTTCCTTTTGATTTGTATAGGTACAAATAACCTTGCCTGCAAGTCTAATCCCAAAATCACCTCTTTTAGGAAGTCTTTTCTGGTTAAAAATGTCTAATTATAATCACTTCTTTGTTCTGTGGTCCCTCAGAAATCCTGTAGTAAGTTGGGGCTATATTAGTTGCACTCACTTATTTGTGGCCTTCAAACATTCTAATTTTTGGGTTCTAGCTACAGGTTTAATCCCAAATTTTTCACACCTTTGATATCCTTCTCCACACTACTCAGCCCATAATCTAACACACTGCATTCCCTCTCTTTCTCCCTCTCCCTCAGACACACACACACACACAAATACGCATGCACACGCGCAAGTTGCTACTGTCACTTCTTAAAAGTTGACTAGGCCAGGCCCAGTGGCTCATGCCTGTAATCACAGCACTTTGGGAGGCCGAGGTAGGTGGATCACTCGAGGTCAGGAGTTCTAGACCATCCAGCCTGGCCAACATGGTGAAACCCCATCTCTACTAAAAATGCAAAAATTAGCCGGGTGTGGTGGCGCATGCCTGTAATCCCAGCTACTTGAGGCAGGAGAATCGCTTGAACCCAGGAGGCAGAGGTTGCAGCAAGCCGAGATCGCGCCATTGCACTCCAGCCTGGGCAACAAGAGTGAAACTCCATCTTAAAAAAAATAAATAAATAAGTTGTTGACTAAGGGATCACATCCTGTGAACTACAGCCAGGTGTGTCTGGACAGAGAACGTGTGGCAAAGCCTCACATATTATTGATTTAATGAAAGTAAAATTGTATTGAGAATTGTTCATGTGTTTTTCTTCTGGATTTCTGAGTATGTCGCCATCACCCCACATTGCCAAAGGCACCCAGAAACTCCCATCTGTTAGAAAAGGAGGATTTTTACCAAAAGAATGCAGAAAGAACAGCAAGAGTAATTTTCAATTTACTGCGTTCAGAAACTGGCTTAAACAGCAAAGCATTCACCCTGAAGCCAGGGTATTGACCTGAAAACAGTTTTTCCCACTTCTACCTTCACTCCCTCAAGACACACCCACCCTGCTTTAAATCATTAAGGACCAAGGCTAGATGACACTAATGCATAAAAATACCACTGCCACTTAGAATATATGCACTCTCCACCAGGGCAGGAAGGCCAGAATGTTTGCCACTCCTGTAGAAGAAGGACACTATTACACAGGAGGGTAAAAGAAAGACCCATCCTTTTCCAGCCTGAAGGATGGTGGAAAAGCTGAAGAGAGGAGAGCAAGGCTCTTCGAGGCATGTCCCCATGTCCCCTGTCTGTGTTTGGCATGGAATAAGTGAACCTAAGAGAGTAGGAGGAGGCACAGCCTCTGCTCCCTGCATGGACTTCTGCAAAAAGAACTCTCTCTGACTGCCTTACACCAGCCTAGAGCCAGGCCGCATCGAGTTGGCAAGGCAGCAGGAGGGACAGAGGGAGGCTCTGAGGTTTCACTTTGCCAAAGCCACCTTCTGACTGCTGGGCACTGATGGTGAGAGCCAGGGGCCTGCTGGGATGGGCAGTGGCCATAGGGTCTGGAGGTCAGCCAGAGGAGAAGCCCCTGACCAGGCCCAAGTGACACCAGCCATGGTCTTGGGGCAGGAACCAGTACAAAGAGACATGGACCTGAAGCCACAGTCCCCACACGAGAGGACACTCCTCCCCTCCACATGAAGTCCAGGAGCCACAGCCCTCACTCCCTTCCAAACCAGTTGTCTCCATACTCTAGATGCCATTTTAGGAAAAGAAGCAGTCACAGAGTGGAGGTAATCTAAGAGTGAAACCATTTTTTCCTAAAAAGACTGAGCATCCCTCGAAGACCCTGTCTAAATGATCAGGTCAGACATTCACTCAAACCAAACTAGAAATTTAGCTTTTTATTTTCACTGGTGGTAGGGGTGGGAGTGGGGATGGGGATGGGAAATCATAAATTAAACTAAAGTGGCAATTAAAAAAATATAGAAATGACATTTTCTCTTTGTGGCCAAGCTGCAGCAGAAGTTAAATTTTTCGAAGCTGTTATAACCAGCATGCCCTTCCTTGGAAGGCCAAAGCTCTGGATTAATGTCAGGATTTGTAAAATACCCAGATAGCAATGAGGACAGAAATCCTTCCCCTGAACTACAGAGAAGTGAATTACCTAGCAATGTGTTACTGATTTATCATACCAGCTGTATGTAAATTAAATTTGAAAACTCAAACTGATTTCATTTCCAGTCCCTAAGTATCCAGGTGGCTTGCTGCATTAATTAGAATTGACATGGAGGTTAATAATTTTGCTCTCTGACTTCCACCTCTTTAAAACCTGATACCTTGATATTCCTGCCGATAAACGTGTGGGGTGAGGAGTGCAGGAGTGCATCAGCAAGCAGGGGTCCAATGCATAACCCGAGAGATGAATTTTTCACAACACTGTCCCCTCACACCTGAGCAGGGTACACTTTCACGTTGCAGCCAGTGGCAGGCTCACTGGAGTGATGAATGAGGTGAAATCAATGGAACTCCACTATACGCACAGGGGGTTTCTCTCTCCTCAGCACCCTGTGACCCGCCCCCAGCACAAGCTTCACCCTGGGACAGAGCCACCAGCCATTCATCCCGCAGAAGACCAGGCACAGCAAAGCTGCAGCCACAGCTCACAGCTATCCCAGGATGGGGTTAGTTGCTTTGCAATGGGACAGAGGGTAAAAAGAAGGCTTGGGCACTAACTATCAGGGGTTCTGCTGACTTCAGACACTTGATAGACAGATGGATCACTGACTTATTCAATTCCTAGGAAAAGAAAATGGTCAGACCCCTCATCAGAGAGTGCCTGGCATACTAAGCTCTGGCTAGGAGCTGTTACCCAGGTGCTCTCCAAAGCTGAACATATGGGGTTAATTGCATGATTTTTTTTTCAGATCCTCTGAGAGTGCAGGCAGAACTGTGTTTGTCAAGGGGTTTGAAGGTGAGGTTCCAGAAACCATCTGTGAAAATTAGGTGAGAAAACATCTCCTTCCTTCATCAGCTGCCTGGTGCTATAGAATCCACTTCCAAATATTGTCTTTTGGACAAAGTACCAAACATGTAACTGAAACTCCATTCTAAGACCATAAATATTTTGCAGATACCTACGTGGATCTGGATACAAATGCTACTGCTGGTGAGAACAGAGCTATGGCATGCCTATTTCACAGTCTCTGACTTAGCCCAAGTTCTAAGAGTTGACTCTAACAGTCTTGAAAACTACCTCAGGATATATTTTTTCCCTTGAAACAATGCTGTAAATGGTGGCCAGAATCTCAAATACATATCCAATTGTCCATAGCATTGAGGAGGCATCTTTGACAAGGTGAGAATTTTACTTGATCGTAAAAACATCTCTGTTGGAGTCTCAGCCAAGACCTTTTCTAACTACATTACCTTGGATAAGTCACTTCTCTGAATCAAAATGAGAGTCATGTTAATACTCAACAGGTCTACTTCAATTCAATGAACCATATGTCAGGAATTACAGGAGGAGCTGCAGGTTCTAAGTTTGAAGAGTATCTTTCCCCAGGCCTGGGAATCCAGCAGCCCTGGCTGTCTGTTGCTGGGTACCCTCAAGCAAGTTTCTCCACCTTAAAATTCAGTAACAATGAGAGGCAGGATCACCCAAGAAGGCTCTAGAGTCAGACAATTTTGGATAAATTCCAACTGCACCATTTACTAAGTATCAACTTTAAGTACATTAAGCTCCTTCATTTTCTGTAAGGAAAGGTATATTATAATGGCAGTTTTATAAGATTGCTATGAATATTGAGAATATGCATGTAAATTTCTTGGCACACTACCTGGAATGAAGGACTCATTTCAGTTATTTTGTTGTCAGTGTTGTTGCTGTTAATAAAAAAGAAGTTTATGATGAGGAGAATAGTTCACTGTCACCATAAACAATACTTAGTAGGTGCTAAATAATTGCTACTTTTCTTTCCCCAGCCCTGAATCTTCAAAGGGCAAGGAATACAGATCCTAAAAGAGAGAATTAAAATAAAATGTGGTAAGGACAAGCATCGGCCTTAAAAGTGCTATGGGACACAGGGAAGGAATGGTCCTACCTGAGAAAGATTGGGAGGCTTCAGGAAGGAGGTGGCATTGAACTGAGAAGTCTGACCAGGATCAGAGAGAGTGGGGTCATTCAGACAAAAGAAGAGTTTGAGCAAAGGCTTGGAGTTTGAGTTGTGTGCAGTATGGTGAGAGGAATAATGAAAAATTTGGTAGAATTAGAACACAAGGCAGGCACTGAGGTGAAAAATCTGAGGAGGAATCATTACTAGAAGTTAAAAAGGCAAAAACAGATTGGAATCAGATTGCAATGGACTTTGCATTCCATGCTAAGAATTTGGGCTTCCTTTTGGGCCAGTATTTCCCAAAACGGAGCCCCTGGATTATCTACATAGGGGCTGAGGGAGAAAACTTTCCTTTTGCCCTCTGAAGGTTCACTGAAAATCAAATGACAAAACGCAGATTAATAGGAGAAAAAATAGAGAGTCATAGAAAACATGAACTCAGAGAGGGGCCAGATGGTTGATGCTTACAACTCTCTTCACAGGGGAGAGGTGCATAGGTCCAAGAGGCAAGAGGCAGCCAGCAGAGGAAGGGCAGAGCTACACAGGAACAAAAGTTGTGTTATGATGCAAATAAAGTCCCCCAAACAATCTCCTGGAGTCGCCCTCAGAAGAATAGATAAAAATTCTGTCCGTGGACAGGACAACTCCCAGTCTCTTCTCTTTTCTGGTGGTTGATCTTTCCTGGTTACTTGATGAGCTATCTAAGGAGGGCATTTAAGACAATTGCATTTCTTTTGGAAAGAAGCTGATATAGTTTGGATGTTTGTCCCCACCCAAATCTCATGTTGAATTGTCAACTTCTGTCAGCTTTGTGGAAGATGCCTGCACAGGGGTAGGGCCTGGAGGCAGGAAGAGAAGCAGAGGGAAGCAGACCAGAACGGAACTGCAGCAGAGAGTCGGAGCGGGGAGGCAGGCCAAAATGAAGGCATTCCAATCTAACAGCGGTCCTGGGCTAAGGTCACCTTAGTCAGGTCAACATGCCAGGGATATGTGGATGGAAGAAGAGTCCTGGAAATTTTTCATTCTTTCTGGAGGAACTGAGAAAGCGAATGAGTATGGCAAGACATTAAACAAGTGTCGTAGGACTTTTCCCTTAGTTCAGCTAAGGATGAGGTCCTTGTCGCATGGCCATGAAATATTAGGCTCACAGATACTTTGAAGGATGATAAAAATGGTACTTATTGGACAAAAAGGAGAAAAAAAAAAAAAGGGAAAACAGGGACTCTCCACAAAGCCAGAGTCCTGATAGTGTGCTTCCTGCCTCACAGATTAAATTCCAGGTTCCACCCAGGAAGAGGAAGGGCCAAGCTCCTCCCCACTGCAAATGGCGCAGACTTCTGCGACTGCAACGCAGTGCGCGGGCTGGCTGGAGTTTCCCTGGGGACCCCTTTCCACTTGGCTGTCTCACATGCATAAGTAATTGAGACAAAACCAGTACCCCTTCTTAGGGGCCTGCTGGGCCTCCAAGCATGAAAATAAAAGAAAATCTTGAGTTCCTTCAAGGGAAATTCCAGGCACCTAGCTGGCCTTGAGAACTAAATAAGCAACTGGATAAGCAAGAAGGTAACAGTAGCTTAAAACAATACCCAAGGAAGCTAGAATCACGGGAGGTTTGATTCTCTATGGAAACTAAAGATAACATCTTAATATATATCCCCGAATTGTTTTTCGGAAACCCAGACCCCCAGCAAGGAGATCTGCTGGCAAGTAGACCTCAGATAATGGGGAACTAAAAAGTAAACTTTGACCACAGTTCTTGGTTCAAAATCTCTTCCTGAGGGGCCTGGAGAAAGTCACACCCAGGAGCCAGAGCTAACATTCTTTTCTGTTGACCCCAAATTTTTAAACAAATCTTCTCTTCCTTAACCAAATCAGAATCTTTGAAATCTATCTATGATCTATAAGCTCTCCTGCTCAAGATAACCGGCCCTTTTAGGCCAAAACCAATATATAACCTCCGTGTATTGATTTATGACTTTGCCTGTAACTTCTGCTTTTCTGAAATTTAGCCCTGCCTTTAAAATCCCTTATCTGCAAGCTATCAGCGAGGTCAGGACTTAGGCATTAGCTGCCTGGTCCTCCTTGCTTGGCAACTGGCAACTAAATGCTTCACTTTTTCTTGCTGCAATCCCGATGTCAGTGTTTGGCCTTGCTGCACCGGGTGAGCGGACACCTGGTTCGGCTCTATAACACAATCCATGAAGAGATTTGTAAGGGTAGTTAAGAATCTTATTAGAACCATTGCTTCCTGGGAAGTCACATGTGGACAGGTGACAGATATGATCTTCCTTTGAGAGGTGGAAGCTGCCAATTGTTGTAAATGACAAAGCTTTGGTTCCTTTACTTGGCCTACAGAGAATCCATTAGAAATCTCACCAGCAAGCCTGTCAGACTGAACAGCAGAGGAAAATCAATGTGTCCCTCACCTTATAAAGGAAGAAAAAAAAATGAGAGAAGAGCACGGCCCTAAGGCAGAAAAAGACTACTTTACTAAAAATATGACACACCCTGAGAACAGCCAGGCATTTCTATAAGAAAAACAATAAAGAAAAGCATCCTCTTCCTAAGATAAAGTAGGCTAAAGACAAAGCTAGATAGGGCAGGGCAAAAGAACAAAGCAACCGTCTTTTATTTCGTCTTCCATTCTTCTTGAATTCTCCTGACCACTTTTTCCAGCCACCCAGCCATGTGTATGTATTTCATTAGAATATGAATGAGAAGCCCTTTGGGAGAATTGTATGCTGCCATGGCAACAGTCACCATGGCAACTGTTAATTAATTGGATGATGATGAAGTGGAGGAAGAAAAAAAGCCAACCAGAACGGATACAACTCTAGAGGAAGTCATGGTGTGTAGTAATTATATGAATTTCATTCAGCAAAGGCATGCAGCAGGTCAGAAATGCAAATATCTCCCCCGCAGCCACCGCCTACTCAGAGAGGCCTGCATTTGGATTAAACAAATGTGAATGAGTGGCTCAGGCCTCCTCGATTCAAAAACACACATATGGCTGCCCCAACATAGGCAGATTCTCCAGGGAGATAAAACCTCATTCTAATACGGGGAGTTGCCCGATTCTACTGAGAGTGGCCAAGATCCATTGTGTGCCTGCCCCCATTATAGCAAATGGTACCACCCAGGGAGGAAAACAGCGTGAGATCCTGCAGAGTTGTTCAAATAGGAAGTGTCTTCTGATTGAAGGCAGGAAAGCTTGGTTTGCCACCACTGACTCAAGATGACACAGTAGCTTGTATACACATAGATGGTTCAAAGTTCAAAAAGAACCTGGGGCTGGGGAGGTGAGATGGGATACAAATCAGAGAGGACCCTAAAGAAGCCCTCACAGGTCAGCTTTCTGTTAAGATAGACAGAGATAAAACAATTGCAGAGGTATTTTTCTACAATATTGTCCTCCCCCAACTACGCTACCTCAATTCCCTCTCCCCTCTTATTCAAATTATATTCAGACCCCAGGGAAATGGGGGTTTGATTTCTTGAATGTTTCCTGGCAGAGAAAGTATTTAGGAAATGTTTAGATGGTGTTAAGAAGCCATCCCACCACACTCCTCCTTCCTGGCTCTGGCCAAAAAACCTTGGCAAGAAGTACCCTAAGGTAGTAGCTTTTGTACCTGCAGGCAAGCTCAGGTCCCCAGCTTTGCTGGCCTTGCTCTGACCCTCCCCTTATGACTATTGTAAATAAAGATGTTGGAAGTGTGTGGAGATGGGATTCTGAGAGCAACTCCTAAAGCTACAAATTCAGCCACCATCTGGCGTAGGTGGACAATGGAATTCTGCCTCATGGAGCAACGCCACTTTCTTGTCTTGACAATAATCTGAAAAATCCAAGCTCCTCTCACAATCATATTAGTGCTCAAAAGGTGCTACAAATGATTGTTTTATCAATATCATTATTATCCAAAAGCATCTTATCACATGGAGGCACTGGATGAGTAAGGTACAAACATGTACCTTACTTGTGCTTTCCAAAATTTTACAAAATGACCTAATGAACACTTTCTATTCATAAAGAGGTTTTCCAAAAAAAGGAAAAAGGGAAAAAAGAAGACACCTAATCTCTCTAAGCCTCCCCCTTGGAGACACTTACATGGAAATTCTAAGTCACCAAAGTGCATTCAAATTTCCCTTCTCGGTATCAGCACCCCATCACAATATGCACAAAAGCTAATATGTTCAATATGAACCTAGAACAAAGCGCACATCTGGTCATCTCACAGAGGAGAAGCACCTTTTCATTTACTCAGTCAGCCATTCCAAGAGAATCAATTTCCTCCTTTTTTTTTTTTTCCAGATAGCCAATTACTGTTTTCGCAGATAGAACCAAAGACAGAGTGGAGGAAGGAAAAAAGAAGAAAGGCACACATGAATCAGTAGATCTGTTTCCAATAATAACCCATGCCATCTGGTCTGACTTTCCTGTCTTCCTGACAAATACCCAACGCACCTACAAAAAGGAGCACAAAGAGCAGATTCCTATGTGATAATATGCATAGTGTACATAACTCGTGGCTTAAATGATTGACTGAAAAAGTCATTTTGCTCCATGATAAAGGAAACCATAAATGCCCCCCTTGACCTCTGAAATATTTAAAATTACTGTGAAGATTACCTCACTCTTGTTTGAGAAATCATTAAGGGTTCACCATGCAATTTGCAGAATGTCAGGGTTTCTAAGTGGTAATAAAATCTCCAGCAGATTCAGGAAAGGGATTGAATTGGAATGTAAGTGAACACAGCTCCAGGTATCCCTGCTCCATCAGCTTGTAAACCATTTCACAATATATTCAGAACTGAACGACCATACTACTCCAGGTTCTCAAAGTGGATTTTATTTCCCTTAAAACCGAAGCCATTTATGTAGGATACGTTCAAAAGAGGCCACCCTGCAGAACCTTTGCTTTTAAAATCACTGTAATTCATTCAAATCGAGCCACTTTTGCATGTCAGAAAGTGGCAAAGTGGTCCTATTAATGTGTAATGATGCATAGTATGGATTAAGTGTTCACACCAGTTCACTGCATATTCAGGTCAATAAATTATTGCTGATCAGAGGGAAAACTGATTTCTCTCGCTTCCTCCCAGTCAAGTGCAGATATCCAGAGATACCAGAAAGAGAAAAGGACATGGGCCAATGGATTTGGTTTTGTGTTGGTTTGTTCTTTTCATTTTAGGACTACTTTAACATATATTGCAGTGCATGGTCATAACAATCAAGGCTCTGTTTCACATAAAATATAACCCACTGAAGCAACATACATGCATTTAATGTTTTTTAGTGACTTAGCCTGGATGAACCAGAAGGCCCAGGTGCAAACCATGGCCCCATCACCCACTCCACTCTCATACAAGATACCTAGTTAAGCCTCATCTTCCATACCTCTAAAGTGGGTACAATACTTGGTTGACTTATGTAATGTTAAGAAACTCAATGAGATCATATATATGTGTATATATACATACATATATAATACCAATACATGTGTGAAAATACATACATGTATACGCACATATGTATATACATATACACAGATGCACACACACACGTGGGTGTGCACCCGGTACATACATTACATTACTGTACTGTATATACAGTACATTTCATTAGAATAAGAAGGAGAAGAAGCCCTTTGGAAGAATGGTCGGTGCTAAGCGCTGCAGTAGAGCACAGCAGCTAAGGCACAAGATGAGAAGAAATTCTAAGCTAAAAAACAGAGACGGGCCGGGCACAGTGGCTCATGCCTGTAATCCCACCACTTTGGGAGGACAAGGCAGGAAGATCGCTTGAGGTCAGGAGTTCAAGGCCAGCCTGGCCAAGACGGTGTAACTCCGTCTCTACTAAAAATATAAAAATCAGCCAGGCGTGGTGGCGGGCACCTGTAATCCCAGCTACTCGGGAGGCTGAGGCAGGATAATCACTTGAACCTGGGAGGCGGAGGTTGCAGTGAGCCAGGGTTACACCATTGCACTCCAGCCTGTGCGACACAGTGAGATTCCATCAAAAACAAACAAACAAACAAAAAACAAAACAAAAAAACAGAGATGTTTGACTGAATCGATGGAAGAACATGTCACCCTGGCAGATTTAGGAAGAAATGAGAATTAATGCAGATATGCATACATTCTATATGTGGAAAATAGCATCTATTTTGGTGAAGTAAGATGTGAGTTGATTTGCAAAGTGAAATGGACAAAGATTAGGTTGGGGATTGAAAAAAGTGGTGATGTTCCAGGATCTTACCCCAAGTGTGATTCTTCTCTGGAATACTTTTTTTCTTGCCTACTGCTGTGTGAACTGCAGAGCAGTCACCTGTTCTCAGAAGTCACATGCCTTCTTCTTGTGCTGAATGTCAGCATGATTATGGACTAGCCTTGGAGAAATCCTGGGCACAAGGACCCTCTTAAGTTCAGAAACTCTCCTTTCTTCTGAACCCCTTCATTCCACATGATCTGGCATTAGGCCGTACATCACTCCTCTTGCCTACAGCTCTTCAAGCCCTCGCCCCTGGTACCTGCAGGTGAAAACACTCCTTCCTCTGAAACTCCCGCATCCCAGTCCTGTCACCTTTGATTTTCCTTGCACTCTTGTAACCGAGCACCTGGTCACTGCCCCTAACTCAACTGAGAAGTTCAGTCTCTTTCTCCTGGTCTTTCTCTCCTGTCCTGCTCCCGTCATCATCCTGCCAGCCTCCGTGTCCAAAAGATGACCTGGCCAACAGTGGCTGCAAAGCTCCTTATCCTCTTGAGCTCAGGGAGAATCACCACTCTCACCCATTCTCACAGCCATACCCTGGACCTTATCATCATGTGAAAGCAAAGGCCAAAATGCCCACTTCTGACCAAAGCCCCTATTCCTTCTGACCAGCTCATTCCCTCAGGTCCAGTCTACTTTCTTGTCATGACATCCCATCAAACCTTCAGTTTTTCAGCTAGTCTCTTTGCCATTTATTCATCGTCTTTTGCATTACTATGAATCTTTTTTTTATTATTTATTTTTATTTTCATTTTAAGTTCCAGGGTACATGTGCAGGATGTGCAGGTTTGTTACATAGGTAAACATGTGCCATGGTGGTTTGCTGCACCTATCAACCCATCACCTAGGTACTAGGCCCAGCATGCATTAGCTATCCTTCCTAATGATCTCCCCACATTAGGTCCCCAATCCCCCAACAGGCCCTAGTGTGTGTTGTTCCCCTCCCTGTGCCCATGTGTTCTCATTGTTCAGTTCCCACTTATAAGTGAGAACATGTGGTGTTTGGCTTTCTGTTCCTGTGTTAGTTTGCTGAGGATAATAGCTTCCAGCTCCATCCATGTTACTGTAAAGGACATGATTGTGTTCCTTTTTATGGCTGCATAGTATTCCATGGTGTATGTGGAATTTTTTTTTTCCAATGTGGAATTTTACTTCATTTTCTTTATCCAGTCTATCACTGATGGGCATTTGGGTTGATTTCATGTCTTTGCTATTGTGAATAGCACTGAAATGAACATACATATACATGTATCTTTGTAATAAAATGATTTATATTCCTTTGGGTATATACCCAGTAATGGGATTGCTAGGTCAAATGGTATTTCTGGTTCTAGGTCTTTGAGGAATTGCCCCACCATCTTCCACAATGATTGAACTAATTTACATTCCCACCAACAGTGTAAAACATTCCTATTTCTCTGCAACTTCACCAGCATCTGTTTTTTCTTTACTTTTCAATAATCACCTTTCTGACTGGTATGAGATGGTATCTCACTGTGGTTTTGATTTGCATTTCTCTAATGATCAGTGATGTTGAGCTTTTTTTTTTTTTTGTATGTTTGTTTGCTGCACAAATGTCTTCTTTTGAGAAGTGTCTGTTCATGTCCCTTTGCCCACTTTTTAATGGTTTTTTTTTCTTGTAAATTTGTTTTAAGTTCCTTATAGACCTCGATATTAGACCTTTGTCAAATGGATAAATTGCAAAACTTTTCTCCCACTCTGTAGGTTGCCTGTTCGCTGGATCCTTTCTTATCCAACCCAATTACCAAAAGCATCTCTTTCTTTTCCCAAAATATTCAACTCACATGAACTCCTCCCGACCTTCTGTAGCACCCTCACTACAAACCCTTAACCTTGGACCGACACAACTTTCCACCTTCTGTGGATCCCCCACAGTTGGCAGTGCAGTGCTTCAGCATGTTCTTGGCATGTTTCCTAAAGGAAAGCATGTCAGAGTCTAAGTTGGTGCCACTGCAAACACAGGCTCTCCCACCGCAACTGTATCCTGTAGGACACTCAAATATCTTACCTTCCTAGATCACTTATCTCTCCCATTCTCACATAATGGCTATTCCAAAACATCACAACTTTTTTCAGTCCCTAACATAATATTTGTCTATTTCACTTTGCAAATCAGCTGACATCTTACTTCACCAAAATAGATGCTATCCACAGAAAATTCCCTCTACACATAGAACGTTTGCATACCTATATTAATTCTCCTTTCTTCCTAATCTGCCGGGTGACATGTTCTTCCATCAATTCACTCAAACACCTTTGTTTTTTAACTTAGAACCTCTTCTCATCTGGGAATTTATCCCATAAGTCAATTCTAGTCCCTCTTTTTTTTTTTTTTTTGAGACAGGGTTTCACTCCCATCACTCAGGCTGGAGTACAATGACGCAATCTTGGCTCATTGCAACCTCCCAGGCTCAGGGCTTCCTCCTACCTCAGCCTCCTGAGTATCTGGGATTACAAGTGTGCACCATCACGACCAGCTAATTTTTGTATTTTTAGTAGAGACAGGGTTTCACCATGTTACCCAGGCTGGTCTTGAACTCCTGAGCTCAAGTGATCTGCCAGCCTCAGCCTCCCAAAGTGCTGGGATTACAGGTGTGAGCCACCACACCTGGCCTCTCCTATATTTTGAACCTTTATCTTTTGAGCATATCTCTCTTACAAAAGCCCTCCTTCAACCTAGAGTTTCCCTCTTGCATCCCCATCTCTCCCACCCTGGACAGCCAAATGTCTCAAAAGAATAATGCATACCTTGTGTCTCTATTTCTTTTCTCCCTAGTTACTCTCCATTCAACCCACTGCAATGGATCATATGTACACTTTTACTTGGGCATGTATATCTGCCTAGGACTGACATTTATTGGTCAGAATTCAGCATTTTTTCCACTTTAGTATATAAGGCCAAACAGTTTTCCAAAGTGGTTTCCAAATTACAAATGTATAATCCCACAAACACTGCATGAGAGAACTAGTTGCTCTGCATCCTCACCAACCTTTGGTATTTTTGGTCTGTTTCCTTTTAGCACTTCTGGTGTATAGGTACTAGCATTTCACTGTGGTTTTAATTGGCATTTCCCTGAGTACGAAGTTGAGCAAATTTTCACATTTATTGGCCACTTAGATAAGTGCTTTTGAGAAGTGCCTAGTCAAGTATTTTGCCCATTTTTCTATTGTGTTTCTTTTTCTTATTGATTGTAAGAGTTCTTTATATGTTCTGAACATGAGTGCTTTGTGGAAAGGATTCATACGTATGGCAAATCTTTTCCTGTTTTCTTCACCTGTATCTTCACTCTCTATGATATCTTTTGATAAACAAAAAACTTAAAATTAATGTAGTCAATTTTTTTCCCTTATCCATTCCTTTTTAGATCCTGCTCTTTTAAAAAAATTTTAATTCTTTTTTTTTTTTTTTTTTTGAGTCAGAGTCTCTCTGTCATCCAGGCTGGAGTGCAGTGGGCAATCTCAGCTCACCGCAACCTCTGCCTCCTGGGTTCACGCATTTCTCCTGCCTCAGCCTCCCAAGTAGCTGGGATTACAGGTGCGTGACATCACACCTGGCTAATTTTTTGTGTTTTTATTAGAGACAGGTTTCGCTCAGTTGGCCAGGCTGGTCTCAAACTCCTGTCTTCAAGTGATCTGTCCACCTCAGCTTCCCAAAAATCTGGGATTACAAGGGTGAGCCACCATGCCCAGCCAGGTCCTGCTTTTTTAAAATAAAAAATATTTGCCTATTCCAAGTTCATAAAATGGTCACCTATATTCTAAAAGTTTTATTCATTTACCTTTTATAATTAAAGTTGAAATCCATCTGGAATTGATTTGTGCTTGCAATATAAATAGGATGTTATTCAAGTTTGAATCCCTAGCACCTAATATAGCACCTGAAATTCAGCTAATCCTTAATCAATATTGTCCGAATTAAATAATGAGAAAGCATTTGAGAGATTTGAGAAGGGAAAGCAAAATTCAGGTCAGGGCTTTGTGGCATCCCAGATCTCCCCTGAGCATGTCATACACAGTATTGTGGGTTTCCTCACCTCCAGTCACTGCCCACCTTCTACATGCCCAACTTCTAACAGATCTTCATCCATTCCTTGATCTTCAACCAGAAGCCAAGACCTCAGAATTCTTGTTTGATCATTATGATTAAAGGAGTGGCATCTTGGGAAAACTATGGCCATGTTACATTCCAACATACCTTTATGAGGACTTAAAAGCTTTCAAAAATCTAAAACCATCTTCAACCACAAAAACAGACTGCATGGAAAATAGAATGCTACTTTGAACCTTTTTAAAATAAGTCATTTTTATCAAAACAAAGATGATAAAGTACCATAAATGGAAGCTTAACTGCTTGTCATTTTCTAAAGGTCCCTTTTGAGAAATGTCAGGAAAGATACATGATTGTCTCTTGAACTAGACAAGAAATCTTCCAGTCACTGTGGTAGGACCAGTTTGTACATAAACACACCACATTTTACTCCCTGGGTTTCCAAGATGCCTCCATAGACTTATTATTCTTTGAGGTGGAAAGATATTGAAATACAATATAAAAGATGAAAAGATAAGAAAAGGTGCACAATGAAATCTTAGACTTGATCCAAAAGGGAATGGAAACTCACATTCAGACCTAATGAAAAAATATGCTCTGGTCAGATCCATAGCAGAGAAAAAAGAGTGCAAAAGAGGTAGCTGGAAAAACAATGAATTCCTGGTCTATGACCGTGGCCTCAAAAATAGTAAAGACAACGCTGAATGCACAGTTTAAGACGAGCCTGAATTTAGGACTGATTCCATGTTTGAAATAAAGGGCACAGGAAGACAAACATTTCTGCAGGCTCTCTGGCTTGTGGCTGTGGGAAAGTGATGACGCTGATCGGGGGAGCTGAGCTGACAGCATTTCGGGTGTGCTAAGGGGTCTGCAAGGGAGACGCACGTGGAACAGAGTCAAATCAGTCAGCCTAGACATTGAGAGCCTCATCTGAGAACCAAGGGAACCAGGATCCAGACCAGTGTCCTGCTGTCCACTGAAAAGACTAAAAGACACAAGATGGTACATTGCATGGTATTAGCTACTCAGCTACTGGGATCCCCGAGTGCCTGACAGGTGACACAGGGGCTTGGATGACAAAGAAAACTGACTCATGGACCCTGATAAATATTTATTGAGCATGTTTCACCGGTAGGTCTGTCAATGGGCTGAGCACTGTGATTCATCAAATGGCCTCAAACTTTTCAATAGTCAGAAGATCTAGATTCAGCCGGGAGCAGCGGCTCACACCTGTAATCCTAGCACTTTGGGAGACCAAGGTGGGAGGATCACTTGAGCCCAGGAGTTCAAGATCAGCCTGGGCAACATAGTGAGACCCTCTCTCTAAAAAAAAATAAAAGATAAAAAACATTATCCAGGCATGGTGGTGCATGCTTATTCTCCCAACTATTCAGGAGGCTGAGGGGGGAGGATCACTTGAGCCTAAGAGGTCGAGGCTGCAGTAAGCAATGATCATGCCACTGTACTCTAGCCTGAGCCTCAGAGTGAGAGCCTGTCTCAAAAAAAAAAAGATCTGGATTCAAATTTAAACTCTGGCCAAGCATGGTGGCTCACACCCATAATCCCAGCACTTTGGGAGGCTGAAGTGGGTGGATCATTTGAGGTCAGGAATTCAAGACCAGCCTGACCAACACGGTGAAACGCTGTCTCCACTAAAAATACAAAAATTAGCCGGGTTTGGTGGCAGGCACCTGTAATCCCAGCTGCTCGGGAGGCTGAGGCATGAGAATCACTTGAAACCAGGAGGCAGAGGTTGTAGTGAGCCGAGATGGCACCACTGCACTCCAGCCTGGGTGACAGAGTGTAACCCTGTCTCAAAAAAAAAAAAGAAAAAAAAAATTAAACTCTGTCCCTTATCAGCTGGTAAGACCTTGGTCACGTTGTTTGTTCCTTTAAGCCTCAGTTTTCTCTTCTGTAAAAATGAGCATCTGGATTAAATGCCTGAACTCCCTTCAGCTCTGAAACTCTGTGGTGTATTCTCTGAGGACATTACCTCTCTAAGGGACCCAAATTAAACAGCTCACACCATCCATCATTTTTCTGTCTGAGGTTTTATTTCCCTAATCAGATTTGGGTAAATTTTCAGCCTCTCTCTGTCTCTTACTTCCAATCCAATAAAACCTGTATGGATTTGTTTTGTATTTCATCTAATGTCATTATTCATTCTAAGAGTCACTGCCTGACCATTTCCCTGCCTATAGCATAATTAGCTATTAAAAAGCTACACTGGCATGGTTTTCAAACTTGCATCCTCTTTTTCTGAGGTGGATTGATTCTAAACTGATTAAAATATCTCAGAATTTCCAATACAATTTTTAAAATGCAACAGATTTTCAAGACTGCCTCATGACTCTGCCAAGCCAAGGGAGTTAGCTGCCAACTCTCTCTGACTGCCAAGGAAGCCAAATAAATAATCCTGATGGTGGTTTTAAAATGAGAGGCAACTGCCCATTTCTTAGGTTGACAGTGCCACCCTACACATTGACTTCTCCAGGGTTTGTAAGACACCAAGGGTTATGTTTCAGATTTTCCCCAGAAGGACAGAGTAGCGTCCTGGACCAGTCTGCTCAGTTAGCAGATAGAAATCATTCACCATCTTCCCTTGTTTCACATACATTCATCCTCTCAATAAAGAAGTGCTCCTTTCTCTTCCAAAACCCTGCTGAAGTTCACTGCCTCAGTGAAACCTGAGAAGAATCTCTCTAGTCATCGACCCAGAAGCTGACTCCTAACCTCCTTGCCTAGAATCCTGGACCTCATGCTTTGAGCCTTACATCAGAGGACTTTTTTTTTTTTGAGATGGAGTTTTGCTCTATTGCCCAGGGTGGAGTGCAATGGCATGATCTCTGCTCACTGCAACCTCTGCCTCCCGAGTTCAAGCGATTCTCCTGCCTCAGCCTCCTGAGTAGCTGGGATTACAGGCGCCAACCACCATGCCTGGCCAATTTTTGTATTTTTAGTAGAGATGGGTTTCACCATGTTGGCCAGGCTGGTCTCGAAATCCTGACCTCAGGTGGTCCACCCACCTCGGCCTCCCAAAGTGCTGGGATTACAGGCATGAGCTACTGCCCCTGGCCTTCAGTAGACTTTTGCTCTAACCTTTCATATATCTTCCACATGAACCAGGACCATCATCCTAAAATCAGGCTATGAGATCATCCAACCTAACATAGTCAATATCCCCACCCATCATACTTGCCATCACCCAGATATCCACGTCACTTACATTACTTCCAGCTCTTCGATATGTCCTATAAATGCCAATACAATTAACCAAGTGATTTCTTGGAATCAACAATACTGGCTTGGACTACTTACTGTGTTTTGATCCCTTTGGTATTCTCAGAACCAGGACTATCTGCAGAATCTAACACCATCATAGGACCAGACAGAAATGGTTATTGGTGGGTGTCCCAGGCACCGAGACCCCACCAACCTGAGTGACTACCTGGCATAGCCAGGAGCAAAATGCAGAGCATCCAAACCATATGGAATTAGGGGTGTCTGTTCTTTGTCTTCATGCCTTTGGAATGTGCGCTTTTCTTGTCTTTTTCTGTTAAGTTGTAGGACTCTCAAGCTAAAAACCATGTGTATTCCCTTTCAATGCCACAATGGAATTAACTCCTCATTGTCATTTATCAAACATTGTTACCACGTTAACTATGAAAATGACAAAGAAGACAAAGGTTACCATATCCTGGTGAGGTTAATAGGTATTGAGGACCTGCATCTCAAGACTCCAACCAACGTGACCGTCAAGATCACATCTGTGATTTGTAGGATGAAGGATTCTGTTTCCACTCACCAGCATCTCCTGACAAGCTGCGGGACTGGAACCCCCTTGGGCTGATAGAATGACCCTCCAACCACGGCTGCACAAAGCTGGTAACAAGAAAATTTCCACAGCAATGTCTGTGACTTTAGATCAGAGTCAACACCTCTGTTTGGAGGCAGGTCCTCCATATTTAATACAAAGCTTTCTTTTCTGGCCTGGCATAAAATTATTTGGAATGTTTCTACCCTAAGAAAACAGAACATAGAAACAAAGCTTTTTTATCTCCCTCCAGGTCTTGTCTCCAGATAATGAAACTCTGTCATTAGGCTTGTAAATACTCCTCACTTTAGGGGTGATGAGATTCAAACTGTGAGTCTAGGGAATTTCCTGGTAACAGCTCAGCCAGGAAAATCAAAGCTGAGTTTTCTATCCTTGATATTGAAACGTTCCTATTCAGTGAACAAGTGGTTACTGAAAATTGTATGGGGGCACTTTATGTTCTCCAAGGGACTGTGAGCCCCTGTGATGTTCACAGTCCACAATGGGGACTCAGCTGAACCTAAAGCACTCAGGCACGGCCACGTGCTCCATGCTCCTTACTCTAAATAGCACCAAGTACTCCAGGAACTTGGAGCAAAGTGGGCCTGGCCTTGAAGTACTGCCAAGATTTCTAAACACAGCAACAGGAAGGAGGCATTCCAGGCAGAGACAAGAGCATGAACAGAAGAAAGGCAGGGCAATGTGTCTTTGGGGGATGGTGAGTGAATCCAATTCATTTGGAGTCTACTATGTAGGGGAGCATACAGAGAATACTGGGAAATTGGAATTTCTGGAGACTCATTCTATCATGTATGGCTGCATTAGTCCATTCTCACGCTGCTGATAAAGACATACCTGAGACTGGGTAATTTATAAAGAATAAAAGGTTTAATGGAATCATAGTTCCACGTGGCTGGGAAGGTCTCACAATCATGGTGGAAGGCAAAAGGCATGTCTTACATGGCAGCAGGCAAGAGACAGCTTGTGCAGGGGAACTCCTCTTTATAAAACCATCAGATCTCATGAGACTTATTCACCATCATGAGAACAGCATGGGAAAGACCTGCTCCCATGATTCAATTACCTCCCACTAGGTCCCTCCCATGGCATGTGGGAATTGTGGGAACTACAATTCAAGATGAGATTTGGTGGGGACACAGCGAAACTATATCAATGGGCTTTCATTTAACCTTTGCAGACAACAATTACACAGCCCTACCAACTGGGGAGGATAGAAGAAATATGACTCTTGGAAAAGTGCCTTATGTTCTTTAGAACATACTTGATCAATACAGATCTCATGGTGGCACCTTGTCTCTGTTTCCAGGATAGGCCAGTGCATTGCCATCCTTTCATTATATGTCTCTCTTTCTTGCTAGACTGTGGGCTCCTTGCGGGCAGTGACTGTTTCTGACCCAACTTTTAATCCTCAGCACTCAGCACAATGCCCAAAACATACAAGGTGCTCAGCAAGCATTGAATGGATTAATTAAATTAAGGAGTTAACAGATATGAGCACGCACCCTACTTGTCATGGCCACTTGACTTGTGCAAAAAAGTACTGGAAAACAATTGCAGTTCATATGGAGAAACTATATCTAGGGAAAATGTGGTGGTGGTGCAAGCAGCAGGAGAACCAGAAAGTCATTCCATGGTGCAGCAGTAACCAATGGTGCAGGGCTCCTTTCTGATGCCCAGAACTGCTGGACACCCAACCAAGAAGCACACGAGAGCCCAAGTAAATTTCTTGCCAAAGAGTGCATGAAGCACAGCCTATCATTCGAGATTGCCTCTCAATGACTTTGAAGCAAAACACTGGGTTTCTAAATTACCATCACAGCTAAGCAAATTGATCATCTGGAATTTGTAGCTGGCTTGTTAGACTGTATCCAGGGAAGGGGTGGCGGGGGCTGGTAGCAGGTTTGGCTCAGCTGCCTATAATTTTAAGCGCTTAATGGGATGATAATTTGCTGTTCAGTATGTTCATTTTGAAAAGCTTCCCTAATTCAGAGGGGAAAATGAATAAAACCAAGCTTTTTACTCCAAATCTGTGTGGAAACATCAATATCCTTCCATCAAGGAAACAGGTGGTTAAGAAGACATGGAAACATGGAAGAGATTGCTAGTGTCCCACAGGAAAAAAAAAAAATGTGCCTGCTGGGTGGTTGGTTGTATTAACTTACCATGAGAAGCTTCTTATAACAAGAGCTAAAATTCTAGTTCTTCTACACCAGGGGTCTTCAACCCCCAGGCCACAAACCAGTACCAGTCTGTGGCCTGTTAGGAACTAGGCAGCACAGCAGGAGGTGAATGGCAGGAAAGGGGGCAAAACTTCATCTGTATTTACAGCTGCTCCCATCACTTGCTTTATCACCTGAGCTCTACCTCCTGTCAGATCAATGGTTGCATTAAATTCTCATAGGAGCACAAACCCTATTGTGAACTGTGTATATGAGGGATCTAGATTGTGCACTCCTTATGAGAATCTAATGCCTGATAATCTATCACTATCTCTCATCACCCTCAGATGGGACCATCTAGTTGCAGGAAAACAAGCTCAGGGCTTCCACTGATTCTACATTATGATGAGTTGTATAATTATTTCATCATATATTACAATGCAATAATAGAAATAAAGTGCACAATAAATGTAATGCACTTGAATCATCCCCAATCCATCCCCACACCCCCACCCCGTGCCTAGGTCCATGGAAAAATTGTCTTCCATGAAACCAGTCCCTGGTACCAAAATTGTTGGGGACTGCT
Organism: Homo sapiens; assembly: GCF_000001405.40. Classification (NCBI taxonomy): domain Eukaryota; kingdom Metazoa; phylum Chordata; class Mammalia; order Primates; family Hominidae; genus Homo; species Homo sapiens. The sequence goes on from NC_000008.11 coordinate 29,900,071, forward strand.
GTTTTTCACACTAGCCATCCCAGTTCTTCACAGTCCCCAGGAGATTTCATGGACCTGCACAGTGAAGAAGAGACACAAATGAACAGAGGGTGTGTGTGTGTGTGTGTGTGTGTGTGTGTGTGTTACCTCCATGTGCATCAGGTTATTGGGGCTGGCATTTCCTGACAACAGCTTCTGTGAACTGGTGATCTAGAATATTTTCCACTCAAATCAAATGTGAAGAGTTTCTAGTGACATTAATTTAGTTGACTTCTTTCTTAATACATCTCATGCAATCACACATCTTTTCTTTCTTGCGTCTGAAATTAATTCTACATGCCTTGTAAGTTTCTTAAGGTAGATCATGTTTCTATATTGCATATTTTGCATATGAAGCCTAAAAATTACATTGTACACAAAGTCTAAAGATGCCAAAACATGAGTTTTTTTTAAGAGCTAAGGGCAAATTATTCTCAGTAAGAGACCAAAACTTTTTTATTAATTCCCAAACTCATCAAACATTTACAGAGCCCCTATTAGATATGGCAAAGGATAACAATTTTTATTATTATTATAAAAACAATCCCTTTCATTCATTTATTCTTTAATTGTCTGAATATTTATTTATCTCTTCTAGGGTCAGGCACTGCTATTAGCTAAAAATTCCAGATGAATAAGATATAGTGCTGCACTCCAAGAACACACACTCCAGAGATTAACATCCTGAATTATTATTAGCTTACTTCTGCCCAAAGACAGAGGGAGGAGAATGTGATGGAAAGGCGGGACTTCAGCTGTATTTGTAATGTTTTATTCCTTTATAAATCCTAATAAAAAGAATATTAACATTTGGAAAATCTAAATGGCAAGTACATTGGTATATGATATATTATTTTTCTGCTTTTCTTGTATATTAGAAATAGTATATAAACATTGCTCTGAAAACTAGATCATGATGATGATCATGATGATGATAAGAACTGTGTTAAGAATGATGTTAGAAATCTGCAAAGGGCTGGGCATAGTGGCTCACACCTGTAATCCCAGCACTTTGGGAGGCCGAGGCAGGTGGATCATTTGTGCTCAGGAGTTCGAGACCAACCTGGACAACATGGTGAAACCTCATCTCTACCAAAAATACAAAAACATTAGCCAGGCATGGTGGCACACATCTGTGGTCCCAGCTACTCAAGAGGTTGAGGTGGGAGGATGGCTTGAGCCTAGGAGGCAAAGGTTGCAGTGAGCCAAGACTGTGTCCCTGCAGCCCAGCATGAGTGACATAGCAGGACTCTGTCTAAAAACAAAAAAAAAAAGAAAGAAAGAAAGCAAAAAATATGCAGAATATTGTGTGAGTAATAGAAGGTACATAAAATCCAGTCTAGGAAAAAGAGCAGGTCTTGAAGCCTCCTCTAGGAAGCCCAGAGCTGAAATGTTTCCCCAGGAGTGAGTCACAGTCTCTGCTAAAAAAAAAAAAAAAAAAAAAAAAAAAGTTCTACTGAGCAGATGAGCAAGACAGACTCCATGGCAGAGAAGCAGGGCAAGACCCCATCTCATTCTGTTCCTGCTACTATAAAACAAATACTGTAGGGGGCGAGACCAAGATGGCCAACAAGAAGCAGCAGTGATTGGAGGTTCCCATCAAAAAAACCACAATAAGTGTGTAAATCATTCACCAGCAACCAAGTTATCCAGGTTCTGTCATCAAAATTGACTAGAAGGCTGGCATGACCCAGAAGGAAGAACAGTGTGGTGTGGTGGCCCACCTGAGAGCCACGCAGGGAAGGGGAAGCCCCTCCCCACAGCCAAGGGAGGTGACTCCTTAAATGACATCTCAAGGCATGAGAGCAAAACAAATGAATAGGGCCTGAAGTAAAGCCCCAGCAAACTGCAGCATCCCTACAGAAGAGGGACCTGACTATTGAAAGAAAAACAATCAGAAAGTGACAACAACAGCATCAACAACAACAACAAAGCCCCCACAAAAACCCCATCCAAAGGTCAGCAGCCTCAAAGACCGAAACTAGACCAACTCACGAAGATGAGAAAGAATCAATGAAAAAATGCTGAAAACCCAAAAGGCTAGAGTGCCTCTTCTCCTCCAAATGATCACAACGTCTCTCCATCAAGGGTGCAGGACTGGACAGAGGATCAGATGGATGAACTGACAGAGGTAGGCTTCAGAAGATGGGTAATAAAAAAACTACGATGAGCTAAAGGAGCATGTTCTAACCCAATGCAAAGAAGCTACGAACCTTGATAAAAGATCAGAGGAATTGCTAACTACAATAGCCAGTTTAGAGAGGAACATAAATGACCTGATGGAGCTGAAAAACACAGCACAAGAACTTGCATACACAAGTATCAACAGCCAAATCGACCAAGCAGAAGGATATCAGAGTCTGAAGACCACCTTACTGAAATAAGACATGCAGACAAGAATAGAGAAAAAAGAATGAAAAGGAATAAACAAAGCCTCCAAGAAATACAGGACTTCATAAAAAGACCGAACCTACGATTGATTGGAGTAGAAGGCGACGGGAAAAGTGGAAATAAGATGGAAAACACACTTCAGGATATTATCCAGGAGAACTTCCCCAACCTAGCAAGACAGGCCAACATGGAAATTCAGGAAATACAGAGAACACCATTAAGATACTCCACGAGAAAATCAACCCTGTCAGACGATTACAGTACCTTGAATCATCCTTCATCTAGATGTTCTTTGTCCTCATTTCCCAGAGCCAAGAACCATAAGTCAGTAACTTGTCTGTCAAAGATGTAATTTTACACCAAAGAACCCAGAGACTTTGTCTTCACCCACCAGGTGTTGGGTACAACCTCCAGCCTGGGCTGGGCCCTTGCTGGCTACAGTCTCTGGACACTTTAACCTGACCTGCTGAACTATCTGGGGAACCTGTTCTCAGTCTGAGCTACAGCTCCTTCTGCCTTGCTCTATCCTTGTACTGTTGGGTTCTGTTACGATAAGAGGTCTGTTGCCCAATGTCTGCAGCAAGTCAATATGTTGAGACACTGGGACAGCAGAGGAAAAGGTTTACTCACAGGACCACCAAATGAGGATATGGCAGGGAACCTCAAATTCATCTCCCTGAGGAGTTTTGGGCTAGGGTTTGTGAGGGGTCTGGAATGGGCTGAAGCTTGGAGATCATTGATTGGTCAAAGAGTGCATGGTGAAGTCAAGAGAGAGAAAAGAAGAAACTGTATTCTCATGCTGATTCCATTCGTTCCCCTGTGGGGGTCTTCAAATTGATTGACATCAGTTGTCTCCCTGGAATTCAAGAACTGAAAAACATCTTAATCAATTCTTAAACCAAAGTCTTATGATGCTAACATCAGTGATCCTATCTATAGGAACAATGGGGATGCAAACAGTCAGTATCTAGTGACTTTTGGTTACAAGGAAGTGGGTCAAAGTGCAGACTAATTAATGCTTAATGATAATTCTGTGTCTGTCCAGAATTCCTGTTAACCCCATGAGGATGGCTTCCATTCTCAGGCAGCCTCCAGGCTAAGCCATAAAAGAATCTCCAGATTGTCAATAAATGATCAAACACCACTTATTAAAGAGCTATGGTGAGCCAGTTCACCATAGGACAGTTTCTCAGCCTCCCGTTCTGGATCCCACTTGCAAATTAACCACAGCCTCTCCTATGAATGGCAGGGTCTTGGCCTTAACCCAGAAGAGAGAGCAGAGGAGAGCCATATGCAAGCCCACCAAATGACGACAGAGTTCCTGTCCAACCTCACAGCTGCTATGTGGGAGGGAGGCAGGCAAGCCACAAACCAACTGGTCAGAATATAAGCCTTACACCAATGGTTGCTCATGACAGGCCTTGATCCAGATGGTAACCAGGGTAAAGGGCATCCCAGGCAACACAGCCAGGAAGACATACAAGCTAAAAATTACTCCGACTGAGGAGAGGGCATCATACCAAGTAAATTGAGTACATAAACCCTGCCTTCAAAGGCTTTTTCCCCCAGTAGAGAATACATATGGAGCACATATGAAAGATACTAAAGCTATTCAAGGACTTTAACAAAAAAATAGGAATGAACCATACTTCCATGCAGAAATGGAACTATTAATTGCATATTCTGAATAATAAAATGAGCCAAAGCTTATTTTTGAATTTTTTGTTGTTGGTTGACTGTGTTTGGAGGAACCAGAACCATTTTGAACCAGAACTAAACTTGAATATCAAAATGTTCTCAGAAATTAGGCAATATTCTACCAAGTTCAAGTCACAGATGAAAACAAAAAACAAGATAACACAGGGTTGATTAAAGGGTTTTTCTTAGTAAGACAATGAAAACAATTGGAAAGCCCATTAAGATAAAAAATTCACCCTTTACACAAAAAGAAATAATAAAACTAAAAATTAAAATAATAGATTTGAAAAATATTTCTATTGATTCTAACATGGGAAAAGCTCATTCAAATTAATTTGTAAAAATCAGTACCCCAATAGACCATAGCAGGCACAAACAATACACACAAGAAGAAATGTAATTGGGAAATAATACACAAAAAAAGATTACCTTTGTTAATTTTTTAAAAAATGAAAATAAAACTACACTATCATATCATTTTATATTCACTATAATTAATACCCAATCTGGGAACATTCTGGCAGAGTGACTTATTTGCACCTTGTTTTTGGTAATTTATACCAATACAAACCCTTTTGGGAAACAATACAGTGATCTATATCAAGACATAAAAATACTCACATCCCTTGACTCATTCTCTGGAAATGCTGAAGGAAGTTATTCAAAAGAGGAAAGAAGCTATACCCAAAAAGTTATTCATTGTTGGGTTTTTTATAACAAGTATTGGAAATGTTTAACAATGAGGGAGGGTGAACTTAACCACGGTACATCCGCTCTGAAATAATACCACAACTATAAAATAGTGCTGATGAAGAGAAACAATGTAAGAACATGTTTATCATAAAATTTTAAGTGAAAACAATATATATTATACAAAAATTCTATTCACACACTGATTATAATTACGCTGAAGGATGTTGGCAGGTGGGTGAAAACTGAAAAAAAAAAAAACTAAAAACAGTTATGCTTGGTTGGTGGGCCCGTAAGATGTTTATTTCCATTCTGTTTCTGTAAGATTCTCAGAGTGTTGGTACCGCAGATTCAACTGGGGCCAGAGAAGCCCATCACGGGAGCCCGAGGAAAAGCAGCCACAGCTCTCCTTCCTAGTACAAGCATTCAACAGTAAGCTCCCACGCAAAGAATCAGACTGCAGCAAATTTCAGCGCTGCCTCAGGAACACTGTCCTTGGCTCCCACATTGCAAAGATTTTCCATTCCCTCCACAGTCACCTCATTCATGGTTAAGGAAGAAAGCGCAGCTAACAGACAGGGTGACGACAGATGTCCAGGCACTGAGCCATCCATAGCTGTTATTTTTCATTCACATAGGCATGTGCCGGATCCAGCAGATGAAAACCAGACCTACCCCCTTCCCCATGTGTGTGTGTTTTTTCCCCTTACTGCTGCTGCTGTAACAGCTAAGTGCCAATTATCTCCCAAGCGTGAAAGCAAATATTGTGATAGCCCAACAAACTCTACAAATGTTAGAGGACACAGGTGGGGATGACTGTTTTTCTGTCCTGGCCTTGGCATGTCTTTATTCATTGTAACAGCTCTCATTAAAGGAGGATCTGGTAGGTGCAAAGCTTTCTGCTAACACCTTCAGCACTTTGCATTCTTTATTTTCTCATTTATCTCTTGGCATTTTGTTGTTGCCCGTATCCCCACGACCCACGAATCCAGAGGTAAGTTTTGCTTTTCTTTGCCTAGAAAAAGCTCCATTAAACCACCTATTCTCAGGACCCAACTTCACATGGGCTGATATGAATACTTTCTTCAAATATTTGAAGGCCTGATGTATCGTAGTATTGTATTGCAGTAGGTAGTATTGTAGTATTATAGTAGGTGCTTTAATCAGGGTTTTCCAGAGAAACACAGCCAGTAGGAGATGATAGTCATAGAGAGATAGATAGATACATACATACATACAGATTTATTTTTCAGGAATTGAATCACACAATTATAGAGGCCAAAAGTCTAAAGTTTTCAGGGTAGGCCAGTGAGCCGGAGACCCAGGGAAGAGTTAACTTTACAGCTAGAGTCTGAGGACTGTCTTAAGGCAGAGTTCCCTGTTCCTTGAGGGATCTGTCTGTATTTTCCTAAGGCCTTCAACTGTTTGGATGAGGCCCACCCACATTATGAGGGGGTAACCTGCATTACTCAAAATCTACTGATGTAAGTGTTGATCTCTTCTAAAAATACCTTCACAGCAACATCTAGAGTGGTGTTTGACCAAATATCTGGGTACCTGGCCTAGTCAAGTTCATATATAAAATTAACCATCACAAACAGGGCCCCTAGAACAGCAAGAATTAGACCAATGACTAAATATGACAAGGATGCATATTTTGCCATATAATTGGGTTGTTTAAAAAATTGAAATGGCTCACTTCTGAGGCAATGTGCTCTTTGTACCAGGAATATTCAAATTAATGTTGGATGATCACCTATTAGGGATATTGCAAAGAAAATAACTTTATTGCACAGGACATTAGGATCTCTAGTCACCTCTACATGTTATTCTGATTCTAATATCCTATTATTATATAATTGACACAGGTAATTCATGCAAACTACTTTTAATTGCAAGAAATTTAAAATATTAAAAAATTTAATCCTCCCCCCTCTCATTTCATGGATGAAGAAATTGAGATTCGAGGGGGTTTAATGGCTTGTCCTAGGACTAAAATCCAGGTCTCTCAGTCCAGGCTCTTTCCATGACATTGTGATCTGAGATGCTAACAAGATGTTTCAAGACAATCACTAGCCACACACTCTCACTTCTTGATACCATTCCAAGCTTATTTTCACCTGTTCATCAGCCCACCTTCAAAGAGGAGCAGCTCATTACAAGTAAAGCATAAAACGAACTCCAAGAACAAAATGGAGCTGCTATATAAAAGGGTGATGTGTATATTGGGTCAGCACAAAAGCTGTTCTTGATCACCTCTCCTTTACTTAGCATGGAGTCAGCCCCAACCTGAAAGCACTCAGTGGGATTCTAGAGGAAGAAGACTTGAAGAGAAGCCCAGGTCACCAGAGAGGAAATTACAGCAGAATTTGGAGATGAATCCCCAGCCATTTATAGTGTGTGGCGTTGGCCTAAAATAACCTGTGGATTCTATAGGCCTCTCCACACTACAGAATAAACTTCCATAAGACAGACAAACCATGTTCTTCTAATATTGGCCCGCTTTCACTGAGCGACTTTGATGGCTAATTATCCTAACAGTCTCTCTCTTTATTCTGTCTGGGGGGAAGAAAAAGGGAGAGCAAAGAAGGCAGCAAAGGGAGAAGAGAATCCCTCCTACCAGGTATTTGTCACTGTCCCTTGAGTGCTCAGTGTAGGAATTAAGCTGGTAGTCAAGGGGCACTGGGAACATGGACCTTGCCACTTTCCAAGCAATGACACCAGGGATCCACATCAAGTCTCAGTCTATGAGGAACTTAATCTCCTCCAATAAAGAAAATGTGAGGACTATTTTTACCATTAAAAGGCACAAATAGCATTATACCACCCACAGCCCCACTGCCCTCTTCCACATTCCCTGCTTCCTGTTTTGCTTTTCCTGCCACAATCAAATCTCAAAGATCACCCCATGGGTGATATGCAAGTGGCACCTCAGAAGAGTTCCCAAAAACATTTCTTTAATGACTAATTTATTCGCTGCTTTTTTGTTCTTGGGGAGAATTTTTTTTTCATTGTGCTTCATGGTGTCTTTAGCCCATTGAAAGCATTTGTGACACATTTCCCTTTGTAGTTTTTAAAAAGAAGTAATTATATAATGGCTGACTTCTTTTGGTTATGTAGGAAATCAACATCTCAGTAGCTTTTTCAGACATGCTTAATAAGAAAGCCATTAGAAAGGCAAAAGAGAACCCTATCATTATTTTCTGGTTTCCTCCTTAATTATAGACAATCATCCTGAAGGAGGTGGGGGCAGCTTCTGTGACAAAAGTTGTCTAGCATTTAACAGAACAATTTAGAACCAGATTGAACGGATCAACCTTATGTCAACTTGCAGATGCTTGACAAAAACTGCTTAAGGGGTACTTGGATGCAATGAGAAGCTAATTCAGCCTTTTCTCTTTTCCTTTCACTCAGAAAATAGGGATGTTTGTTTTATTTTATTGTAATTCTTTGCTCAGAAAGATTCACGTAGGTCTGTCTCAAAGACTCTTATTAAAGCATGGTACATCCCAAAATTCTTACTTTTTTTGCCTAAGTAATACAATTATTATCACCATCATAAAAGCCATTAATATTTTTACCACTTACATATGCCCTCTTTCTACTACAATCCTGTCTCTGGAAAGTTAATTCTGAATTTTTTTTTTTTTTTTTTTTTTGAGACAGAGTCTCGCTCTGTTGCCAGGCTGGAGTACAGTGACGCAACCTCAGCTCACTGCAACCTCTGCCTCCTGGGTTCAAGCAATTCTCCTGCTTCGGGAAGGAAGGAAGGAAGGAAGGAAGGAAGGAAGGAAGGAAGGAAGGAAAAGAAAGAAAAGAAAGAAAGAAAGAAAGAAAGAAAGAAAGAAAGGAAAGAGAGAAAGAGAGAGAGGGAAGGAAGAGAGAGAAGGAAGGAAGGGAGGGAGAGAGAGAGACAGGAAGGAAGGAAGGAAGGAAAAGAAAAGAGAAAGAGAAAGAAAGAAAAGAAAGAAAGAAAGAAAGAAAGAAAGAAAGAAAGAAAGAAAGAAAGAAAGAAAGATTGATTGATTTTAAGGAATTGGATCACACAGTTGTGGAGGCCAGCAGATCCAAAGTCTGCAGAGTCCAGAGTCCAGTTTAGATGCTGGTTCTGGGGACTCAGAATCTGTCATGAAACACAGACACAGTGAAATCAAACACCCACCCCTGAATCCAGAAGGGAACAAACAATTCTGTCCAGGAACATTGTTGAATGGCAAATTAAAACAATATGCAAGATGCCTGCCTGCTTTCTATTCAAGGTGTTCATTTACCTGGCTTCTCACAGTTCTTAAAGCTGAGGGAAAGCTGCCAGTGGCCTCCATAGGAGACCATCCCACCAGCACTCTAGGAAGGGCACACTGGTTTCTTACTAAATGAAATTTCTCATTCTGTTTTTTCAGTGCTGCCCAATAATGCCTACAGGCTTTGAGATGTAGTGGAGAGAGTCTGAAATATTTTCCCAGTTTTCCATGACATTAACCCAGAGAGGATTTACTTTGCTATTTGTTTTACATGTTTTGTTCAGGTAGCCCTTATTATTTTTCTCCCTGTTACAAGTCTCAGCAAGGTGAAGTAGAGAGAGATATCCAAATGGCTCACTATTAACAGGTAGCATGTGCCTCTTCCATGGAGAGGAACCAGAAGATACTGACATTTCGAAGAGATCATCTAGGGTTCACCAGAGAAGAGACAAGAAGCACCAGAAGTAAGTAAGGAGAGGGTTTGAGACAGCTTTCCCAACTGGGGACTGATTGAGAGTCAGGAGAGGCTCCTGGATTCAGGGAAACAGTAAAAGAGAAACTCCCAGGTCTTGGCTTTTACAATCTTGGCTATGGAGAAAACCCTTGACCCACTAAGCCCTTGTGTTTGACATATAGAGCTGCCTAACAATTGCACAGAGATGTTGCTCCATAAAGGGAACCCACATGGAATCTCACAGTCATCCACACAGCCTCACCTTGGTGCCATTTTGAGACCTAGATACCAGAGATCTACAGACATGGCTGCTGCCATTGCATTGCTCCAAGGAGAGACAGGGGAGACCAGGCACTTCCATGCACCCCTGGAAGGGTCCCTACTGCCCTGCTGCAGGCTGCTGTTGAGACTGAGACGTGAGTGGATTGCACTCCCCACAGCTTCTTGCCCATGCTGCTTGCTTGAAGGGAGCTTGCCCTTTCTGGTCTCAGCCCCAAGGCACCATTTTGAGAGTTTAACACTGGGCTGTGCCCTAATCTCAGGCTGAATTCAGGCTGAATCACTGCAGCTGCCAACTAGCCAAGAATGAACAGGGAACAAGGCTATCCTATGCATGCATACCTAGGACAATACTCACCATCCTGCTACACACTGCTGTGAGATTAAGACTAAGTGGACCACACTCCCCACAGCTTCTTTTCTATGCTGGTTACCTGAGGGAGGGCTGAGGGCCCCACCCTCTCTGGTCACAAGCCCAGAACTGGCATAATTTTGAGGGTTTAACTGTGGGTTGTGACGCACTTTCAGGCTGAGTTCAAGGAGATGTGGCTGCAGCCAACACCCAGCCAGGGGAAGGACAGAGAAGGCCAAGCTTTCCTAAACACACTTAGCACAATACACACCACCCTACTATGAGTGGCTGTGGAACCAGGAACTAGCCCACCCAACCCATCACAGCTGGTAGGAACACCAACATGGACTACTTGAGTACCAGTGGGTTGCTCCACCACCACTACTGCCATCACCCACACTGTACCAGATGCCCAGGGGCCTGAGAATTCACCCACACACATGAAACACCACTCCCACTACTAGCTTCTAAGCAAGCCACATAGAGGCCCAAGGATTAGCCCTTCAAGACCCACTAACAACAAAGCCAGTTTATGCTGCTCTGGAGCTTAAAACAGGAACATTCACTCCACTGCTGTAACTACTGGGGCCTAAAGACTGGTTCAGTTAGCATCTAAGTTTCCAACGAAACTTCGCCACAACCTAAGCTGATAACTATATCCTAAGCCACCAAGGAAATAACAGATATCACTCATCCTATGCACTGCCAAAGAAGTAAGTTTTAAAAATCACACTATTGTAGGTACCCAAAATCAAAGCCAAAATATCCTACTCAACCAACAGCACACATACATCTTTAGGAGAAATTCTCCCCTACAAAAGCAACTTCAAAAAACTGGAACAAGGAACTGCTACATTAGATGTGCAGATACCAATGAAAGGACACAGAAAACATGAAAAAGCAGGGAAATCTGATACCACCAAAGGATCACAACAGCTTTTCAGCAACAAATTCCAATAAAAAATAATTCCTCAAAAATCCAGATAAAGAATTTAAAATATTGATTATTAAGAAGCTAAGTGAGATGCAATAGAAATCTGAAAATCAATACAAAGAAACCAGAAAACCAATTCAGGATATAATGAGAAATTTACCAAGAAGATATCTTTAAAAAAAATTTTTGGAACTAAAAAATCCAGTGAAGAAAATACAAAATACATTCAAAAATCTCAATAACAGACTAGACCAAGCAGAAGAAAGAATCTTAGAACTTAAAGACAGTTTTTTTTATATCAACCAGTCGGACAAAAATAAGGAAAAAAAAATAAAAGAAGCAACAAAGCCTTTGAGATGTCTGGGACTACCTAAGCCAACCAAACTTAAAAATTATTGGTATTCCCAAGGGGGAAGATAAAACAAAAAGTTTAGAAAACCCATTTAAGAGAATAATCAATGAAAACTTCCCAAGTCTAGCAAAAGAGTCAGACATTCAGATCTAGGAGCCCCAGCAATTCCAGACAGATACATTGCAAAAAGGACTTCAGCACTACATATTATACTCGGACTATCTAAAGTCAACATGAAAGAAAGATTTTAAAATTAGCCAAGAGAAAAGCTTCTAGTAATCTATAAAGTAAACCCCATCACATTGGCAGCAGACCTTTTCAGCAGAAATCTTACAGAACAGAAGAGAATGAGATGGCATTTTCAAAATGCTGGAAGAAAAAAAAACTGTCAGCCAAGAATTTTATATCCTATCAAGATAAGTTTCACCAATGAAGAAGAAATAAACTATTTCCCAGATAAACAAATGCTGAGGGAATTTTTTACTACTAGACCAGCCCTACAGGAAATGTTCAAAGGTGTCTTAAGCATGGAAACAAAAGGTTGATATTCACCATCACAAAAACATATAGAAATATAAAACTCACAGTTTTTATAAAGCAATCACACAAGGGAGGAAGAGAAAGGAATCAAATGGCAACACAACAGAACTTCGGTTATGGGAGAAATCATAGCAAACAGTCTCTCAGACCACAGTGCAATCAAATTAGAACTCAGGATTAAGAAACTCACTCAAAACCACACAATAACATAGAAATGAACAACCTGCTCCTGAATGACTCTTGGGTAAATACGGAAATTAAGGCAGAAATCAAGAAGTTCTTTGTAACCAATGAGAACAAAGAGACAATGTACCAGAATCTCTGGGACACAGATAAAGCAATGTTAAGAGTGAAATTTATAGCACTAAATGCCCACATCAGAAAGCTAGAAAGATCTCAAATCGACACCCTAACATCACAATTAAAAGAGCTGGAGAGGCAAGAGCAAACTAATCCAAAAGCTAGCAGAAGACAAGAAATAACTAAGATCAGAGAAGAATTGAAGGAGATAAAGACATGAAAAGCCCCCCAAAAAAATCCATGAACCCAGGAGCTGCTTTTTTGGGAAAAAAATAACAAAATAGATAGACCACTAGCTAGACTTATAAAGAAGAAAAGAAAGAAGAATCAAATAGACACAATAAAAAATTATAAAGGAGACATCACTACTGACCCCATAGAAATACAACCTACTATCAGAGAATACTACAAACACCTCAACACAAATAAACTAGAAAATCTAGAATAAATAGATAAATTCCTGAACACATACACACTCCCAAGACTAAACTGGGAAGAAGTCAAATCCCTGAATAGACATATAACAAGCTCTGAAATTGAGGCAGTAATTAATAGCCTATCAACCAAAAAAAGCCCAGGACCAAATGGATTCACAGCTGAATGCTACCAGAAGTACAAAGAGGAGCTGGTACCATTCCTTCTGAAACCATTCCAAAAAATTGAAAAGGAGAGACTCCATCCCAACTCATTTTATGAAGCCAACATCATTCTGATACCAAAACTGGGAAGAGACACTACAAAAAAAGAAAACTTCAGGCCAATATCCCTGATGAACATCAATGCAAAAATCCTCAATAAAATACTGGCAAACCGTATCCAGTAGCACATCAAAAAACTTATCCACCGTGATCAAGTTGGCTTCATCCATGGGATGCAAGGCTGGTTCAACGTATGCAATTCAATAAATGTAATCCATCACATAAACAAAACCAATGACAAAAACCACATGATTATCTCAAGAGATACAGAAAAGGCCTTGGATAAAATTCAACATCCCTTAATGTTAAAAACTCTCAATAAACTAGGTATTTATGGAACACATCTCAAAATAATAAGAGCTATTCATGACAAACCCACAGCCAATATCATATTGAATGGGCAAGAGCTGGAAGCATTCCCTTTGAAAACTAGAACAAGACAAGGAGGCCCTCTCTCAACACTACTGTTCAATATAGTATTGGAAGTTCTGGCCAGGGCAATCAGGCAAGAGAAAGAAATGAAGAGTATTTAATTAGGAAGAGATGAAGTCAAATTGTCTTTGTTTGCAGATGACATGGTTTTATATCTAGAAAACCCTATCTTCTCAGCCCAAACTCCTTAAACTGATAAGCAACTTCAATAAAGTCTAAGGATGCAAAAGCAATGTGCAAAAATCACAAGTACTCCTTTACTCCAACAATAAACAAGCAGAGAGCCAAATCATGAATAAACTCCCATTTGCCACTGCTACAAAGAGAATAAAATACCTAACAACACAGGTAAGAAGAGATGTGAAAGACCTCTTCAAGGAGAACTACAAACCACTGCTCAAGGAAATAAGAGAGGACACAAACAAATGGAAAAACATTCCATCCTCATGGATAGGAAGAATCAATATCATGAAAATGGCCATACTGCCCAAAGTAATTTATAGATTCAATGCTATTCTCATAAAATTACCATTGACATGCTTCACAGAATTTGGAAAAATGATTTTAAGTTTCATATGGAATCAAAGAAGATCCCATAGAGCCAAGACAATCCTAAGCAAAAAGAACAAAGCTGGAGGCATCACACTACCTGACTTCAAACTATACTACGACAGAATGGTATTAGTACCAAAACAGATATACAGACCAATGGGACAGAAAGAGACCTCAGAAATAACACCACACATCTATAACCAACTAATCTTTGACAAACTTGACAAAAACAAGCAATGGTGAAACGATCTCCTATTCAGTAAATGCTGCTGGGAAAACTAGCTAGCCATATGCAGAAAACTGAAACTGGACTCCTTCCTCACACCCTATACAAAAATTAACTCAAGATGGATTAAAGATTTAAATGTAAAACCCAAAATCATAAAAACCCTAAAAGAAAACCGAGGCAATACCATTCAGAACATAGGCATGGGCAAAGACTTCATGACAAAAATGTTGAAAGCAATTGCAACAAAAGCCAAAATTGACAAATGGGATCTAATTAAACTAAAGAGCTTCTGCACAGCAAAAGAAACTATCATCAGAGTGAACAGGCAACCTATGGAATGGGAGAAAATTTTTGCAATCTATCCATCTGACAAAGGTCTAATATCCAGAATTTACAAGGAACTTAAACAAGTTTACAAGAAAAAAAAAACAACAACTCCATCAAAAAGTGGGCAAAAAATATGAACAGACACTTCTCAAAGAAAATATTCATGCAGCCAACAAACATGAAGAAAGCTCAACATCATTGATCATCAGAGAAATGCAAATCAAAACCACAATTAGATACCATCTCACACCAGTCAGAATAGTGATTATTAAAAAGTCAGAAAGCAATAGATGCTGTCAAGGCTGCGGAGAAATAAGAATGCTTTTACACTGCTGGTGGGAATGTAAATTAGTTCAACCATTGTGGAAGACAGTATGGTGATTCCTCAAGGATCTAGAACCAGAAATACCATTTGATCCAGCAATCCCATTACTGGGTATATACCCAAAGGAGTATAAATCATTCCACTATAAAGACACATGCACACATATATTTACTGCAGCACTATTTACAATAACAAAGACATGGAACCAACCCAAATGCCCATCAATGATAGACTGGATAAAGAAAATGTGGTACATATATACCATGGAATACTATGCAGCCATAAAAATGAATGAGATCATGTCCTTTGCAGGAACGTGGATGAAGCTGGGAGCCATCATCCTCAGCAAACTAACACAGGAACAGAAAAACCAAATACTGCATGTTCTCACTCACAAATGGAAGTTGAACAAAGAAAACACATGGACACAGAGAGGGGAACAACACACCAGGGCCTGTTGGGGGTAGGGGGTGAGGGAGGGGACCTTAGAAGACAGGTCAAGAGGTGCAGCAAACCACCATGGCACACATATACCTACGTATACCTATGTAACATGACACACGTATACCTATGTAACATGACACACGTATACCTATGTAACAAACCTGCATATTCTGCACATGTATCCCATTTTATTTTTAGAAGAAATAAAGAAAAACAAAAATTAAATAATAAATTAATTAAATAAAATCAAAATCATATTAAGCATCTTCTCAGACTACAGTGGAATAAAGCTATAAATCAATACTAATAGGAACCATTTTTATGAGACAGGCTCTCACTCTGTCACCTAGGCTGGAGTGCAGTGACACAATCATGGCTCACTGCAGCCTTAACCTCCCAGGATCAAATGATCCTCCCAACTCAGCCTCCCAAGTAGCAGCTGGGGCTACAGATGCTCACCACCATGCTCAGCTAATTTTTTTTTAATAGGGACAGGGTCTTGCCATGTTGCCCAGGTTGGTCTTGAATTCCTGGGCTCAGGCTATCCTCTTGCCTCGGTCTCCCAAAGTGCTGGGATTACAGGCATGAGCCACCATTCACAGCCGAAACTTTGGAAACTATACAAATACACAGAAATTAAAGAGGATGCTCCTGAATGATCATTAGGTCAGTGAAGAAATTAACATGAAAATTTTAAAATGTTTTGAAATGAATGAAAATGAAAACACAACATACCTAAACCTCTGAGATACAGCAAAAGCAGTGCTAACAGAAAAATATATAGCACTAACACCTACATCATAAAAGTAGAAATATTATAAATTAACAATCTAATATCATACCTCAAGGAACTAGAAAACAAAAACAAAACAAACCCATAGTTAAAAAAAAAAAAGATCAGACCAGAACTAAATAGACACCAAAAGACAATACAAAGAATCAAGGAAATAAAAGTTGATTCTTCAAAAAGATAAACAAAGTTGATAAACCACTAGCTAGACTAACCAAGAAAAGAAAAAATCTCAACACAATCAGAAATGAAAAAGGAGACATTACAACACACCACAGAAATGTACATACCACAGAAATACAAAATATTATCAGAGATTATTATGAACAACAATATACTCACAAACTAGAAAATCTAGATGAAATGGATAAATTCCCGGAAACATACAACCTCCTGAGATTGAACCAGGAAGAAATAAAACCCCTGAACAGACAAATAATGAGCAGCAAGATTGAATTGGTAATAATAAAAAAAAAAACTCCCAACAACAACAACCAAAAGGCCCAGGATGAGATGGATTCGCAGCCAAAATCAACCAAGCATACAAAGAATTAATACCAATCCCCTTGAAATTATTCAAAAAATTGAAGAGGAGGGAATTCACCTAACTTATTCTATGAAGACAGTATCGCCCTGATACCAAAACCAGATAAGGACGCAACAAAAAAAGAAAACTATAGACCAATATTTCTAATGAATATAGACACAAAAATTTTCAACAAAATACTAACAAATTGAATGCAACCGCACATCAAAAAGATAATACACCATGATTAGGTGGGATTTATCCCAAGGATGCAGGGATGCTGCAACATACACAAATCAATAAATGTATGGATTGCATAAACAGAATGAGCAGCAAGAACCATATGATCATCTCAATAGATGCAGAAAATGCATTTGATAAAGTTCAGCATCACTTTATGATAAAAATGTACAACAAACTAGGCACAGAAAGAAAATACCACAACATAACAAAGGCAATTTACAACCAACTCACAGTCAAAATCACAGTTAATGGGGAAAAGTTGAAAACATTCCCTCTAAGAACTGGAACAAGACAAGGAAGTCCACTGTCACCACTCTTATTCAACATAGTACTGGAAGTTCTTACCAAACAATCAGGCAAGGGAGAAAAATAAAAGGCAACCAAATTGAAAAACAGAAAGTCAAATTCTGATAATATGATATCTAGAAAACCCTAAAGACTTCACCAAAAAAAAACATAGATTTGATAAATGAATTCAGTAAAGTTTCAGGATACAAAATTAACATACAGAAATCAGTAGCATTTCTATACACCAATAATGATCTAACCAAAGGACAAAATCAAAAATGCAATCACATTTACAATAGCTACAAAAAAGTTAAATACCTAGGAATATATTTAACTAAGGAGGTGAAATATTTCTATAATAAGAACTGCAAAACTCTGATGAAAGAAACTGCAGGTGACACAAACAAACAGAAAAACATCCCATGTTCATGGGTTGGAAGAACCAATATTGTTAAAATGACCATACTGCCCAAAGCAATCTATAGATTCAATGTAACTCCTATAAAATTACCAACAGCATTCTTCAGAATTAGAAAAAACGATGCTTGAAGTTCATATAGAACCAAAAAAGAGCCCAAAAGCCAAAGAAATCCTATGCAAAAAGAAGAAAGCCAGAGGCAGCACATTACTTGACTTCAAATTATACTGCAAGATTATAGTAACTAAAACAGTATGGTAATGGCACAAAAGTAAATACACAGATCAATGGAATAGAATAGAGAACCCAGAAATAAAGCCACATACTTAAAACCAACTGATCTTTGACAAAGTTGACAAAAATAAATAATAGGGAAACTACACTCTATTAAACAACTTGTGCTGGGAAAATTGGCTAGCCATATGCAGAAGAATGAAACTGGACTCCTATCTTTCAACACATACAAAAGTAACTCAAGATGGATTAAAGACCTAAATGTAAGACCTGAAACTACAAAAGTCCTAGATGAAAACCAAGGAAAAACTCTTCTGGACATTGGGTTAGACAAAAAGTTTATGACTAAGACCTCAAAAGCAAATGCAATAAAAATTAAAATAGACCAATGGGATTTAATTAAACTAAAAAGCTTCTGCACAGCAAAAGAAATAATCAGTTGAGTACATAGACAACCTACAGAATGGGAGAAAATGTTTACAAATTATGTCTCCAACAAATGACTAATATCCAGAATCTACAATGAACTCAAACAATTCAACAAGAAAAAAAACTAACAATCCCATTAAAAAGTGGGTAAAGGACATAAACATACCTTTATCAAAGAAGACATACAAGCATCCTCAAGCATATGAAAAAATTCTCAACATCACTAATCATCAAAGAAACACAAAGTAACACCAAAATGAGATTACACCATTCAGAATGGCTACTTTTAAAAAGTCTACAAACAACAGATGTTGGTGTGGATGCTGAGAAAAAGGAATCCTTATACCCCTCACATTTGGTAAGAATGTAAATTACTACCACCTCCATGGAAAACAGTATGGAGATTTCTGAAACTACTAAAAATAGAACTACCATTTAATCCAGCAATCCCACTACTGGGCATCTACCCGAAGAAAAATAAATCATAACATAAAAAAATAGACCTGTACTAGTATGTTTATCATGGCACTATTCACAATAACAAAGCCATGGAATCAACCTAAGTGCCCATCAATGGATGACTGGATAAAGAAAAAATGTATATATACACACCATGAAATATGCAGCCATAAAAAAGAATGAAGTCCTGTCCTTTGCAGCAACATGCGTGGAGGTGACTATTATCCTAAGTGAAATAACTCAGAAACGGAAAATCAAATACCACATGTTCTCACTTCTGAGTAAGAGCTAAATAATGGGTACACATGGACATAAAGATGGAAATAATAGACACTGGGAACTGCAAAAGGGAGGAGGGTGGGAGGGAGTGAAGGTTAAAAAAACTATCAATTGGGCTCAATGTTCGCTATTTGGGTGACGAGCACACTGGAAACCCAAACCTCACCATTATGCGATATGTCCATGCAACAAACCTGCACATGTACCCCCTGAATCTAAAATTAAAAAAAAAAAAAAGCAGTCTAAGGAAATAGGGAAGTTTGATAATTATGTACCTGGACTTCTAGGGAGTACAACTTAGAGTTTTGTCAAATAAGGGAGGAAAAGAGTATTGGGTCAAGGGAGAAAAATCAGAATATTATGGTGATAAAAGTACTAAAGAGAATAGAAAAGCAAAGGGGCTTACGATTTGTACAGTGATCAAAGAAACCAGGAATGTTAAAGCAGACAGGGTTGCTACATCAGAAAAAAAGAAGAGGGAAGAGTTCAGTAGCCTCCTTAATCATCTGCCATGGAGTCAGCAGCTCAGGTAGTGATCAAGGAAGCCCAAATCTAGTCTTCAGGCACTCAGGAGTGGGCAGTTATTCTACCAGCTTTGGCTCTACGTTTCTGGTTCCGGTTAAGAGTAATGCATCAAACCAATGGACCACCAGGACCAAGGGATAAGCTTCAAAAAGTACAGTTCTGCTCTTAAGCACTTCCTCCCTACAGGACCCAGCCCAGAGACATAGGCGGAGGTAATGCTGCTGCTAGGTGCTTTGAGCCATTTTGTGCTCCCTCCTACCTGCCCCTCCTTTTGCCCCAAATTCTAGTCCCACCTGCTTTGTCATCTACTACCTGCCTATGGTAGTTCCCTCTCTGGTCTTCAGTGTCCTCATTGGTAAAATGAACGTAATATATATATCCCTTCTGTAATCCCATATATTCATGCAGTGATGTAAATGATGGGAAAGGGCTTTGAACAATGTGGTAAGTTAAAGAGGCTGGGGCACTGACTTTCTCCCACTTTCCCAAGTCCCACTTCAGAACTGCTCTCCTAGGGCCCAACCTCATAACTCTTTTCTAGCCCTTTGATAAACATTTGCCTACTGAGGGGCAAAACTACATGACATCCCAAGAACAGAGACTAATACTGTAGCCCATTTCTTCTCTTTATTTCCCATGATTTTTTTTTTTTTTAAGGAGTCTCATTCTGTCGCCTAGGCTGGAGTGCAGTGGTGCAATCTCAGCTGATTGCAACCTCTGCCTCCTGGGTTCAAACAATTCTCCTGCCTCAGTCACCTGAGTAGCTGGGATTACAGGCACCTGCCACCACACCTGGCTAATTTTTATATTTTTTGTGGAGATGGGGTTTCGCCATGTTGGCCAGGCTGGTCTCAAACTCCTGACCTCAGGTGATCTGCCCATCCCAGCCTCCCAAAGTGCTAGGATTACAGGCGTGAGCCACTACACCCAGCCCCCATGATTACTCTTAAACCTAGAAACTGGGACCGTTTTCCTGGTTGGTGGAGCCTATTCACTAGATCAAAAGGGAGGGGCATAATGAGTTTCACAATGGGCATTCAGTTATGGGGTGATGCAAGGAGTGGGTGTGTGAGATAAATGCTGAATAGGCCTGGGGCACATTTTGACTCCTGTGGACAAGTGAGTAACTAGAGCTCTCATGTGAAAAGATGTCAAGACAGCTATCTTGAATTTCTCCATCTCAACCCCAGCCTTCACTTTTTTCCATTCCTTCCTGCTCTCATCATCCAGCCCTTTCTCTCATTTTTTCCCAATTCTCAGGCTGCACCCTACTCTCCTGTTCCATCCAACTTTTTGTTTCGTCCCTACCTGTCAACATCATCCCTGCCCACTACCCTACCTTAAGGATTGCCCTGCCCAGCTGTCTTCTGTTGGTTTTAACCTGTGCATTTGCCACCACTATATTCATCAGGGTCCCAATTTCCACTACTGCCTTCTTTTTCACCCTACCTTTCCTCCTAGGCCTAGTTTCTAGTCCTCTGTATTCTAGTCTCCACCCCCATTCCAGTCACCACTAACTAGTCCTGTTGGGGGCTCACAAACCTCATCCTAGACACATGGTTTCCCTACTACTGTGACAGTTCTTGGGCCAGGAGTGTGGACTCCTGGAAGCCTAACATGGTGGGCATAGGGAATGCAAGACAATGGCAAACCAACAGTCAGCCTCAACAGTCTGCTCCTTCCCTCTCCTGCATGAGCAGCCAGACTTCATTAGCCTCTACATTTGGAACTGGCTTCTCCATTGAAACTTGTCTGTAACCACATAGCAAACTGCAGGACAAGTAGCAGAGAAGGTGGAGGAGAAAAGTGGAAAGCGTATAATCAGGAGGAAAATAATTGGCCAAAATCAGGTCTAATCATGTGTCCAATACTTCCTGAGCCTGCCCCTTGACAGTGAGCCCTTTCCTGGCAGTATGCAGGGGCGATTCTAGTAACCAGGCTGGGTTCTGAGAAGCTGGGGCAGGGCAGTACAGGGACACTGTTGCCTGGAGACAGCAGAGGACACCATTGCCTGGAGATGACAGAAGGCTGAGGATGGAGAGAGGCACTGATAGAGGCCAGACCAGACAAGCAGTGCCAAGTCCATAGTGGGACACCAAAGGGAGGAGGCAATCCCAGATGAGGTCCATCCCAGAACCAGACCTTGCAGGGACCTCAAGGAGCTATGAACATAGAAACCCTATACATGATATCACTTGAATCCCTCCACAAGGGCTTCTGATATTGTCTTAGACCTTTGGAAAGTTCAGGGGTAGTAGCCTCTGGGCCCATAGTGCTCCCCTGATGATGCAGCCCCACCCTCAACTCTTGCCACTGCAGATGCTCCTTGGGCAGTTTCATCTGGGCCTTTCACATCAGCTCCCTCCAAATGTGACTGGACCTCAAATGGATCTTCAGACCCCCATGCCCAACCACCTCCCAGCTACCTTCCCTGGACAACCCACAGGTCACATGATCACCAGGAAGCCCATGTCTCTGCATGATAACCTGGAGAAACCTACAGATGCCAGGCTTCTGAATCTCATTCACCATGCTTCCCAGGGATCAAGGAAGAAATACCCAGAGATACAGACTGAAAAATCAGGAAACTGGATGGGATTCAGAGCCCTTGGAATGGAGCCTTCTCATTCATTCACCCAACTCCAGTCTAAAACGTGCAGCTCTGAAGCAGGGCTGCTTCATAGAGACTTGAGTAAATAGCACAGTAAAGCCCAGGTTTTACCAGTGAGGAGGAGAGTAAATACACTGATCATTTGCAAGAGCACCTCTTCAGATATGGCACCTCTCCTTGGAGAGAGGAGACTATGGAAGACAGGGAGACCATTCTAGCTGAAGCTCACACCACTTACACAACAAAAGATCTAAGTCGAAAAGGGAGAGAGTAAAGACCTGGCTCACATGGGTGTGAAGTGTGCATGTGGAAACATTGCATCTTTAACATTTCACAACATCTTGTAGCAGGCTTACTATGGCAGGAAGGACAAGTGTGGCTGGCCCAGCCAGTGCTGTCCTGCTCAGACCTTCCTAGGCTTTGCAATGCTGGGATAATAGGGAAGCCACACTCAATGAGCATCTCTCAGCCTCACATCTCCTGGTCAACCCAGAATGCCACAACCACAGGCCGAACCACAGGTAAGAAAGGAAGTAGGTAACTTCTGGGTCTACAATGACATCACTCTGTACAAGGCTAAAATGTGGAGTTTAGGAAAAGATAATGACCACGAGTAGCATCCCAGAGGATTTAATACCCTGAGTTTGCATGGCCCACAGAAATATTACCTTTAGAAAAATAGAAGAGGGTGAACATACACCACTGAGGTTGGTCTAGGGGTATTCCCAAAGCCACCAACCTTACCTTAATATGTCACTCCTGTCTCTCAACACCATATAAACGGGAATATCTAATATCTAGGTAAGCATTCTTTTTTTCTTGGTACGTGTCTCAGTTTGTTTTCGGCTGCTATAACAAAATACCACAGACTGAAAAATTTATAAAGAAAATGAATTTATTTCTCACAGATCTGGAGGCTGGGAAATCCAAGAACATGGCACTGGCATCAGGCAAGGGTCAGCCCATGCTGGAGGGCAGAAGGCAGAAGTGAGCATGTGAGACAGAGATAAGAAATTAGGCTGAACTTGCTTGTATAGCAAACCCAGCCTCTCAATAACTAACCCGCTCCAGCAATAATGGCATTAATCCATTCATGAGGGCAGAGCCCCCATGACCTATTCACATCCTAAAGGCCCCACATCAATCATATCTCAACATGAGGTTCAGAGGACACAAACATTCAAACCATAGCAGTAAGTAATCCTTTTTCTTAAAAAAAAATTTATGTTTTTACTAAAATATTTTATAAATTTGCTTTAAAATTTTTAAATAATATGGAAGCTATAGAGTGGGAGTGGGTAGGAAGATTCTGCAAATCTCCAGTCTTCTCCTGCTCCCTCTTCACTCCCCATCCCAACCTACCATTCTGCACTACCAGGGTAACCACTGCTAACATTCCATGCTTTGTGAATATTCTGAATGTTTTTTAAAGGAAATAAGATCATTTCTTACATACTATTCTGCAACTTATGTTTTAATGTAATGTATGTTAGAGAGCTTTCCATATTAATACAATATGTGTGGCCCATTTTAATAGCTATAAGCCATTGTATTAACATACCATCATGAGGGTACACTGCCACCTTGGATGAACACGTAGGCTACTTCCTTGTGTCTATATATTTGCTTTTGTTATTATTAGAAAGCAGCAAGGAACAGCCTGTACACATAACTTTGCAAGTTTACATGAATTTATCTACAAAATAAATTCATAGAAGTAGAAATGGTGAGTCAAAGGAATGAAGCATTTAAAATTTTTATAGATATTGCCAAATTGATCTTCAAACACTTGTACCAATTTGTTCTCCCAGGAACAACAGTGTGCAGGCATATTTGTTTGCATAGATCCTAGCCAACTGAGGGAGTTATCGAACTATTAAATCTCTGCCAATCCAATGGGGGTAATATGATAATCTGTCCATTTATTTTGTATTTCTTTCATTATCAGTGAGCATGAGTCTCTGTAAGACAGATTCATTCTTTTTTATGCAAACTCCCTCTTTATGTCTTATACACATTTTTCTCTGAATTTTGGTCTTTTTCTTTCCTGTTTTTAGAAGCAATTTTGGTACTATTGAAAATGAGTCCTTTTGTTACAAGTGTTGCCATTATTTTTTTTCCAGGCTGTCTTTTGCCTTTCTGATGGTATTTTTTCAAGTAAATTTTTTTTATTTTTGTATAGGCAAATCTGTTTATCCTCTTCCTTATGGTTCTTAGTTTTACATCATACCTAAAAGAGTCTTACCCATTCTAAGATTTTTTTTTAAATTCATGAAGGTTTTATTCTAGTGTTTTTATAGATTCATATTTTTGCATTTAAGCATTTGATCCTTCTGGAATTTATTTTGATGTAAGAAAGGAAGTAGGTAACAAGCTTTACCAGGTGGAAGAGTTACTCTTACCAGGAAACCATACTAAGTTCAAATATCAAAAAAAATTGTGTTATGCACACATCATGTATTGAATGTGTAAGGGCTGTGCAACACGTTGACATTTCATTGATCACCTCAACCTTGACCAGCTGTTTGTTCTGCCTTTATGACCTAGCAGTGTGTGCAGCTTGCCGATTCAGACCTCAGTTTACCTGCTGGCATGGAACCTAGTAAATGCCTTTTATTGGATTGTTTTCCTAATGCAGAATTTTTTTAAGTTTTGTAGTTTATTTACTACAAAACAAAGTTGACAAATACATAAATCTGTCTCACTCATTGAACCATTAAGTATCCTCCATTTTCTTCGATAGTTTTTGGGGTACAGGTGGTTTTACATAGCTAAGTTCTTTAGTGATGATTTCTCAGATTTTAGTGCACCTGTCACCCAAGCAGTGTATACTGTACCCAATATGTAGTCTTTTACCCCTCACCCCCTCCAAACCTCCCTCCCCAAGTCCCCAAAGTCCATTATATCATTCTTATGCCTTTGCATCCTCATAGCTTAGCTCCCTCTTATAAGTGGGAACATACGGTATTGGGTTTTTCCATTCCTGAGTTACTCCATTTAGAATAATAGCCTCCAGCTCCATCCAGGCTGCTGCAAAAGACATTATTTTGTTCCTTTTTATGGCTGAGTAGTATTCCACGGTGTATGTATGCCACATTTTCTTTTTCCACTAGTTGGTCAATGGGCATTTAGGTTGGTTCCATATTTTGCAATTCCACCAATTCAGAAATTCTTAACCTTTTTTGTGCCATAGACCTCTTTGGCAGAATAATGTTTTTAAAACACATAGAATCACAAAAGAAACAAATACATTAAAATTGAGTTCTATCCACAGACCCCTTGGTTTATGGACCTAAGATTACTTGAGACTTCTTTTCTGCACCAGACGTTCCAAAAACACCACTTCTTAGAAGTAAACACAAAACCCTCTCCAATGGTCAAACTCTCACCTGCAGATGCCAGCAGTTCTCTCTGAATCCTGGGCTTCCCTCTGCCTCAATGCCTTTTTCTGTGGTCATTGACTCACACTTAGCTAGTTTGCAATCTGCTACTCCATATCAGATGAACTATTGCCAAATTCATAAGAGGTAGGCCATATTAAGGCAAGTGAATTTATATAAACTAATACTACCTTCTCTTGTTCTCTTTATTTCCATACCTACTGTCATTCCTTTTTCCCACCCGGTGCTAATATCTCTTGCCCTGTTGCTTCCTACAAGGGCATCGCTTACTACTCAATCATCCAATGCACAGCTACATATTATAGTCCTGTTACAATACTGAAGAAAGAACATAATCATATATTCTCATGAGTATGTGTCTATCATGAATTTGGTTGCTTTGTTTGTCCCTAAATAAGCGTATCTTTCTCCATGTCACCATACTGGAGGTCTTCCTGATCCCTGCCTCAATAAATGAGTTGACATCAGAAGGTCATCTATGATGAACTATTAACTGAAAATATTTGGAGAGCAGAAGGAAAATGATAACCATGGATTTTTGAGATAAGAGGAGCCATTCTGAATGAGGCATCAATTGAGTTGAGACTCACACAAAAGAAAAATCTCCCTTTGCAGACACCAGGAAGTCTGAAACTGATTCCATCTGGTTTGTCTGTGATGTATAACATTACTGGGTCATTAGTCTTTGCCTTTGCTCAAAGCTAACTCTAGCATCTGGACCGGCAATGTCAGAGCCCTCACAGGCATCCCCACACCAACAATTCTGTAGCCCACGTGGGAGAAGACCTTTGACTTCAAAGGCTGAAAGAGAATCAACAAAAAAACCTTTTGGCTCCTTAGTGACTAGAGAATACATAAGGCCCAAAAACTTTCTCTTTTTCTCTCTCTCTCTACAACTCTATGCGGAAAGAGTTCCTGAAAGGAAAGAACTACAAAGAGTAAGTGGTGAGTTCCTTGACAAAAACAAGTCTCATTAACAAGCAATTCAACTTTTCTCTGAGATGAGCCATATGGACTGTAAACACAAAGACAAAAAGAATTTTAACCCCTAAGTAGCAAAGTTTTCACAGAGCTACTACATTAAAAAGAGATAATAGACATGAAAACACATTTTTTTTAACAGCTGGTAAGTAAAGGTATAATTATCATCAACAATAATCATAGTTTTCTTCATTGAACCTGGTTGAAAAATCATAAAAATTCCAAGTTATGAACTCAGAACATTTATTTTAGACCTCATTTTGTCTGACATAAGATTACTCATTCCTGTAAGCACAACAAAAGGCCGAGAAGAGACCGCAGAGGTCATCTAGCTTAATCCCTTCTTACTGAGTATCAGAAAGGTTAAATGAGGTGTTCAAGTCACAATGAGTCAGTGCAGAGCCAGAACACACCACAGATCTGCTAACTTTGTGGTCCTTCTAGTGATACCATACCACCTACCAGAAACAAATTTAGAGAGTTATATTGTCTGTTACACAAAGCCCTGCTGGACTCACTATCTTCCTTTTGTTTCTCACATCTTCTATTCAGTCTTCCCCACTCTGCTGTCTGCCCCAGGAGGCTGACTTATATGGACTACCTCAACTGACACACTTGACCTCTGACTTCCAGTTGAGTTTAATCAAAGACGACCCCCCAGCAAGAGGAGGAAAGGACAGAGGATAGAGAGGTTGGGTTGCTTATTCCCTGGAGTCCCCTTCAGTCCCATGTTAGTATCATCCTGAGATGAGAGCTCCACACAGCTCTTTCCCTCTGTCCCTTCACCCCTTCAGGCCTAACGGTGTGTGTTAGTTCCCTAAGGCTTCCATAACAAATTTCTATGCTTCAAACAACAGACATTTGTCTCATAGTTCTGAGGCCAGAAGTTTAAAATCAAGGTTTTAGTAGGCCATGCTCTCTCCGAAGGGTGTAAGTGAGATCCTTCGTTGCACCTGCCTTGCTTCTGAAAGTTGCTGGCAATCCTTGCCATTCCTTGGCTTATAGATGCATCACTCCAATCTCTCCTTCAGCTTCACCTGATGTTTTCCCTGTGTCTCTGTCTATATCTCTTCTCCTCTTATTATAAGGATGTTAGACATACAAGATTAGGGCCCACCATAATGACCTCATCTTCATTTGATTATGTCTGCCAGGACTCTCTTTCCAAATAAGATCACATTCAGAGGAACGGAAGGTTACAACTTCAACATGTCTTTTGGAGGGACACAATTTAACCCGTAACACAATGGTAACAAAGCCCTGTTACTACTTGCCCCAGGGCACTGCATTATCCTGTGGTTTTCATAGATCTGATCTGCGTTCCTACAAATAATTCCTTTACTAAACTTTCCCCAAGTTTCACTTCCACTTAGGATATAGAAAGCACAAGAGAATATTGATCCCACCCCAATAATGAGAAAAAGCCAAAGAACCTATTCTTGAGCCCGTCAGAGCTGAGAACACAAAGCAACCAACTGAAGTAAGTTCCAGTGAGTCACAGACCCCTCTAAGGAGAGACAGGGCACACAAACTATTTCCCTTTTGGCAGAGCACAAAAGGAAAAGGCAGGTGCCATAAAGGTAGGTAAAAAGAAAACAGCTACAATTTTAACCAATTCTTAAAGGTCAAGTGTAGGCTAAAGACACAATATGCAATCCCTAGACCCCTTATATACAAGCAGAATCTGCACCCACACACCAGTTATTTTTCTTAAACCTGTACCAGGTACTCTTGAGAAGGATTTCAGGCAGGATAGGAAACTTGAGTGAGTCTCTTCAATGTTGCCAACATTCTGGTCATGAACATCTGCTGCTGCGGTGGAACAAGCACAAGGTCTCGCTTACTTCTTTAACATGGAGCAAAAGTCTAAAGCTGCTGGGGAGAAAGCAAGAAAACCTCCCACTTTCAGAGCCCTGGCAAAGATTCCTGCATCTCAAAGGGAAAGAAAGCAAAAGTTCTCTGCTACAGGGGTAAGAAAGCTTCTGGAACAGGAGAAACTCTCTCTAGCCCAGGACCCTACACTCATACAAAGCAGTGGCCTGTTGCCACTGAAGGCAAAACTGAAAAATCTGACTACACAAGAGCTCCCACAGATATTAGGTTGGTGCAAAACAAATTGCGGATTTTGCCATTAAAAGTTATGGCAAAAATCACAATTACTTTTGCACCAACCTAATATAAGGCAGAGTTTGGCTGAAATGGAGGGGAGGGATAAGAATACTGAGAAAGTGCCACCACTGAGGCTCAATGACACAGGACCTACCTAACACAAATGCTGAACCAGGAGAACAAAGATCTTCCCCGCTGCATCACAAGCCTCACACCAAATAACATACAACCGCTGTCTACACCTGAGGGTATGACGGCAAGAATACGAATAAATATCCTATCTGTGATGGAACCATGCAGAGGCTGCTGAAAACTAATGATGAAACATAAATATAGAGAAAAACTCTCAACATCTCAGGCCCCATGTCAAGTGCAAGTTAGCAGCAGTCCACCACTGAAGGAATTTGAAGCTCACAGTCTACTGAAGGTAACTACAATAACCGCAAAACCTAAGCTCAACACATGTACTGACAAGAGTAACTCAAGCTCGCACACTAATAGCATGAAATAAGAAAAGTCATGCCCATTTCAGAACATAAATACGACTTACCTCAGATACTACTACCCTTTTACATATAATGTGTGGCAGTCAATCAAAAATAACAAGACAGACAAAATAAGATAAAGCAAACCACTATGAAGACATGGAGAAATCAATAGATTAATAAGACCCAGAGATGATATGAGCATTAGCATTATCAGACAGATTTTTAAACAACCATAGAATATTTTAGATAATCTAGTTGAATAAGTGGGTAACTTACATGAAGAGATAGAAATCTTTAGCAAAGCAATACTATCAAAAAGTCACATGGATGGCCAGGTATGGTGGCTCTTGCCTGTAATCCCAGCACTTTGGGAGGCCGAGGCAGGTAGGTAGATCACTTGAGGTCAGGAGTTCAAGATCAGCCTTGCCAACATGGCAAAACCCCATCTCTACTAAAAATATAAAAATTAGCTAGGTGTGGTGGTGCACACTTACAATCCTAACTACTCAGGAGGCAGAGGCAGGAGAATTGCTTGAATCTGGGAGGCAGAGGTTGCAGTGAGCTGAGATTGCGTCACTGCACTCCAGCCTGGGCAACAGAATGAGACTCCATCTAAAAAAAATAATAATTAATTAAAATTTTAAAAGAAGTCACATGGAAAGCTAGAAATAAAAAGCATGATACAATGTGTTTAGGATTTGTTTTTGCTCTATCACTTTCAATAAACATGATATCTGAAATACAAAATTCTTTCAATAAGACATAGCTTAAGAAAAAACAAGTAAAACTGAAGAGTGAAAAAATATTATCCAAATTAAAACAGAAAAAAGAAAAAACAGAGCATTAAAGAACTGTGGTAGAATACCAGTTTAACATACATGTAATTAAAATTCCAGATGGAAAAGAGAGAAAGAATACTGCAGAAGAAATATTTGAAGAGGTAATAACAGATGATTTTCCATAATTAGAGACAACACACCAAATCCAAACAGCTCAGAGAAACACAAGCTAGATAAATATACACAGACACAAAGACCCATCATACTCACACTGCTGAAATCAAAGATAAAGAGAAAATCTTGAAGGCAACCAGAGAAAAAAGAAGCATTACATACAGAGATACAAAGATAATATGACAGACTTTGCATCAGAAACTATACAAGACAAGACAAGACGAGAGAGGCATCTTTGAAGTGCTGAAAGAAAAAAAATCAACCTAGATTTCTACGCCCAGCAAAAATATCTTTTATAAATAAATGCAAAATAAAAATATTGTCTAAAAGACAACAGTTGAGAAAATTCATTGCCAGTAAACCTGCATTAAAAGGGGAGTTAAAGAAAGCTCTGCAGGCAAAAGGAGAATGATAAAAGACGGAGATTTTGACTCACACAAAGAAATAAAGGGCAATAAAATTGGTAATATCAGAATATATATAAAAGTATTTTTTCTGATTTTTAGTCTCTCTAAAGGAAAATTGTCTTAGGCAAAATAATAGCAATATATTGTGAAATTTATGACATATATAGAAGTAAAATATATAACAAAAATAACATAAAAGATGAGACAGAAAATAAAATATACTGTTGTACTATAAAGGAAGCAATATAATTACTTAACCATAGACTGTAATATGATAAGATGTCTTTTGTTAATCTTACATCAACTACTAAACAATTTAAAAGAGGTATAACTAATAATCCGATTGTGGAATCACAAAAAAAATACTCAAATAATGCAAAATAAGGCAGAAACGAGAATAAGGAAACAAAAAAGGTGGCATTTAGAAAATAAGTAGCAAGACAGTAGATTTAAATCCAACCATATCAACAATTTTATTAAATAATAATGAAGTCTATCTCTCCCCATTAGAAGGCAGAGATTGTCAAATTAGAAAAGTAGCAAAAGTAGCAAGACCCAGATACATGCAGTCTACAAGAAACCCACTTTTTATATATAAAGACAAAGGCAAGTGAAAAGGGGGGAAAAGATATAACAAAATAACACTAATCAAAAGAAATCTAGATCAGACAAAGTAGGCTTCCAAACAATGAATACTGTAAAATATGAAGAATATTACATAATGATAAAGGGATATAATACACCAGGAAGACTTAACAATCCTAACAATCCTAAATGTACCTAACATGACTTTCCAAAATACATGAAGCAAAGACTAATTGACTCAAATGAGAAATAGACAAATCCACAAGCTGACATTGCAGTTAGAGAATTCAAGTTAGAGGATTCAACGTTCCTCTATCGATAATTAACAAAACAAATATACAGAAAATTAGTATGGATATAGAAAATCTAAATAATAGTATAAACCAGCTTGACCTTCTTGATACTACGTAACATTCCACTTAACAATAGCAGGATAAACATTCTTTTCAAGCATATATAAAATATTCACCAAGAGCAACCTTGTTCTAAGCTATAAAAAAACCTCAACAAATTTAAAGGGAATTAAATAAATGCAAAGTATGTTTTATAAATACAATGAAATTAAACTAGAACTCAGTAACAGAAAGATATCTCAAAAATCCCCAAACATTTGAAAATTAAACACACTTTAAAATAAGAAAATCACAAGGGTAATTAGAAAATATTTGGTATTGGATTTAAAATGAAAACACAATCAGAATTAATGGGATGCAGGTCAAGCAGTGATTAAAGGAAAATTCATGGCATTCAATGCTAATATTGGAAAATAAGAAAGTTCTTAAATCAATGACTTAACCGTCTAACTTAAGGAACTAGAAAAACGACAAATTATACCCAAAGCAAGCAGAAGAAAGAAAATAAAAGTGAGAAGAAATCAATAAAATATAAGAAACAAAATCAAACTATCTCTCTGGGTTTCCAAAGATAATGCAACATGACTGAAAGATAGTATGTGTCTAGTTCCTAAGTTCCTGAATGTGTGAAGCTGAGATAATAGCAACCAACATTTGTACAGGCCCAGCCAATTGGCACACCGTTTTCCTAAAAATTTGCCTATTTGGTCCCACAGTGATCATATTGGGTAAGGTAATACAGCAATTTTCATTACTATCTACAGGTAGGTGATAGTTACAGGTGACATATCTATATTAGGTGACCTACCAAAGACTAAGTCAAGATATAATTTCAAAATTCCTGTTTCCAAATTTACCTTCCGACTATTCCTTCCTGATTCCTTACACTGGGTGCTATGGAAATTTTGTAGAGGACTGAAGCATCTTATTCCCGCCTCCTGGGTGAACTTGGGAGTGAAATAAATCAGAAGCAAAAATCCAAAATGTGTAGCCATGGCTGAGTTGTTGAAACATCAGAACATTTTCATAATACTTGAAGAAATTTTTTTCTCACCAATGTTCATGCATTTCAAAGACAAAAATCTACATTCTTCATCAACATTCCAAAAATACTACCCATTGTCTACAAATTGGCTATTTGTATTTTTTTTTTCACTTAACAGAAAGACCTTTTCAATAACTAACTAGACTGTCCACACCCCCCGCCCTCCATTGGATGTAATAAATCTTAAATTATCTGTCTAGGAAACATCATACTTGGAAAGTAATTTGGACGAACTCTCCACTTCATTTTGGATAAGTAGTAATCTAACCTCTCCTTGAACATAACCAGGACTCTGAACTTACTTCAGGACATTATATTTTCAGAAAACAGTAATTATTTGAAAATCTCTGCTATGTTGCATTCCGTCCAAATCTACCTCCCTGCATCTTATACCTATAATAGTAATAAAGGAACACCTAATGAAAATAATCCAGATTGATTTAATCTGGAAAATCACAAGGCACCATAATAAAGATGTCCTTTCCAGTGGAAACAATAGCAGGTAACTCATTTGTACTAACAAGCCACTTGACTGAGTAGCAATCTAGACGAGTGAGTAGTTGATTTCATCCACATAACTTATTTTTTTTTCTCCCCCCAAGACAGAGTCTCACTGTGTCGCCCAGGCTGGAGTGCAGTGGCGTGATCTCGGCTCACTGCAACTTCTGCCTCCCAGGTTCAAGCAATTCTCCCTGCCTCAGCCTCCTGAGTAGCTGGGATTGCAGGCGCCCACCACCACGCCAGGCTAATTTTTGTATTTTTTAGTAGAGATGGGGTTTCACCATGTTGGCCAGGCTGGTCTTGAACTCCTGACCTCAGGTGATTCCCCCCACCCCTCGGCCCTCCCAAAGTTCTGGGATTACAGGCGTGAGCCACCACACCCCAGCCCATCCATATACATTTTTATATGGATAATTGCTAGATGCCGGTATGGAGGATACAAGACCAGTTTTGTGTTTCAATTGCTTTTGGATGTATACAGAGGAATGTAGCAAATATTTGCTGAGTTTCTATTATGAAATAGGCACCATACAAGGCACTTTATAGAGACACTCTCCTTTAATTCTTACTGATAATCCTTACTATGTGTTATTACTTCCCATTTTATGGATGAAGAAATTAAGGTTCAAAGAGGTTAAATAACATGTCAGAAGCTACGGAGTTTGTAAGTAAAAACTCAGGGTTTTGAACGCATCTTTTAAGCTTCAAAGCAGATCTTACCCAGTGCATCAGTGTGCCTTGATTAACCAAAAGCAGAACCTAAGCTGTCCTTTCCTGATTCCTTACCCTGGTTGCTATGAAAGTTTTGTACAGGACTGAAGCACCCATTCCTGCCTTCTGGGTGGGTGAACCCAGAGTGAAGTACATCAAAATTGAAATCCAAAATGTTTAGCCATAGCTGATGAGAAATGGGTAGATTTATTAATAGTTTCCCCATTCCTCCTTCCCCACCCACCTAATACTCCTTCCAGCACCCTCTTGGGGTCCATAACAGCCCCAGGCCCCCCAAACACCACCTGTCCTGGGTTTGCCTTTCCCAGATTTTGCTCCTGCTTCAGGATGAGCCCTCATCTTAGCCTCCTTCCTGCTTGTCTCACTTTCCCAAGGCCTGGTTTGATCACCTCTGAAAATTTAATTCATTGCTTCAAAAACTGCTAGGACAGGTAGCATTGTAAAAGAGGAGTCCTGGAGAGGTCACTGTGATAGAGTGAGGGAACGTTTGGTGTGAAGAACAGTAGGACATTTCAGCCCCAAAATTTAATACCCAGTGATCTAATCTGACCACAATGGCACCCCAAACCAACATTCTTTTCCATAAAAACTTCCATTATTTCACCTCTTCTACCTGGGGGTGCTCATTTTCTTATAAGGGGAGCAGGCCCTGCATGGGATGCTGCCAGCATCTCGAGGGCACAATTCATGTCTTATTCTTCTTCATATTCCTGATGCCTAATGTAATTCCTAGCACATAGTAGGGGCTCAGTTGCTCTTTGTTAAGTGAATGAAAGAAGGAATGGGCAGAAAAACATAGGATTGCATGGAAATGTCACTAGTTCCAGCTTAGTCAACTCAGCTAATTTATCTCTCTGGCCACTGTCCTAAGGAAGCAATGACATTAGCCATAACAAAAACATACATTGCCAGGTCTCCTTCGTAGAAAAACAGTCTGAATAAACAGAATAGGAGCTCTGATGATAAAGAGACCTCATTCCAATGAGGGAGGCAATCCAACTCGATCTAAATGTTCAGGGAATCTGAACACTCAGAATTCAAGAAAAAGTATGTCTAGACTTCTAGGGTCATTAAATCCTCAAAGTCATGTCCTTTATTCCTTACTTCATCCCAGCTTCTGAGTATTTTAGATCCAGTACTATACGACCTGAATGAATAGCTCTACAAACCCAGGATACAAAGCAATTAATTACATCTGTTATTTTTCCAATTTTATCTCAGGCTTCCTCCTGCCATTATCTCAACCTTGATAGAGAACCCCAGAAATCTGCAAAGGGTCCCCCTTGAGCATTTAGCCGAGTACTGATCAATGGATGTATATGGACAAACTACTCAAGACAAAGGAAAGAACCAGGCAAAAGGGTTAGAGAAAGCATCTCTCACACAGGGCCAATAAGAGTGCCTGTTCCCATCACCCACATTGGAGAAATTCAAAACTCACTGGGCGTGACGTAGAGGACGGAAGAAGATCTTGCCTCAGTGGTAGGAAATAATTAGCCCTACACTAGCACTGCTCAGACCCACCTAACAATCTAAAAAGCAAGCTCTGAAAGGATCTACGCATTTCTAAGGATCTACAGTTTCTAACGCCTCCCAGAGCGAAACTCCAGGAGATTTACAGGAATACGAAAATATCCATTGTCGCTTTGCTTTGTATACTGGTTTTGAAAATCTGACGCTAGCCTAATTCATTTGTCTGTGTAAGTGATTTCATCTTTTTACCTGGAGACAGGCCTTGAGAACTTTATTTTTTGAGAACTAATAGTTATACCAGGATAAGTCTGAGAATTCATTGTTTCTGGATTAATTTTGCCAGATGACTTCTTTCAATGTGTGGGTTTACGTCTTTTTCTACTTTTGGAAAATTTTCTTAGATTACAGTTTTAAATGTTAGTTCTGTTCCTTTGTTTTATTTTCCTCCTTCGGGGACTCAGATAACATGAATATTATTTGTTCTTTGCCTGTCTTCCATTTTTACTACTTTCTGAGACTTTTTACCTTTTTCTCTACTCATTTTCATTTCTTTGGTGTCTTCCTGTTTTCCTGCCCCTTCTTAAATGTTCATTTGGTCCATTCTCCCTTGTACATCTTGTAATTTATTCTTCATTTCTGAGACAATTTTGTCTTTTTCTACCATTTCTTTCCTGAGTTTAAGGAACTCTTTTTTTTCTCCCTGTTTTTTGTTCCATTTCTGCTCTTAATTTTTGAATTCCAGATCCTCAAATGCTTGCTTCACCTTCATGCACCAAATAATGGCATCTCAGTCAACAATGGACCACATAGAGGACAGTGGTTCCATAAGATTTTAATGGAGCTGAAAAATTCCTATCACCTAGTGATGTCGTAGCCATTGCAATGTCATAGCACAATGCATTCCATGTTTGTGGCAATGTGGGTATAAACAAACTTACTGTGTTGCCAGTCATATAAAAGTCTTGCACATACAATTATGTGCAATAAATAATGCTCGATCATGATACTAAATGACTGTTACTGGTTTATGTATTTACTGTACTGTACTTTCATCACGTTAAAGTGTACTCCTACTTATTTTTTTTTAAGTTAACTGTAAAACAGCCTCAGGCAGGTCCTTCAGGAGGTATTCCATAAGAAGGCATTGTTATCACAGGAGATGACAGTTCCATGCATGTTTCTGTCCCTGAAGACCTCCCAGTGGGACAAGATGTGAAAGACAGTGATACTGATGATCCTGACTCTGTGTAGGCCTAGGCTCATGTGTGTGTTTGTGTCTTCATTTTTAAGAAAAAAGTTTTAAAAATAAAAATAGAAAAAAGCTTATAGAACAAGGATATAAAGACAGAAAATATTTTTGTACAGCTATGCAATATGTGTTTTAAGCTAAGTGTTATTACAAAAGAATCAAAAAGCTTTTAAAAATTAAACATTTATAAAGTAAAAAAAGTTATAGTAAGTTAAAGTTACTTTTGTGATTGAAGAAACATTGTTTCATAAAGTTAGCTTAGTCTAAAGGGGCAGTAATGTCCTAGGCCTTCACATTACTCACCACTCACTCACTGACCCACCCAAACAACATCCTGTCCTGCAAACTCCATTCATAGGGAGTGCCCCACACAGGTACCCCATTTTTATGCTGCATTCTTACTGTACCTTTTCTATATTTAGTTATGTTTAGATACAGAAATATTTCCCATTATGTTCCAATTACCTACAGTATTGAGTCCAGTAACCTGCTATACAGGTTTGTAGCCAAGGAGCAATAGGCTAGACCACACAGCCCAGGTGGGTAGTAAGTATACCATCTGGACTTGCATAAATAAACTCTATGATGGTCACACAACACAATGACAAAATCGCCCAATGACGCATTTCTCAGAACTTATCCCCATCGTGAAGCGAAGCATGACTGTATATTTAATTCATTTTGGAACGTAGACCTACAATTTTCTTCTGCTTCATGGTTGTTTTTCAGGAAGGGACTTTTTCTCAGTTGATTTGCATGCAAATGCATTCCCTCATTTTCTGAACTATTTCTCTAAAAACTTTCCTTTTATTCATTTCTATGATACTGCAGTATTTTAGAAGATTTCTCATTTAATTTCTTTTCTGTCTGGAAAAGTCCAGGTACTTCAGTGGGGTTTCATCTGTTTGTTTGTTTTGGTGGCATGGGCAGGTTAGGAGGCTGCCAGTTTTTAGTTCTCTTTTGTCTTGTAGGACAATAAAATTCCTCTTTTTTCTTTTCCTCTTCACCACCCAAGTTCCAAAGCATGCTTCTTCCTTCCTTCTCTTTTGCCTTTTTCTCTCCCAGAAGCTTTTCTCCCCAAAAGACCATCCTTTTAAATCAGATTTTCCCATTTAAAGAATGTCTATCCCTTTAAACAGTATGTCTAGTCCAAAGAAGAAATACAAATGGCCAACAAACATATGGAAAAATGTTCAACATCATTAATCATCAAGAAAATGCAAATTAAAACCACAATGAAATACCATCTTACCCTAGCCAGAATGGTTATTATTAAAAACTCAAAAAGCAAGAGGGCTGAATACGTCGGATCCCTTCTCTGCTGTCACGCTCTGAATATTTTCAGATTTCAGGTGGATTTCATCCTGCTGGGGGTCGCTCCACACTCAGGCCGCTTCACTGGCGTCCACTCTGCATGTTCCCCTGAGCTTGTTTCATCTGCCTTTGCCTGCTTCCAAACCCCACCATGTGAGGCAGGAGCATGTGGGACAATGGCTCTGGTGTTTGTTGACTTTTCTCTTTTTACTCACAGTTATTGTACAGTTTCTGCATTCGTTGACATTAATGTGGAGAGATGGTTGTCAGAATATTTTCTTTTTCTTTTTCTTTTTTTTGTTTTTTGTTTTTTGTTTTTTGTTTTTTTTTATGGAGACTTGCTCTGTCACCCAGGCTGGAGTGCAGTGGTGCAATCTCTGCAACTTCTGCCTCCTGGGTCCAAGGAATTCTCCTGCCTCAGCCTCCTGGGTAGCTGGGACTATAGGCGTACGCCACCATACCTGGCTAATTTTTGTATTTTCAGAGAAACGGGGTTTTGCCATGTTGGCCAAGCTGGTCTCGAACTTCTGGCCTCAAGCAATCTACCCACCTTGGCCTCCCAGAGTGCTGGGATTACAGGTGTGAGTCACCATGCCAGGCCAGTTGTAGCATTTTCACAGATGTAAAGTTATCTCATTTGGGAAGGGGACTAGGTGAATAATTTACTACACTCTACAATTTGTCTATAGCACCCTGAATCCCCACTTTTTTTTTGAGATGGAGTCTCACTCTGTCCCTGAGTCCCCACTTTCAAAGGGCTCATTAAAGTATAATATCCATACAAAAAGTGTACATATCACAAGTGCAGATCCCAATTAATGTTCACAAACTGCACGCACCTTTGTGTCCAGCCCAACGGCCAGGGAAAAGAGCTTTCTAGCACCATGGAACCCTCCTGTGTTCCCTCTCAGTTGCCACCCCTGCCCCTCACCAAGGGTAACCACAGCATGGATTCATTGTGCCCTTGTTTGTACATTATAGAGATGATGTCATATGGCATGTACTTGTATGTGCCTAGCCTCTTTCATCATGTTGGTGAGATTCATCCATATTGTGCAGTTGGCCCATTCTCACTGCTAAACACTGTTATCCATTTGTGAATACACCACTATTTACCCCTTCTATGGTAATTGAAGTAGTTTCAAGTTTTTGGCTAATTTGAATAGTGTTGTGGTGAACGTTCTTGTACGTGCCCTTTGGTGAATATATGTACACATTTCTGGTGGCAATACACCTAGGACTAGAGTTGTCTGTTCAGTATATAAAAATTCCTATTGCTGTACATCCTTGTCAAAATGTGGTATTGCCTATCTTTTTTATATGATCTGTTCTGGTGGTATTTGGTGATATTTCATGGTGGTTGAGCATCTAGTCATCTTTTATTGGCCATTTGGTTCTGCCCTTTTGGGAAAATCTCTTTTGGCCATTTTTCCTTTCCTAGCACTTCATTTTAGAGCAAAAAGAACTATTTCCTGGTAACTTGTGATTTCACGCTGTTCACAAAACAAATTAGTCATAGAGCAAAAAAGTCAGACCTCGAACAACGGCACTAAATTCTCCAGGATTGTGCTACCATCAGGTTAGGGATTTGGCATTAATACTGCTATTATTTGGTAATCATTTAAGGTTTTTGAGCCAGGTAATGATGGGGCCATTGGTGAATTACATAGGCTAATCTAAAGACGATGGGTGGGATGGGTTATAGAAAAGCGAACCTGTGGCTAGATAAACCAGACAAATAATGTGCCCATGGTTCAAACAGAGAGAGAAACAATAAAATTGGAAAATAAGGGACAAATCAGAGATAAATTGGAAAGAAAAATTTAACAAAAACGAAAGAGTTCTCTGATCACTTTTAAGCCCATGAGAAGAGTAGTCATAACACAGACAGAATTAAGTAAATCAGAAGAATGAGCTATTTTGGAAAAGAAAAGCATGAGTTTGGTATGAAATCCAACAATTTTGACACACCAACAGGACATCCAGGATAAAGTATATGAGAGACAACTGAAAAACAGGGATTTTAGCTCAAGAGATGCAAGATAGAGATTTGTGAATCATCTGTTAAAAAAAAAGTGATATAGAAGTAAAGACAACATAGAGAAAGAAGAACATAAGATCAAGAAGAGAAACGACACTCCTATTTAACGGATGAGGAAAAGAAAAGAATTTAAGGAAGAAGTCGGAGGAGAGTAGACCTACATCAGTAGAAGGAGAACCAGAGGAGAATTAGAAGAGTCTTACATCATAAGCATCAGAGAAATAAGACTTAAAATAGGAGACAATCAACACAGAAGCCTCAGAGAAGCAAAGTAATATATGAGATCTGGGGGAGGAGAAAAGCCTTTTGGATATAGCATACATTGTCATTGGTGACAGTGGAGAGAATGGTTTTGGGTGAGTGCTAGAGAGGAAAGTCATAAGACATTCAGAAATGAGCTGATCATCAGACAATACAGTGAGCAATGTATTATTAGAACACTATCAATGGCTTCGATTGTGAATGGCAGAAAAGAATTAGGTCAGAAAGAAGAAAAGGCAGAGAGTCAAGTGAAAACTTTTTCCAAATAAAAGAGATCTGTACTTGGATTAGGCACACAGAAAGATGCCCCCAAAAGAGTGATTCATTGATAATTTTGGAAAGTAAAGGATCGTTGCAGACCTGAAGTGCAACAGGGAAAGAAGGTTTAAAAAAACTCCTCCTGGGGAGAATAGTAAGAAATGAATTCTTCTACAATATAATCTAAAGATCCTGGATAAAATATAAAAGCCATTCTTTAAAAGTATAGGTGAATGTGCAAGAAAATAAAATTCTCAAATTCCAGATACAAAAAAGAGCTGAAAACCAAAAAGCCTTCAAGCTAACGTCACTTCCCAAGGCAGGGAAGGGGGATGGGCCTTGTTATTGATACCCTGGGGATTTGGTTTTTTGTCCACATGGGGATTAGAATTCGGGCCTCTGTGTAAAGCTAGGATCCTTTAAAATCCACCCTTATAAAAAGGTGAAAAAAGGGGGGAAAAAACCAACCATCAGCCCAGGCAGACTTTAAAAAAAAAAAAGTTGTCTGTCTCAGGCCTAGCCTTGGGTAGAAAAAACAGTCTGCCCTAGGAGCTCATGTATCTGGGTCTGGGCTGCCATGTAATGTACTAACTCTCAATCTAAGAAACCACCATAGGTCAGGCGTGGTAGCTCATGCCTGTAATCTCAGCACATTGGAAGGCTGAGGCAAGCAGATCACCTGAGGTCAGGAGTTCGAGCCCAGCCTGGCCAACATGGTGAAACCCTGTCTCCACTAAAAAAATACAAAAATTAGCCGGGCGTGGTGGTAGACGCCTGTGATCCTAGCTGCTCGGGAGGCTGAGGTGAGAGACTTGCTTGAACCCGGGAGGTGGAGGTTGCAGTGAGCCGAGATCGCATCACTGCACTCCAGCCTGGGCGACAGAGTGAAACTCCGTCTCAAAAACAAAGAAAAAAAAAAGAAACCAACATAAAATTTTGTCCCAGGTTGTTAATACCTTGGAATATGAATGCAAAGCAACCCTGTATTGGCTATGCCCCAATACAAGCCACATAGAAGTCCCATGAATAAAGTGCCAAGGAAGATGAACTTGGAGCTCGATAACTGTAAATCACAAGTAATAGTTTATAAGCATACCAGGAATCTGTCCACCCAAGGCACAATAAACTGCAGAGTTAATCTTCAGTAAATTCAGATAATTAAACAATTCAAGTTAAACCATAAAATAATTATGTTTAAAATGATTAAGGACATAAAAGAAGATACGGAAAAAAAACTTCAGAGTAATACACTGTTTAAAAATTAAAATCAGGAAAGAAAAAGCTGAGAAGGAAGATACATTGGAAATAAGTGGGCCGGGCTCTGTGGCTCACGCCTGTAATCCCAGCACTTTGGGAGGCCAAGGCAGGTAGATCACGAGGTCAGGAGTTTAAGACCAGCCTGGCCAAGATGGTGAAACCCCGTCTTTACTAAAAATACAAAAAGTTAGCCAGCCCTCGTGGCAGGCGCCTATAATCCCAGCTACTTGGGAGGCTGAGGCAGGAGAATCGCTTGAACCAGGGAGGCAGAGGTTGCAGTGAGCTGAGATGGCACCACTACACTCCAGCCTGGGCAACAGAGCGAGACTCCATCTCAAAAAAAAAAAATAAGAAAATAAGAAAATAAGTAAAATTTCTAAGAATAAAAAATAGGTATAGCCATCGAAATTATAAAATTCAGCAAATGCATCAAAGAGCAAGGTCAACATAGGAAAAGAGAGATTTGGTGTACAAAAAGCTAGATCTGAGGAAATTGCTCAATTGAATCTCAAAGAGACAAAAACAGATGAAACTATCAGGAAGAGGTTAAGAAACAGAAAGGATAAAATGAAAAAGAGTTCTAGAAGGAGATCCAACCAAAGAAAAGAAGGGATTGGTCATTCATTCATTCATTCATTCGAGGGCCAAATGAATCTAGAAAGCTTGAATTTTAAATCACTCAAGTTGACACAACCGGTATACCAGCTCTTCCGTCTGATTATTCCAATCCACATTCTTCTCTTCCTTTTCTAAAGTTCACTGGTAATTACAACCCATACCTCACAATGCACCTCCTGATTACACGCTGCCTCGTATACAGCAATGTTTTCACACATGCTATTTATATCTCCCTAATTAAACTGCAAGAACCTAAAAGAAATCATGTCTTATATCTTACATTTCCTACAGTGCCTGGTATTACTCAATCTAAACTAGAATTTAAAGAGATAAATAATAGAATTAAAGATAAAAGCCTTCATTTGAAGGCTTCAACCTGTAATCATTTACTTTAATAAAGGCATATTCATTTATCTTTTTTATAGACAAAACATATCCCATTCAAAAACATGCACATTCCACCAACATGTGCATGAGTTCAGCTTAAACTTTATCTTTAGCTTAAAATGCCTTTAAGTATTCTTTCTTTCAGTATGCACCCAGCAAGTTTGCATGCTGAGCATATTTTGTAAATCAAGCTATAAATAACTATAATAAATGTCATATGTAAATTGATCTATTTTCAAGGTTTCTGAGTACAACAGAAGATCTGAATAATTTTTTGAATAGCTGACAAATACTTTTTCTGTTTTTGCATTTGGATATCTCCCAAACAACTGAGCAAATTTTCCTAAAACTTCATCTACAATTCTCTGTAGGATTAAGAATGGACATGAGAAAATTCATTTCTGAAACAGGTAATTAATGAAGGTCAAAGGCAATGAAAATTAACAGCTCGATACATGATCCCTGCAATCACTCGGCTTTATTCTAGTGACACAATAAAGAATGCATGATGGTAACATTGAAAAGAATAACCAGTAGAAATATGCATATTTTCTACTGTTTTTTTTTCAATGTTACCATCTATAATTCTTAATGGCACATCACTGCTGTCCATTTCAGCATAAAATTCATTTTTAGGACACAAGTTGAGAGTATCTTAAGCAATAATCTACACTTTCTTCATCACCTCTAAAATGACTTAATGAAAGCAAGTCAAATCTTTAAAAAGGTGTCTGCACCATTAAAATAACTGGATTCCTTCATCCCACTGCTATCTTCCCCATATCATGGAAAGATTCATTGCTGAGAAGACATAATATAGTGGCCAAAAAGGAAATTGGTCTGAAGAAATTAATAAATCAGGAGACACAAGCCAGCAAACCCAGAGAGAAAAACCCAAAGTGGTTTCCTCTTATTCTCCTCTACCTTTCCCCAAAACACTACACACACACACACACTCTCTCTCTCTCTCTCTTTAATCTTCAAACCAAGAGAGACTTCAAAGTCCAAGAAAGTCCAAGAGCAAAAATGACAAAGCAGCAGCAGCAGCTGTCTCAGCTGATTGGGACACAGGTTTAGGTACCATGCTCCTCATTAAAAAACCCGGCTAAGTCCCACATTAATCTTCATAGTTAATTTCTTTTACTTAAAGGCATACATGTTTGTGGATAAGAATTTGACTAACAGTTGTTTGGCCAGAAGCTAAAATAAAATTTTAAATTCTAAATGACATCGTGTAATATACATGATATTACACGAATGTGAAGCCAGCTATGCCAAGCCCCTCAGCCACCCCAGTACTCTGCTCTTGAGGTGGTCCAAGCTCACCTGTAGAAAAGGTAAACACAAATCGAGTAGTACATGTGAAATCCATTCGTTCCCTGGTCTGTGTTTACAGGTACCATGCTTGCAGCCACACATCAAGTAAGGATTTTTGGCCATGAAACTTTCCAAATGAAGTCTGCTAACTCCTGAATAACAGCCAACAGCTATCTCACCAACGTTTCCTTGGGGACCTCCAGGACTTAATTCCTTCAAAGAGTTCTGTCTTCTCCATCTGCACACCATTCTATTTGTAAATGTGAGACTTTGAACTCAAGAGAGGAGATCTAATTAGTAGAGAAAGCAGAGGGACGTTCAACAGGTCTATCTAGGGGATCGGGGCCTTTAGTACACAATAGGGAGAGAGAAGCCTCAGCACCACTTGTGAGACTCACAGAAAAGTGACAATTAAGTTCTCTGAGCTCCCTAAGAAAAAGAAGTCTATGCATGCATTCTCTTTTGCAAGCATTCTCCTTTGAATACTAATCCTAGAAATGTCACTCCAGAAGCCAGAAGAAATTATAAGATGTTTCCTAGTTCTGTCAATGCAAGAGACCCTGAGGGAATATCTTGTT
Organism: Homo sapiens; assembly: GCF_000001405.40. Classification (NCBI taxonomy): domain Eukaryota; kingdom Metazoa; phylum Chordata; class Mammalia; order Primates; family Hominidae; genus Homo; species Homo sapiens. Next base: position 29,944,437 of record NC_000008.11, read on the forward strand.
TAGAGCTGTGCTGCAGGCATTCAGAGGGATAGAGCAGAGCTTCTTAGCAAAAATAAATAAATAAATAAATATGCCCCCATATGCAAACTATCTAATAAGCAATCACACTTCTCTGTTAAGCTAAGACCCTCCAAAGCACTCTAGGAAAAATTTGTCTTTTAGAGTAAATCATCCCTGGATTAAGTCTGGGTTTTCTTATAATTTTTTTAATTAAACAAATATTGCATTCATAGTATCACAGTACGGATCATATACCAAACAGACTTCTCATCTGATTTCTTGCTATTTGCATAGCATTCCACTTTCAGTTTTTGAGATGGGAGAAGAGTCTCTGCATCTAAAGGTCACAGTCATTCTGTGGCACTTTGCCCATGGAAGCGCTCTGTCAATAGAATATCCTCAGATGTGCTGAATTGAATGAAGTATGCATGCTAAAATAGATAAACAAGCAAACAAAACCTGAGAGTCGGAAAGTACCAAAAGTCCAATCCTCTATTGAGGCCCAGAGAGAGGCCCCAACTCTCATGGGTACAGTCAGAGCCATTAGCAACTGGGGCCACAGGCCACAGCCTTTCTATGCTCCATACTTCTGACACTGGTAAGAGTAAAGGGCCGCAGGACACATATGCTATACCAGTTGGGGGATTCAGAGTTACATGCCATTCAGCTTGGACCAGTATGATTTATTATGTTGGTACAAAAATGTTTGTGGTCTTTGTCATTGCTTTTAATGGCAAAAACCGCAACCGCTTTTGCACCAACCATATTATACAAGATGTTGATGTGGTCTGGTGTAGTTCTCCTTCAGAGTCCACTATTATGCTCACCAATCCCAGTGCAAAGCCATTATTACCCTAGGTCACAGGAAAAGTCATATCTCTTGGGTTCACCTCTCCCTTGCAAGTCTATTAGGGGTGGGAGTGTTTGTTTTTAGAGACAGGATCTCACTCTGGCATCCAGGTTGGAATGCACTGGCACAATTATAGCTCACTGCAGCCTCGAACTCCTGGGCCAAAGCGATTCTCCTGCCTCAGCTTCCCAAAGCACTGGGATTACAAGGCATGAGCCACCACACACACTCTCCAAGTCTTGTTTTTTGTAAGTCACTTGACTTAGTAACTTCCAAAATTCTAACCAAAAGTTTTCTCCTGTTCTAAACTTCCCCTTCAATGAGAAAACATGGTTTGCGTCGACTCCTTTCAGCTACCAATGTTCAAAAAGCTCCTTCCCACTTTCTGAACCCACTGCTTCTTTAAAATGACACCATTCCATATGGTAGCACCAGCCACATGTGTTACATAAATTTAAATGTTCATTATTTTAAATTAAATAAAATTGAAAATTCAGTTTCTAAGTCACATTAACCACACGTCAAGTGTTCACGACCCACATACATTGATGGTGGCCATAGCACTGGACAGCACAGGTGGCTACAGTATTAGACACCACAGATAGAGAACATTTTCATCATCACAGAAATGTCTATTGGACAGTGCAGCTCTAGAAGCTGCAGATTTCCTCCCAGCTAGACTGTGAATTCCTTAATCTTCTCAAACACTGCAACTCTGAAACACGGTTGATTATTATTAGGCCCCAGCTAAAATGGGATTACACTAAATTTTATTTGTAGCAGAGGACTTTGCATCCTAGGCCAATATTTTTTTCACCTTTTATTTTGAGATAATTGCAAATTTTGATGCAATTGTTAAAAAAATGATACAGAAGGATTTCATCTCCCCTTTCCTCAGTTTCCTCCACTGGTTACATCTTTTATAAATATAATACAACATCAAAACCAGGAAATCGACATTGCTATTATCCACCTACTTTATTCAGATCTCACCAATTTTATATGCACTCATTCAAGTGGTATATGTCTCTGTGTGCATATGTGTATTACTTAGTTCCATTAAATGTTATTACATGTTCAGGTTCAGGAACCACCATCACAGTCAAGATTCACATGAATCTCTCCTGCCACCACTTTGTAGTCACAACCACCTCCCTCCTTCTCCTCTCCCTAACCCCCAGAAACCACTAATCTGCTTCCTATGTCTATAATTTTGTCATTTTAAGACAGTATATGAATGGACTCAAACTGTATTTAACATTTGAGACTGGCTTTTTTCACTCACATAATTCCCCTGAAATACATTCAAGTTGTTAAGTATTTCAGTAGTTTATTCCTTTTATTGCTAAGTGTTATTCTATGGTATGGACATACCACCATTTGTTTAATCATTAGCCCATTTATGGACATTTGGGTTGTTTCCAGTTTTTTGTTTTGGGTTTTTTTTTTTTTTGGAGATGGAGTCTCACTTTGTCAACCAGGATAGAGTGACATGACCACAGCTCACTGCAGCCTCAACATCCCGGGCTCAAGCAATCCTCCCACCTCAGCCTCTGGAGTAGCTGGGAACACAGATGTGCACCACCATGCCTGGCTAATTTTTGTATTTTTTGTAGAGACAAGGTATCATTGTGTTGTCCAGGCTGGTCTCAAACTCCTGAGCTCAAGCAATCCTCCTGCCTCAGCCTCCCAAAGTGCTGGGATTACAGGCCTGAGCCATTGCATTTCCAGTTTTTAACTATTACAAGTAAAGCTGCTATGAGCATTCGTGTACATGTCTGTGTGTGAACACAGTTTTCATCTCTCTGAGATAAATGCCCAAAAGTGCAATTGCTGGATCATATGGTAAAAGCATGTTTAGTTTTTAAAGAAACTGCCATGTGCTTTCCCAGAGTGGCTGGCCAGTTTACATGCCAACCTGCAATGTATGAGTGATCCAGTTTCTCTGTATCTTCATCAGCATTTGGTGTTGTCACTACTTCTTATTTTGCCATTGTAATAGGTATGTACTGATATATTTTTGTGGTTTTGATTTGCATTTCCTAATGGCTAACGATCATCTTTTTCATGTGCTTGTTTACCATCTGTACAGCCTCATCTGTGAAATGTCTGTTCACACCTTTTGCCCATTTTCTAATTGGATTGTGTGTTATTTCACTGCTGACTTTTGAGAGTCTTTATTAATCTAGATACTAGTACTTTATGAGATATGTGGTTTGCAAATATTTCCTCCTATCCACTAGCTTGTCTCTTTGTCCCCCTCACAGGGTCTTCCACAGAGCAAAGTTTTCAATTCTAACGATGTCCAATTTACCAATTTTTCTTTTTCTGGATCATATTATTAGTGTCAAGTCTATGAACTCCTCACCAACCCCTGGGGCCTTTTTTTCCTAAAAGTTGTATAGTTTTGCATTTTATGTCTAAGTCCATGTTCCATTTTGAGTTAATGTTTGTGTAAAGTGTAAGGTTTAGGTCTAGTTCTTTTTTTTTTTTTTTTTTTTTGCCTATAGATGTCCAATTGCTATAGTTCCATTTATTAAAAAGACTGTCTTTCCTGCATTGAATTGCTTTTTGCCTCTTTGCCAAAAACTAGCTGGGCAGAAGAGGTTCTAGAAATCTGTTGCACAACGACATGAATGTACTTAACACTAGCAAACTGTGCACTTAAACATAGTTAAGATGACCCATTTTATGTTGTGTTTTTAGTAAAACTGAAATTTTTTAATTTAAAAATTACTTGGGCATACTTGTGTGGGTCTGATTCTGGATTCTCTATTCTGTTCCATTGATCTATGTGTCTGTCTCTTTGTCAATATCACACTGCCTTGATCTAGAGTAGATATTTAACATGTTCAAATCAGGTAAAGTGATTCCTCCCACTTTATTCTTTTCGAAATTGTTTTAGCTATTCTAGATTCTGTGCAGATATTTCTATTTTTATTTTATCCTTCAAAAAAGTTAATAAAAGCATTTCACAGAAGGAAAAACTGAGGCATTAATCTGTATTTACTCACCAAAAATTTATTCAAATAATCATTGAGCATCTTTTCTTTTTTTTAATTATACTTTAAGTTTTAATAAAATTTAATACTTTAAGTTTCATGTCATGGAGGGTGTTTTAGGATACATGAAAGATCATAATCATTCTCCCCTCTGAGCCTACTGTTAACTCTCAGGTGGTGATAGTCCTGTGTTATCAGTTAGTAGTGGAAGCTGTATCTATGATACAGCTCAGTTAAGCAGAGGTTAGTAGAGGAAGAAGATGGACACAGCTACTCCAGAGCAAAGACTTAGGGTCGATGGCTTTACTTGTCAACAGACGGCATCTTTACTGCTTGGCATAGGCCACTTGATAGCTGGAATACACCCTATGGTAAGGTCCATTTAGCTTCTGCAGAGCTGAGGGGCTACTTTGCAGTGACTGTAGCTTTTCATGAGTTTCCAACTGTCAACACAATGATCCTGCACAATAATGCAATGCTATTTGGAAACACAATACTTACATCCTTTTAATATCGGCTTTTAAGGTATCATTCGGGAAAGACAAGAGCAATATGGAATCATCTATCCCATTACAAACACATGACTTCATTACTTTTGCTGTATGGTTCTCATATGAGCAGAAAATTTCTTGGTTTCTTAGAAGATTAAGGAAGGTCAAATGGGGTTTTCATTGTCTATCAAAAGATAACTGTTGGTTTCTACAATAGGATCTTATATATAAGGTAATCCCTTACAAGAAAAGAAAAGTTCCAGAATAAATTGATCACTATAGGCAGGTCACATTAAAGAACTCTATAAGGCCCATTTTCAAATATTGTGCAAGACAACAGGCTTACAGAGATGGAAAAGGATTGGTCTCTGACCTCAAGTATTGAATGACAGCAGGTAACTATAATAAATTCTAAAATAAAGGTTTGCATAAAGCTCCACTGGAGCCTGGAGGAAGAAAATTTGTACTCAATCAGAAGAGGTCAGAGAAAGCCTTACAGAAAATTTGAAATTAGAGTCAGTTTTGAAAGGTTTAAAACCATAGATCAAAGTCAAGAAAAGAGCCATCTTGGAAAAAAATTGTTTTAATCCTCAATGGAATGTTTTAGTGATCTATTGCACTGAATGTTGACCACAGTTAACAATAATGTATGGTATATTTCCAATTGCCACAATAGATTTTTAACATTCCCACCACAAAAAAAAATCACAAATTGGTGAGGTGATGGCTATATTAATTAGCTTGACTGAATCTTTCTGTAATGCACAATAGATCAAAACATCCCATTGTGTCCCATAAACATACACAATTATTTGTTACTTAAAAATCAGTTTTAAAAATTCCTCAGTGAGAAGTTTCACTGCAGAACTCTTCCTTCACATACATATCTGTCAGCTTATTTATCATAAAACAGGACAGACAATTGACACTGTCAGTCAGGGCAAAGGAAAAGTGAGGGTAAAAAAAATAATACCCAAATACATGTCATAGGCTCTGTGTAATGACTACAAGAGCATTACAACTGGATGTGTGCTTCCTGCCAGCCAAAACAAAGGCAAAAATTAGTATAGTAGTCACAGTATCCATGAAATAAAAATTTACCTGCTTCCCAGGAGATTCAGAGCTTGCCTTATACCCAAATCTGAGAAGTGTTTCTTAGGAGGTTCCACAGAGAGGTATTATATGCCTAGCCAATTAACACCCTCCATGACATCCCTGCTGCACAGGCAGAGGATGGCATAGGCCTTTTTCTTTTCGCATCCCTCAGTGTTGCTTAGGCAACTCCCTGATGGTCTCATTGACTGAGCAAGGGATGGACAGCTCCTCTTTTTAAAATGTTTTGTAGAAATGGGATCTTGCTATGTTGCCCTGGCTGGTCTCAAACTCCTGATCTCAAGCGATCCTCCTGCCTTGGCCTCCCAAAGCACTGGGGCTACAGGTGTGAGCCACCATGCCCAGCAAACAGCTCCTTTTTGAGGCAATATTCCACAAATGTTATTTCTTCCTTGTGGACTTTTGATGAGAATTGGGCTAGCCTGGAGTATGCCCTGGGAATACACCTTAAGTCTTACTAGAAACAATATCAGTTAAATATGCATCTCCTCATGTGATAAAACCTTAAACTCTATAGTGCTGTTTCAGGTTTTTGTGTGAACAAATTATAGTAATTTCATTTCCGTGTCATCAAGAGTGTCACACAGAGACTGTGAGAAATGATTGTGACACTCTTGATGGCATGGAAATCACTACCAACCCAAGAAACAACGCACATCTTTATGCTCTTTGAGTCGCACCCATTCCTAGAGGTTCCACTTCACAGCAGAGTCTGAAAACACAGATTTCTATTGGCCCAGGGTTTCAGGAAGAATCCCCCAAGCAAACAGCCCAGGGCCCTGAAAAGAGTTAGGAAATGTTTTCAGTAGTGACAGCATTTGACAGCTCAGATCCCCACATTAACTGTCACCAAGACAGAGACATAAATATTCAACTGGCCTGCCGCAGCAGCTCACACTTGAAATCTCAGCACTTTGGAAGGACGAGGTGGGAAGATTGCTTGAGCCTCGAAATTCAAGACCAGCCTGGGCAACAGAGTGAGACCCCTATCTCTACAAAAAATACAAAGAAAAAGAAATAATGTTCAACTAAATGCAAAGCAAACTAATCAACGTGTTAATAGAAGTGTGGCCTTTACTCCTTTTGACAAAAGGAAGAAAGGACTCTGCTGTCCAGATAATGTGGTCCCGTCTCCTTGTTGACCAAATTACTATAATTTTTTCACCCAAAAACCTGAAACAGCACTATAGAGTTTAAGTTTTTATCACACGAGGAGATACATATCTAATTGATATTGTGCCTACTTATACTTAGAGTGTAGTCCCAGGGCATATTCCAGGCTAGCCCAATTCTCATCAAAAGTCCACAAGGAAGAAATAACATTTGTGGAATATTGCCTCAAAAAGGAGCTCTTTGCTGGGCATGGTGGCTCACACCTGTAACCCCAGTGCTTTGGGAGGCCAAGGCAGGAGGATCGCTTGAGACCAGGAGTTTGAGACCAGCCAGAGAAACATAGTGAGATCCCATTTTTACAAAAAATTTTAAAAAGGGGAGCTGTCCGGCCGGGTGCGGTGGCTCACGCCTGTAATCCCAGCACTTTGGGAGGCCGAGGTGGGCAGATCGTGAGGTCAGGAGATCGAGACCATCCTGATTAACACAGTGAAACCCCGTCTCTACTCAAAATACAAAAATTAGCCAGGCGTGGTGGTGGGCGCCTGTAGTCCCAGCTACTTGGGAGGCTGAGGCGGGAGAATGGCGTGAACCCAGGAGGCGGAACTTGCAGTGAGCCGAGATCACGCCACTGCACTCCAGCCTGGGCGACAGAGTGAGACTCCATCTCAAAAAAAAAAGGGGGAGGATAGGGGGAGCTGTCCATCCCTTACTCAGTCAATGAGACCATCAGGGAGTTGCCTAAGCAACACTGAGGGATGCAAAAAGAAACAGGCCTATGACATCCTCTTTGCCTGTGCAGCAGGGATGTCATGGAGAGTGTTAATCGGCCAGGCATATAATACCTCTCTGTGGAACCTCCTAAGAAACTCTTCTCAGATCTGGGTATAAGACAAGCTCTGAATCTCCTAGGAAGCAGGTAAATTTTTATTTTATGGATACTACTGTACTAATTTTTGCCTTTGTTTTGGCTAGCAGGAAGCACACATCCAGTTGTAATGCTCTTGAAGTCATTACACAGAGCCTATGACATGTATATGGGTATTATTTTTTTTACCCTCACTTTTCCTTCACCCTGACTTCATTATTTATTTTTTTGTCCTCTTTGTTATTTCTGTAGTATATAAAAAATAAAATGCTAGCCAAGGGAATAAATGTTGATATATATCTGTCTGTAATTTATGCAGGTCGGTAGAGAGCATCAACATATATTGTGGAGCAGGAAAGCAAACGTCCAGAGAGAATGTCTATGATGGTACCCAATGAGTCTAGGACCAGGATTCTTATGCTATGGTCACTCATATTTTTGAGTTTCATCAAATGAATGTCCTTCACATCACCAGCAAGCAGCTTCCACCTTCTGGATCTTCAGAATGGTCTTAAAGATGAGGGATGGAGGCCAGGCATGCTGGCTTATGACTGTAATCCCAGCAGGAAGCTAGGAGCCCAAGGCAGGAAGATTGCTTGAGGCTAAGAGTTCAAGATCAGTTTGGGCAACACAGCAAAAACCTATCTCTACAAAAACTAAAAATAAAAATAAATCACCTGAGCATGGTGGTGCATGCTTATAGGCTGAGGTGGCTAAGGTGGAAGGATTGCTTAAGCCCAGGAAGTTGAGACCGCAGAGAGCCATGATAGCACCATTGCACTCTGAGCAACAGGGCAAGACCCCAACTCTAAAAAAATAAATAAACAAATAGAGATGGAAGGAAGAATTAATGGATAAAGTTTTGAGACTATCCCACTTATAAAAGAATTATTTTTATTTCTTGAATATAAGAAAGACAGGGTCTTGCCATATTGCCCAGGCTGGTCTCGAATGCCTGGGCTCTATCAATCCAACCATGCCCAGTTAATGTATTTATTTATATTTATTTTTTGTAGAGATAGGTTCTTGCTATGATGCCCAAGCTGATCTTGAACTCCTGGCCTCAGTTGAGCCACTGTGCCCAGCCTTAGGAGAATTATTAAATGTATAAGTAAATGTGATTCAATGCTCATACCTCTCTAAACTTATTTCATAAACACATTCAGAATCATAAAATGATGGTTCACTTTTTTAACCCACATTTGTAAAATATAGTAAACATAGCTATAACTTAATTACTATCTTAGCTTGGGTGTCCCTGAAAGCAGAGCTTGAGGCAAAGACTTACGTGTGATTGTTTTCCTGAGATACATGATTCCAAGGAGAGGATGTGAATGACAGTGTCAGCAAGTGAGCAAGGAGGAAGGGTCCCTAGAAATGGGCATTGGCAAGTTGGCCTCCACTGTGGGTAATTGGCTTCTCAGTCCTGAAGGACTATTTGACAAGCCATATGAAATATGTTTTAGAACTGTGAATAGAGGAAGAAACATTTATTCACCAGTTTCCAAAACCCATTGATCAAAGGTCATGCCCCAAGTGTTAACACCCCCAGTGCCTTCCAGCTTATGCATATGTGAGCCCTGGTGGGTTTCCAGGCACCTGGCACCCAGACTGCAATGGCAGAGAAGCCCAGGGTGGGATGTTAGAGGGCATAGTAAGGGTCAGAGGCATCTGCAGGAAGGAACTGATGATCCGCAGCATCTTGTCATATTCTGAGAACTTATTAAAAGCAAGCAAAAGAAACTGTACTTTTTTCTTGATCTGTCTGTAACCCTTTTAAAGCTGAAAAGGAAATAAAAGCTTTTTATTTCATGGCCTCCTGTGCAAAAAACATAGGTCAGATGAAAAATCAAATACTGAAGTTACCATTAGCATCTGAGAAGAGCTGGAAGCTAAATATCCCATTGTGTCTGATATAAGTATTACATGAAATTAATGAAGAATATCAATACAGGTATGACAAGAAGGCAGTGACTAAGAGTCTTCTAATCTGAAAGAGACAGTAGGGAAGGACCACCCATCCCACTTCCAATCTAAACACTGTGTGGACTTAATATAGTGTTTAGTCTCTATCTTCCAGCTGAACACCAAGTTGAAGATGGCAGACAGTAGCTATTTAAATGGAAAATTAGTTCTCATACATCCAAACAATATCCAGGAACTCTGGCAGCCTGAGATTATCAGAACATAATAAATCTTTTGCTATTATGATCAGAATTTGCAGCAAAGACATAGAATTCCAGTTACAGAGGTAGTTACAAGAATAAGCCAGGAGCTGTGAATAGGGCTTACGGAATTTTTTAATAAATGAGTGAAAGCTAGACATTTCTCCACAGAGCAAAAAAAACCTTTAACAGACAGACTCTCACTCTGTTTCTCAGGCTGGATTGCAGTAGCACAATCATTGCTCACTGTAACTTCAAACTTCTGGGCTCAAGTGACCCTCCCATCTCAGCATCCCAAGTAGCTGGGACTACAGGTACATGCCACCACATCTGGGTAATTTTTTTTTTATTTTTTTGTAGAGAAGGGGTCTCGCTATGTTGCCCAGACAGGTCTTGAACTCTTGGCCTCAAGTGACCCTCCCACCTCAGCCTCCCAAAGCACTGAGTTTACAGAAATGAGCCACTATTCCTGGCTGAAAGACATTTTTAAATACAGCATTAAAATACATAATACAAAATTAAGGTAGTGAAAATAAATAGTTTTAATGTACAGAGAGATTTATCACAATATTTCTAAAGGGCTATATCCCTTTAAATCTAAATTTTATATTAATCATTTATAATTACTCATTAAACTTTTATAGGGGAAAAAATAAGTGACTAGATTTTATGGGAATGTAGCTCTGTTTCACATTAGGGGATTGTCTTAGATAACATTTCACCAAGTTATTAAAAGGACTTCTGTGAGCAGAGAATTGCATGGTAAGATATGCTAGAGAAACTCTGGGTTATACAAGGTAAACCAGTCTCTCTTCTGCAGGAATTTCACTTTGCGGGACGTGGAGATTGCTGATGGGGTCTAAGAGTGCCCTGCTTCTGCCAAGCTTGTTTAAATAGCACTATTCCAAGGACATTCCATGGAACATAAGTGCACTAAATGCCAATGTGAGAAGCTGATCAAAGCCCTAATTTTTGAACTGTGTCTGCCCGTGAAGTCCTGGAGTTCCATGGCTGTGCCTCAAGGCTACTCAAGAAAGGGAGGGAGGAGACGAAAGTGGGGAGTCCCTGAGCCAACAGAGCCCTGAGCCTTTCATTCCTGTGGTTAGCCAGAGTCCTTTTACATCTATATTTATATACTTATTTAACATCTTTATATTTATATATTCATTTTATATCTATATTTATATGCTGGGTTTCCAGGTAAGATTTTGGTTATGTAAAAACTCAGGTCTTTTTAAAAAAAAAAAAAAGTGCAAACACCTCATCTAGAATCAGTGCATCCACACAGACATAAGTCTAAGGCAGCAGTTCTATGAAGACAGTTGTGGAACCAGGCTCACCCCTAATATCAGCATTGCCTTGGCCAAGAGTACAAATGGAGGCCCACATAGATTATACATCCAATGTATGAGTTATATATCAAGCTAGCATCACTAGTTAAAACATTGCTACTTCCACAAATATACCCAAATTCAGAATCCTTAGACTTCCAGAAATCTACTGAAAAATGGTCTCTTCCCACCTCCAGTTCCTACCACAAGCAGTCCAGTGTACAACCAAGAACGTAAGTTAAAGCTTCACCCGTGGTCCTTGAAACAGTAATGATTTGACCATCACTTGGCTCAAGTGGGCACACACAGTCAGCATACTTCACTCTAGAGAGGAAAGACCTCAGAAAGAGGGCCACAAGCCTTGGAAGTTTAATTGTGACCATTTGGGCAGAGAATTCTGAGGTCTCATGTATCAGGAATGTGTTCCAGAAGGAAGATATATGGGGTCCAGATGGTTTTATTCTCTTATCCCAAGGACTTCTTGCTTAATGGGGAGGGAAAGGAACAAAGAAGGATGAGAGTGGAGCTCTCTAAAGCATAGGGCTCAAAGCAAGAGGTCTTCTTGCCAGGATTTAGGGCAGTACTAGCGGGAATCCCAATTGCAAGACGTCAGGCAGAAAAGGAAAGATGAAGTTGTCCCATGGGGCCAGCTTGCAGAAACCCAATCATGACAGCGATTGCAAACACTGTGGGGCCAGTCTCGGTGCACCTGAGCTTTCTTTTTTCTGATGAGAAAACCCAAAGCGTTTTATTTAGCTTTCTGAGCTAATCTTATAAGAAAATAAAATTCCAGCCTCAATTGTTGAAATTGTTACTTAGGAGAAAACTAAATAGAGAAATTTGAGATTAAATTCATAAACAGGGATGTTAGTAACAAACCACTTTGTAGGAGTTAGTGAGAGACGATGAGTCATAAAGACAAATTTCAAGCAAACATTTACCCATTAAACAAGTGTCATTAGCATCCATATTATAGGTACTAGGGATATGCCAGTGAATAATTCAAAGTTCTTGCCCTTGAGGAACTTAATTATTTTAGGATCAGCACATATATGTGTGCTCACACACCACACCCACTTCACGCACACACTTGAATAGTGATAAATTCTACGATAAAATGTAAACAGAGGTGGGAGTGGTGAGTGAAGAACTCTCTGAAGCTGTGATACTTAAGCAGAGACATGAAAGAAATGAGCTTTGTACACCTCTAGGGGAAGAGCATTCCAGGCAGAAGTAACAGTAAGTGCAAAGTCCCTGGGGTAAGAATAAGCTTAGAATGATCAAAGAATAATGCAGGAAAGTATAGCTAGGTCAGGGTGTGTAAAGGGGAGACAGGTAGAAAATATGAGAGTGGAAAGGTTGGCATTGCCAGATTGTGCAATGTACCATGTGGATCTAGAATTCAAGACAAAGGTCTGGACTCCAGCTGAATATTCAGGAGTGACTAGCAAGAGGTGACAGTTAAAGCTCAAAGAAAAAAAAATTCACCCAAGAGTAAACAGAATAAAACTAATCAAATTTGAGAGGAGTCCTGGAAAGCATTGATAGTGAACATGGCAAGAGGAATCAACGATGAAGCCTGGAAATAAGTGATCCTTTCTGGAGGAATGAAGTGTACAGGAGGGTTAAATATTAAAGAGAAGTTAGTTCAACTTAAAACCACCAGAGGTCCATTGGCTTTGATGAGCAGGAAGTCACTGGGGGCCCCTGCCAAGGCAACTGCTATGCACTGGTGAGAGTAGAAGTCAAAACTCTACTTGAGTTTTGAAGTCAAAACCCTTGAGAAATGTGTTAGAAATGAGTGAGGAGATTCTGCAAATTTGGATTGGTTTTTTAAGAATCTTGGCTGTGTAGGAGGGAGAATGGATAGGGCAGCAATTTCAGGATGAATTGGGGAAAATACTGGAGTTAAGTTGGAAAAAACTGATGTATGCTTGTTGGCTACATCAATAAGCACACACCAGTTTTTTCCATCTTAACTCCAGAAAGGAGCTGAGAAAGAAAGAGACGTTTAAGGTGCATGGGAGAGGATGTTGCTGAAGCAGCCTTCTCCATTCCACACATTGCCTTCCTGTGGGAAGACTTCAATTAACATTGCTTACTCTATCTTATTTGATTGGCAAATTTAGGAAGAAAATGGCAATCTTGGCTCAAGTCTTCCCTTTGCCCTATCAGAAGTGAACCTGCCCACAGAAGGCACAAATTTGCCTCTGCTCCTCCATGATGTAATTTTGACCTGTAAAGGCTACCATACAGCACTGCTGAGAACTGACCAGTCCTGGGGTTCAGATCTCAGGTCCATTTGACAGAGACACCAAGCCACATCCTCCAACTCAGCTCTATCCATAATATTGCTGTGGCCTCTGTCTTTATTCTTTGATTCACTTCCTGAATTGTGCAGCACTGAGGTGGAAAAGACAGAAGGCTGCTTACTGGTCCTCAGTGGACTCAACATTGTGAATAATTGATTAATTAAGATATGAAGGAAAGGAAAGGAAATTTTACAAAGAAGGAGCAAACAGAAGAAATGACTTCCCATCCTCTCAAACCAAAAAGTAGGAGAGAAGCATGTGCATGGGAGACAGGAGTTGAAAGTGTTCACAGCTGATATTGTCTACTTTCTCTATGCAGCTGGAAACAAAGCTATTTGCTGAGAGTGAGAATGTTAAAGATTTGAAGCCTTGAAGAGGTTGAAACACTACTTGAGAGAATGAGAGAGAGGGGATAAAGGATAAGTAAATGTGAGGAAAGTCCCCTCATTGCAATATGTTCACAACTAAATTGCACTTGCCCCAAAAACAAAGCCAAGGGAAAAAAATGTAGAAAATGTAGGTAGAAATGGCTACATAATCAGCTTACAATTTCAACTACAATTGACAATCAGTATTCCTCCCAGGGTAGACTCTTGGGGAAAGAGCAAGGGCCTAGAAACCTGGATTTATATCCCAGAACTGCCAGTAATGAATACATTGGGTGAGCTGATGAAGAAGATAATTGCATGTGGTTGGAAGCTGCTGGCAGGGCCCTCATGACCCCTCCCTCCTGGTGTCCACTCCTTTGTGTAACTCCCTCCTCTTGTATGTGAGCTTGACCTAATGACTCACTTCTAAAGAACTGAGTCCAGCAAGAGTAATGGGATGTCACTTCTGGTATTAGGTTACAAAAAACTGACTTCTGTCTTTATCCACGCTCTCACTCTCTCCATGTTTGCTCTGATGAGGCAAGTTGAAGAGGTACACATGGTGGGGAACTGAGGGTGACCTCCACCTGACTACCAGCAAGGAACTGAAGCCCTCAATGCAACACCCATCCAGGAACTGCCCTGGGTCCATAAATACATGAGTGAGATTGAAAGAAGATCCTTCCCTGTTGAGTTTTCAGATCAGAATGCAGCCCTGGTCAGCACTTCTGTTGCCTTCTTATGAGGGATCCCAAAGCTGTGCCTGGATTCTGACCCACAGAAACTGTGAGCAAATAAATGTGTATTATTTGAAGCTGCTAAGTTTGGGGGCAATTTGTAATGCACAATAAATAATTCATGATGTGAAACTGTCTGTCATGCTGGTAGGAGCTGACTGGTGTTTCCGTGGCAGCTGAGAGATGGATCATTTAATGGGATATTGTATTAGTTCATTCTCACACTGCTATAAATAACTGCCCAAGACTGGGTAATTTATAAAGAAAAGAGATTTAATTGACTCACAGTTCTGCATGGCTGGGGAAACCTCAGGAAACTTATAATCGTGGCAGGAGGGAAAGCAGGCACATCTAACATGGTGACAGGCGAGAGGGAGCATGTGAAGGAGGAACCGTCAAACACTTATAAAACCATTATACCTCGTGAGAACTCACTATCATGAAAACAGCATGGGGGAGACGGCTTCCATGATCCAATCACCTCCCACAAGGTCCCTCCCTCAACATCTGGGGATTATGGGAATTACAATTCGAGACAAGATTTGGGTGGGGACAAAGAGCCAAACCATATCACATATCTTTCTGTCCTTCTCCCGATTCTGTCCAAAGAGAAGATGAAGGAAGAGGGATAGAGATAACTGCAATTTATATTTATCAAGTGCCTACTGTGTGCCAGCACTTTAATAAGTACATAATTTAAATTATCTCATTTATTCTTCACCAGAACTGTAAGATAAGAACTTCCATTCTCCTTTTACAAAAGAAGTTACAGTCTCATACAGTTGCTATGAGGATTAAATAACAAAATATGTGTAAAGCACCTGACACAGTACTTGGCAAATTATAGTTGCTAAATAAATCTTCCTCAGCTTCCCTTCCTTGTCCTTACAGAGAAACAGCCTGGTTGAAAAACAGAGAAATTAGAGGCTTGCATACTACCTCTACGATTATTGCAGTACTAGAAGAGAGAGTTGTAAGAATAAATGATGAGTCAAGATTCAAAATTAATCCTGACACTCAAGAGTTCTGGGCCAAAATTACTAAAATGAAATGAAACAGGGTTAATGTGAAGATTTACATTTAGGTTTGAAAAATTAATCAAGTAAGCTTAGGAGAAACTTGACTAGACAGTAACTTATATAAAACAGAGCTAGGGTCAACCACCCAGCTTAAAATGAGCCAAAAAGTGATAACTGGTTCCTAGAAAAATAATTATCTTGTTCTTGGTCTTCATTGATTCAAAAATAGTATGTCAATAGTGATGCAAGAAGAGAAGTATCCCTATGCACTCTGCACTGGTCAAAGCACAGCTGGAAAGTCAAAACTAGATGTGGGCTCCATGTTTTATAAGGAAACTGACAAACTAGACTTTGTCCAGAGTCACCAGGTTGCTGAGGCATCTGGACTATGTCACCAAGGCATGATTGAAGGAATAGCAATATCCCTAACCAAACACTGATCCAGCCCATTTGGACTGCTCACTCTACCACCAATGTCCATTCCACTAACTGAACTCACAGTGTGCCCTGCAGCCTGCCCACCAAATGAGGCAGTTCAATGGGCTCTGAGAATCAAAGGACCTTGGTGCTAGCATCAGCTCCCACTAACCAGGATGCAACCCTGAACACACTTATGAACCTCTCTGGGCCTCAGTTCCTTGATATATAAAATGATGAGGTTGGACTTAGATCTCTGTAGAGTCCTTGGGCTGAAAACTGAAACAATTCTGTGTTCAGAAATGGTCCAGTCTCACTCTCACAGATGAGATTGACAGCGCTGGTCACACTCTTGACCTCCTGGTCCTCATTACAACACAGCCTGAAACTTCTACATTGCCTAGATCAGTGGGGTTTCCATGCAGCATCATTTTTGTCAGACTATTAGTAAAGAGTAGGTCTTGAGGCCAGGTGTGGTGGTTCACACCTGTAATCCCAGCACTCTGGAAGGCCAAGGTGGGAAGATCACTTGAGCCCAAGAGTTCAAGACCAGCCTGGGCATCATGGGGAAACTCCATCTCTAAAAAAAAAAAAAAAAAATTAGCCCAACATGGTGGCTCATGCCTGTCATCCCAGGTACTCAGGAGGCTGAGGTGAGAGAATCAGTTGAGCCCAGAAGACAAAGACTGCAATGAGCAGATATCACACCACTGTACTCCAACCTGGGTGACAGAGCCAGAGCTAAACCCTGCCTCAAAGAAAAAAAAAAAAATGGGTCTTGGAATCAAAGTTTGGGAATGCTTTCTACTCCATTCTGCTCTTAGAGATTCACAATGCATATTAGCACCTTAGCATGTGAAGGACCCTGAAATGTCCAACAACCCAGAAACCAGTATAACTCTGTTCAGATTAACATTTTTAAACTTATCATAATCCCTTGTGCTAAATATCAGTCAACAGTCACACTTTGTGAAGCAATGACTTGGATTAATGATAATCAGTTACTTTATACCCTACCAAGCCTTCCTTTCTTCTCTATGAGCCCTAACGCACCATCAGCAAAGAATCACAGCCATCAGACAGCCATAGGCTTGGGTTATGCATGCTTGTAAAGAAAGTGAGCCTTTTAGAATCATCCCATCACCACCGACAATCCTGGAGAGCCAGGGGCATCCACCTGCTTAGAATTGCAACCACATGCACACATTACTAGTCAGGTTTCAGGATTCAGCACTACCTGACGTACACATTATCCTCAGGATCTAGGTCTCTAAAAATCAGTCCTTTAAGAAACTGTATCAAGAGAGAAGAAACAGGAGATTATTTTTAAAATCTCTTTCTAAAAGTAATTCCTTACATTTCTAAATATTTTTATACCAGTCAAAAGCCTCAGTTATCAATGTGTGTGGGAGTATTGAAAGCCAGAAACAAGAATGATAGATACAACTAAAATAAGGTATGAAAAAAGGATTTTTTAAATCAGAAATTCATATTAGCACTGCTCTGTTGTTCATTTTAGCATGAAATTAATTGTAAGGGCAAACTCCAGGATATCCTACAGCAATAATCTACACTGTCCTCATAACCTTTAAAATGACTTAATGAAGGCAAAGTTAAGTCTTGAAAGGTTTCATTACCATTAAAGGAGTGGCCCATTTACTGTTCTCTTTCATAATGTTAATGTGATTTTCCTAGCACATAAAATTTAATTACTGGGAGACACAATATATTACCTGAGGACCCACCTTGCATGGAAAATTGATAGTACATCCATGTCTTTATTCCTGTTGCCCACTCTGCATCCATCCAAATCATGTTTATCTTTAAGTCCAACTCTTTCTTTGCGACAGGGTCTTATCCTGTTGCCCATGCTGGAGCGCAGAGACTCAAGCACGGCTCACTGCAACCTTGACCTCCTGGGCTCAAGCAATCCTCCCACCTCATACTCCCAAGTAGCTGAGACTACAGGCACATGCCACCGCGCCCTAATTTTTGTATTTTTTATACAGACAGGATTTCGCCACGTTGCCCCAGGCTGCTCTTGAACTCCTGGGCTCAAGCAATTCTCCTCCCTCAGCCTCCAAAAGTGCTGAGATTACAGATGCGAGCCATCATGACCAGCTTTAAGTTCAACTCTAACTCTCTTTCTTGCTTGAAATATTCTTCCTCGGCCTTTCAAAGTTGGAACTCCATATGCTACAGACTAACTAGACCTGTATGAATGAGAGGCCATAGGAGGCCAGTCTCAATGAAGAAGTGTGTGTTACAGACTGTAGGGAAAGTTTGGATAGGTGGGTAAAAAGGAGGAAAAATCAAAGGAGGCCTAAAAAACAACCAAGTAATTGAGCTTGGTGTAAATAAAACAGTAGTTCCCTTTTACCAAATACTAGTCATTGATTTAGCCATAATTGGAGTCGGCCCTCCATATCCCTGGGTTTCCCTATCTGTGGGTTCAGCATCTGTGGATTCAACCAACCATGGATCAAAAATGTTTGGGTCGGGCGTGGTGGCTCACGCCTGTAATCCCAGCACTTTGGGAGGCCGAGGCAGGTGGATCACGAGGTCAGGAGATCGAGACCATCCTGGCTAACACAGGGAAACCCCGTCTCTACTGAAAATACGAAAAAATTAGCAGGGTGTGGTGGCGGGCGCCTGTAGTCCTGGCTACTCCGGAGGCTGAGGCAGGAGAATGGCGTAAATCCGGGAGGCGGAGCTTACATTACAGTGAGCAGAGATTCCGCTACTGCACTCCAGCCTGGGCGACAGACCGAGACTCCATCTCAAAAAAAAAAAAAAAAAATTTGGAAAATAAAATTTCATCTGTACTAACGTGGACAGACTTTTTTTCTTGTTATTATTCCCTAAACAGTACCGTATAACAACTACTCACATAGCATTTACACAGTATTAGGTATTATAAGTAATCTAGAGATGATTTAAAGTACACAGGAGAATGTGCATAGGTTAAATGCAAATACTAGACCATTTTATATCATACACTTGAACATCCACGGATTTTGGTATCCTTGGGAGGTCCAGTCCCCTACAGATACCAGGGGGATGACTGTACTTAAATACAAAGCACAAAGTTCAAATCTTTATTCTGTCTCTTCCCAGACGTATTAGTGGGCAAGTTACATAATCAATATATTAGTTAGGAATAGGTTCAATGACAGATTTCAGGGGGAAAATAAAAATAAATAGCAGTACCTTAAATGGGATAGAAGATTATTTATCTCTAGTATAAAAGTTCAGAGATATGCAGTCTAAGACTGGTATGAAGGTCTGGCTGACCAAAGCCCTCAGGGACTTAACTCCTTCCATTCTCAATCTTGTTCTGGAATGTGGCCTCACTGTCACAGCCCTAAGAAGTTTCCAATTCTAGGCAGCGGGATGAAAGAAGGAATAAAAGGCATATACAAACGGTCTCTTAGAGAAATTGTCATAAGCTACTGCCTACTACACTCTAAATCCCACTGGCCAGACTTAGTGATATGGCCACACTTAACTGTAAGGGATAATGGAAAATATCATCTTTAAGCTAGACAGTCATATAACCAGCTAAAAATACCTATTGGTATTGACGAATGGAAAAAATATTAAGGGACAACTAACGGTTTCAACCACAGTTTACCTGAAAATAGAGACCATATCTACTGCGTGGAATTTACTTGGGAAGGGGTCAGAATTAAATGGGAACATACATATAAAGCACCTTGCATAACGCTGCATGAATGAGAATCTCATTCCTTCTTCTCCTCTGTATGCACAAAAATAAGCTTATCCACATTTACCTCTTGTCTACCTTGCATCTTCAGACCTAGATACAATTCATTAACCTTTCCAAGCAGAAAAATTAATATGCCATAATTTCTTCCTATTTTGACTTGCAGATATCAGCAACCAAACACAAAATACTGCTCACTATCTTTCTCAGCCTTGCATAACTGTTAACATTGTATATTTCAAAGCTGCCCCAATGGCATAATAGCAATGAAATTCTGGGTTTACACTGTCTCTGGAATGTGAGCTCCACAAGACCATGGCCTTGCCTGATTCATTCACAGGAAAGTTATAGAAGAATACCTGGCACATAATTGGGCACATTCAATATTGGTTGAAGGAACTGATACTGGGATTATCAAATATATGGGAGAAAATAAGAATTTTCAATATTAAAAAGAAAAGGAGGAAGCCAGCAAGATACATCACTATTGCAAAGCACGTTGGAGCCTTAAATGACAATATTGTGGATCAGATGTTTAGAGAAAACTCTCCCAATACAGTACACTGATAAAAGCTGGATACATTCCAAAATGAAAACTTTTAAACACATGAATGAGCTACCAAGAAAGTAAAGGTATTCTCTGAAGGCCAGAAAAGATAAGAAAGCTCAAATTGAAAGAAATAACTAGTGTTCAAGCTGGAAATTTATTTTGGGGGTCTAAGAAGATAAAGCCTGGGGCCTTAACTGGATGTGAGGTTAAATTGAAGATATTCACTTTTTAAAGCAGCGATCCCAAGAGGGTAAACATCCTTTTCTAAGTGGATGACCTAGGGGGAAAAATACCCCACAGAGGGAGTTAGTAGGATACATTATTATCGCATCTTGGCTCTTGGTGAAGCTAAAAAAGAGAAAGAAAGAAAAAATTCTACCCTAAGAATTCCTAACCACAAATGTACATTTAAGGGATTTAGAATAAGAACTCAAACCACCTCTATAACGAAAAAGAAACCTCAAGCCAAAAATGGAATTTAAAGTGTCCCAGGTGGATAAATGCCCCCAGGCACCTAGAAAAACCAAATGAGCATCCTACCTGAAAAATATATATTTTTAAACCAGGCCTCAAATAAGTCTCACAGACAAAGCTCACAATCAAAAATCACTGAAGACTACAGGAAAGAAACTGCCATGAGGAAGAGGAGGCAGAAACAACAAACCACAGAATCAGAATGGCAAAGACAGTAGATGTTGGAATTACCAAAGATCGACTACAAAATAAGAATGAATAATATTGTTTTTAAAAATATAAATTAAAAGACTGATAGAGAATCAGGGACTATGGAAGGTGACCAAGCAGATATACTAAGAAACCAAATAGAAATTCTAAAAATGAAAATAAAATAACTGAAATTAGAAACTTCATGAAAAGTTTAACAGTAGATTAGACCCAGCTAAAGAGAGAATTAGTGAACTAGAAGAACAGATATACAGATATCTCAGAGTTCTCTTAAAGCCAGCCCTGAGAGACAAGGATTTGAGTGTAAGTAGTTAATTTGGGAGGGGAAAGAAACACCAGTGAAGAAGTGAGTAAAAGGCACAGAGAAGGCAAAGTAGCCAATTAAGGTGATACTGAGCTTTTTACCACTGTGGGAAACTGGAGCTTCATCATGCTGGAGGCACTCCAGAAGCCCATCTAGAACACATACCTCAAGGCTGTCCCACTTGAGCTGCTGTGTTCATTCACCCATCGGTCACTGGTTGAGGGCTGTTCCTGCTAAGCCGTTAATTGCCAGGCACTTCTGACCTTCACAGGAGTGGCAAAGTGGGCTCTGAAAACCAGAGCAATGAAATTCAGATGTTGGCAGTTAAAAGCTAGGCAGACATACTGATGTGGTAAAGACAGAGGGATACATACAGACGGACCACTGACTCCATCCGTTATAGTGGTTTTGAAGAAATTACCCAGAACGCAGCATAGGGAGACAAAGAATTGGAAAATATAAAAGAAATATTAAGATTCATAGAAGATAGAGAATGTGCATATTATATAATCTTGCAATTCCACCCCAGGTATATTACCTAGAGAAACTCCAACACATGGACACTAGGAAGTATGTGTAAGACTTTGCATAGCAGCACAGTTCATAAAAACAAGAAATTTTAAAATATGTCTATCAAGTGTAGGATGGATAAATTGGGGTATATTTTTACAATAGAATTCTACAAAGCAGTAAAAATGAAGAACTGTTCACACACATCAGTAGGAATAAATCCCTCATAGACAGTACTGAACCAAAAAAGCAAGTCACAGAAGAATATGTACAGTATAATTTCATTTATATAAAGCTTAAGAACAGGCAAAATAAATAATATATTGTTTAGGACTTAATTAAAATAACAAATTATTATATAGTATTTATGCCAGATGCTAGTCTGAACACTGTACATATTTAATTAATTGCACTCATTTAATCCTTATAACAACTCTGTGAGATAAGTACTCTTCTTATTCCCAGTTTACAGATGAGTGCACTGAAACACGGAGAGGTTAAGTGACTTTCCCACAGTCACACAATTAACATAATATGTGCAGTAAAAATAGAAAGAAATGCAACAGAAATATTCGCCCAAAGTCATGTTTATGGTTATCTTTGAAGACAGGGATACAACTAGAGGTGCATCAAGGGTTCTGGAAACATCCTCTTCCTTTATGTGTATCATGGTGTATTAGTCTGTTCTCACACTGCTATAAGGTAATACCTGAGGGCCAGGTACAGTGGCTCACACCTGTAATCCCAGCACTTTCGGAGGCCAAAGCAGGCAGATCACTTGAGTCCAGGAATTCAAAACCAGCCTGGCCAACTTAGCAAAACCCCGTCTTTACTAAAAATACAAAAAAAAAAAAAAATAGCTGGCCATGGTGGCAGGCACCTGTGGTCCCAGCTCCTCAGGAGGCTGAGGCATGAAAATTGCTTGAACCTGGGAGGCAGAGGTTGCAGTGAGCAGAGATTGCACCACGGCACCCCAGCCTGCACAACACAGAAAAACTGTCTCAAAGAAAAAAAAAAAAAAGAAAGAAAATACCTGAGACAGAGTAATTTATAAAGAAAAGAGGTTTAACTGGCTCATGGTTCCACAGGCTGTATAGGAAGCATGGCTGAGGAGGCCTCAGGAAACTTACAGTCATGGTGGAAGGCAAAGGGGAAATAGGTATGGGGAAATAGGTAAGTGTCACATGGCTGGAGCAGGAGGAAGAGCTGGGGCGTGGGGAGAGGTGCCACACACTTTTAAACAACCAAATCTCATGAGAACTCCCTCACTATCACGAGAAGAGCAAGGGGCGAAATCTGCCCCCATGATCCAAACATCTCCCACCAGGCCCCTCCTCCAGCATTGGGGATTACAATTCGACATGAGGTTTGGGCAGAGACACAGATCCACACTATATCACATGGGTACATGAGCGTTATTTTTGTTACTATTCTTTAAGCATATGTGTTATATACTCTTTTTGTGTATGATACATTTCATAATGACAATTATTAAGAAAGAAATGCATTAGCGTAAGCAAAGATTAAAAGGTGCAAGTGAGCTTATCTCAACTAAAGAGAGTTTATTACAAAGTGAAAAATAGTTTATTAGAAAGCTAAACAAGAAAAAGCCATAACAAAAAGGAGAGAAATACTTTGAATTGACAGAAATATTGTTATATACATTAAAGAAGAATTCTACTTTACTGTCCAGTTCAATCTAGTATGAAAGGCTTACAATTATAAATAGACAAGCAACAGAAACCTATAATTAAATGAAAGACAGACAGAGAGAAAGAGCGAGCGAGAGCAGCATCGGAAAGAGATACACCAAAATGTTTTCTCATGCTGAAATGGCAGGGTTGTGATGGTGATGGCAGGATTGTGAGTGATTTCCTCCCTTACTTTTTAAAATTACAGACAGACTCTGGAGTTAGACAGACATGACCTTGAATTGAGCATCCATAATTCACTGGTCATGAGACCTTAGAAAATTTGCTTAATCTCTCTGAGCTTTAAATTCTTCCCATGTAAAAGGAGGATAATAGAGCCCCGGGAATGTGCTGTGAGGTTTTAATGAGATAATCTGTATTAGTAGCAGAGCACCTAGCTTGTAATAAGTCAACAAAATTTGTTATGGTTACTTCTAGTGACCACTGACTCCCTTTATTCACCTTCACCACGTTTATTTTGGGGCACTTTCTCTGGCTCAGGAATTGAGCCATCATCTTGATAGGAGCCCATACCTCAATCCAGAGTAATAAGACTCCAATGCTAAAACTTTAGATGGAGTTATTGAAAAGAGGTGCCCTCTTTTCTCTGACATCACCAGCTCCAAAGATGTAAGTTAGAGCCTATGCAATGAGCATCTTTGGAACCACAAAAGTAGAAGCTGCATGGAAATAAAATTAACTCAGAGGGAGACGAGAGGAGAAAGAAAGAGAAAGAGAGAGAGACTGAGTCCTGAAGACAACATTGAAGCCCTTGAACCCAGCCACAACTAAACAGATCCACACATAACTTTTCTGTAAATAAATGTTTTGCATAAATTAATTTATGTTTCTGTCACTAGCAATCCAAAAATCCTGGCTAATAAATGAGTTAGTGCCTAAAGTGCAGTTAGAGCAATATAAATCAGCTACTATACTATCAATACATCATTCTCTCTTTTTTCCTACACTGTTTAGTTAGCATGTGTTTTTATTGTTCATTTTCTCATTATTTTTCTACTTTTACCTATGTAGATTATTTCCTTCAAAGTTCTTTTTGAATTATTTCGTGTGTTTATTGTCTATGTATGTTTTTTGTGTTCTCTTTGAAATGTTTGCCAATATACTTATTGAATATTTTAATTATCAAATTTAGAACTTCACCTGCAGATAATTGCAGCCCCAACTGACAGCCTGACTTATCTCATCCTGATAAGTCACTCCCAGATTCCTGACCTTCAGAAACTGAGATAAATGCATGCTTGTTGTTTTAATGCTGCTAAATTTTAGGGAAGTGTGTTATGTAGCAATAGACAACCAACACAATCTCTTTTCATAAGTTTTACCTCTAACCAATGGTCATTCATTTTCAAGCAGAAAACTTTCTTTAATTGAAGATTATTTTTCCTTTGTTCCTTTGAACATGTTGTTCTCTTTGTTGTTTTTTCCTTCAGAAACTGTTATTCCCAAAGAATTGGGATCTCCAAGACCTGTCATCCAACTATTAGCTCATCAGTTTAAGTCTTTTGTTCTTACACTTTTGAAACCCTCCTTAAATTTGTCCTCTACTATATGAATTCCCTTTTCCATGGTTTCAAGTTTGCTATTTGCTGCCTGCAACCTGGTATCATTATACTGTTATATTTAGCTTTATTACAGTCTTTTCTTGTCTTGGATTTTTCACATTTTTTTTTTTGTAATAGCTGACTCTTGTTTCTCTGAGGAAATGTCCCCTTACATATTTTTGAACAATTGCAGCAGATATTTTTCTAAAATTGGCCTCTGTTTCTTGTAGTAAATCTATTTCAGGTGCAGGTCATTTTCCTGAATCATCAGGACAAAATAGCATAGTGGTGGATATGGTTTGGCTGGGTCCCCACCGAAATCCAAATCTCATCTTGAATTGTAGCTCTGGTAATTCCCACATGTTGTTGGAGGGACCCAGTAGGAGATAATTGAATTATGGGGCAGTTCCCCCCATATTGTTCTCCTGTGAATAAGTCTCATGAGATCTCATGGTTTTATAAGGGGTTTCCCCTTTCACTGGCTCTCACTTCTCTCTTGCTTCTGCCATGTAAGATGTGCCTTCTGCCATGATTGTGAGGCCTCCTCAGCCACGTGAAACTGTGAGTCCATTAAACCTCTTTTTCTTTATACATTACCCAGTCTTGGGTATGTATTTATCAGCAGCATGAAACAGACTAATACAGTGATTAAGCCTACAGATTAGGAATCATTCTGCCCAGGTTCATATCCCAACCTTGTCACCTATTAGCTCCGGGACCTTGGAAAAGCTCCTTAAGCTCTGTGTTTCAGTTTCCTATCTGAAAAATTGGGGTAAGAGTAGTACCTGCCTCATAGAGTCACTAAGCTAAAACATGTAAAGTGCTTAGAACCACTTCAATACATTTGCGTGTGCTCAAAAATATTAGTCATTATTACCAAGACAATGGCCAACTTGTGCTGCAGAATGTGATCATACCACCCTATCCACCTCCCACTAGATTCTTCTCTCTTTACTCATCTTCTCACAGTCCTGGTATAGCAGGAAAATCAAGATGTCGAGTTTCCCTTGGGCTCAGTAACAGACTGGTGTGAGGCCCTATCCTAAAAATGGTTAAAAGCCAAGGTTGCATCTCTCCCTGGTTAAGACTAAGATTTTTATAAAATAAAATATAATTTTTTAAAACTTAATCAATGCCAGAAGCCATAGCCCACACCTGTAATTCCAGCACTTTGGGATGCTGAGGTGGGAGTATTGCTTGAGCTCAGAAATTCCAAACCAGCCTGAGCAATATATCAAGACACTATCTCTACTAAAAATCAAAAAAATTAGCCCATGCACATGGTGGTGCACGCCTGTAGTCCTAGCTACTTGGTAGGCTAAGGTAGGAGGATTACTTGAGCCCAGGAGATCAAAGCTGCAGTGAGCTATGATCACACCACTGCACTCTAGCCTGGGCAATAAAGTGAGACCCTGTCTCAAAAATAAATAAATAAATATTAGCAAATTACCTGTTTGGCATCAGTGAGTATAGATTGGGGATAGTATTACCATCGCTTACAATTTTCCCAGCACAGATAACGGAAGGATGGGTTCCTAGGGGAATGATCCCTTGTGAATTTACATAGTAGAAAAAACACACTCAAACCCAGGTCCCTGCAGCATTGAATGGTACTTTTCACCCCAACTCCTTTCTGCCATCCCAAGAACCCCAAAGTCTCATTCCACCATAGCTTCAGACTCAAAGTCTAGGATCTTGTGATCTATATTAGGTTTGGATGTGACTCTTCTTAATTTGGAGACTTATAAATTATCTACCTCCATATTCCTGAGACACAATGGAGAAATAGTGTAATTGCAATAAGCCTTTCTTTTTGAAATAGTGAATAATAATTGCAGGCATACAGTCGCCACTGGTCCGAAAAAATTGAAATCACTTAGTCAAATGTTGTTAGGTCTTCCCCATTCTGAGGGTAGGCGGTGTTACCTGACTTAGTCCTTGTTCTGCTTCCTGGAGTAGCTCCTTATCCACCACTCTCCAAACCTCTTGGCTTTGCCCTCTGCAATGTCCTTTTTTTTTCTTATCACTTCTGTGGACGCGTCTGAAGAGAACATTAGAAAATATGCACATTTTAGTAGCTTACCAAATTTCACAGCCTGTTTCTTGTCTGTGGAAAGTTTGGATGAGGTGACCATATTTTGCATGTGGGAAAAATGCAAATCACTGTGGCCAAGAAGACAGACTGGTAGATTTCATTCTCACCTCAATTCTTCATCCCTCCCTGCACACAGACTTTTAGCTATGTGACTTTGCAGTCCAATAGGCCGGGCATGGTGGCTCACACCTGTAATCTCAATATTATGGGAGGCCCAGGCAGGAAGATTGCTTAAGGCTAGGAATTTGAGACAAGCCTGGGCAACACAGTAAAACCTCTCTACCAAAAAAATTCTTAATTAGCCAGGCATGGTGCTTGCCTCAAGTCACAGTTATTTAGGAAGCTGAGGTGGGAGGATCACTTGAGCTGAGGAGTTTGAGGCTGCAGTGAGCCATGATAGCACCACTGCATTCCAGTCTGAGCAACAGAGCAAGACCCTATCTCTAAATAAACAAATAAAAGCATTTCTCCACCCCTTGACTTGGGGCTTGGCCATGTGGTTTGCTTTGGCCAATTGGATGCTGGTAGGTAAGTTACTGGCAAAGGCTTGCCCCTGCGCAGTGGTGACTCTGCCTTCATCATGAGAAGAACGTGCCTGGGCTAACCCACTGGACCTCAGAGGAGGATGAGAGACATCTGGAGTAGAGCTGCCCCAGCTGCCTAAGCCTGAAGCAGAGTAGCAGGCCAGCCTACATCAGCTGAGCCCCAGCTGACTCACAGGCTCATGAAGGCTAATAAATCATTGTTGTCTTAAGCCACTGTGTTGTGAAGTAATTATGCAAGAATGGCAAACCAATATACTTGGAAAAATTTTGCAGAAAAGCCTTATGTAGCATTTTAAGCTAAACTGTGCCCCCCAAAATTGATGTTGAATCCCTAACCCCCTGAAAAATATTCTCTGTTGACCAAAACTGAGTCAAGCTTTTAAACTTTCTCCAAGTCCATCTGTGCACTCCATTGTAAAGCCTAGTTTTAGCAAAGAATCCTGCTAAGTCAGTGTATTAGTCCATCCTCACACCACTATTAAGAACTGCCTGAGACTGGGTAATTTATAAAGAAAAGGGCTTAATTGACTCACAGTTCCACATGGCTGGGGAGGCCTCAGGAAACTTACAATCATGGCAGAAGGCAAAGGGGAAGCAAGGCACTTCCTTCACAAGGCAGCAGGAAGGAAGTGCCAAGCAAAGTGGGAAGAGCCCTTATCAAACCATCAGGTCTCTGGAGAGCTCACTCACTATCATGAGAAAAACATGAGGGAAACCCACCGCCCCCATGATTCAGTTACCTCCACCTGGTCTCTCCTTTGACATGTGGGGATTACGGAGATTATGGGGATTACAATTCAAGATGAGATCTGGGTGGGGACACAAAGCCTAACCATATCAGTCAGTTTAGCAAGAACCCTACCCCCCCATCCTCAACATCAGATCATTCTTGACATCTGATCAGGTTCCTCATCCCCCAGGTGATGTGTGATCATCCTAGCCTGTCTTCAGCTGGAATCTTGTTAAGTGGGTTTAGCCACAATCCCCCTTACCTCTGATGTTTCCTCTTAGTAATTTTCCATCCACCAACGCCCATCCTGCTCCTTGACTATAAAGTCCCACATGCTCATGCTGTATTCAAAGTTGATCCCAATCTCTCTCCTTCACTGCAAGACCCATTGCAGTGGTCTCTATAGCTATCACAATGGTCCTGAATAAAGTCTTCCTTATCATGCTTTAACAAATATCACTGAATAATTTCTTTAATTATCATTGAATAATTTCTTCTTTAAATGTGACTGTATTTGGAGACAGGGTCTTTAAGGAGGTAACTGAGGTTAAATGAGGTTGGTTATAAGATGGAACCCTAATTCAATAGGACTGTGTCCCTATAAGTAGAGGAAGATATTGCTCTCTCAGCAGGAACAGATGTGTAAGGGCCATAAGGACACTGCAGAAGGCAGCCAACCTAAAGACGAGGTCAGCAGTCATAGCAGAAGCATTTGTTGAGTTCATATCATTGATCAGACACCATGCTAAGGATTTTACAGATATTAGTCTCTCTTGTCTTAGTGAAAGTCCTCCCCCTCCCTGATATCAACACATCCCTTCCTGCCCTTGAGGCCAGAATGTGTCACCTCTGTTTCCAGGTGGGTGGTTCTCGGTTGGCCCTGATGTGAACAAGAGATAGGTGTGGGGGGTGGACTGGGAAACGTGCTGTGTGCTTTGTCCCCTCCTGACCCCACAGTGTCATACTAATGTTAACAGCAGCCTGGAAGAGAGGGGGATAGGAAATGAAATGCTAGAAAGAAAAGGAGTATTAGTATTTTGTGAGGATGCTGATGGGAGTATGGATGAGATCAATGATAAGGGAAGCCTAACACAGGGTGTCTCACACAGCACATACCCAGTAGACATTTACGTCCAATAAACATTGGTTACATGCATGCATGAATAATTTAAATTTTTTAAAAGTTTTCCAACGTAAGC
The DNA here is from genome assembly GCF_000001405.40 of Homo sapiens. NCBI lineage: Eukaryota > Metazoa > Chordata > Mammalia > Primates > Hominidae > Homo > Homo sapiens. The sequence continues at coordinate 29,973,817 of NC_000008.11, forward strand.
TGATATTCTCTCCACCTGCTACAGAGTCAGAGTCACTAGCACCAAAATTTTAGTACTGTAGCACAGAAGTAGTATTTACTGAAGGAATTTTAATTTTTTAAAGCTACTTAAATAGCATATTTTAATATTAAAAATAGCCATATAACTTTCCATTATATATTCCTAACTTTATGAATTGGTATTTGTAAATGCTGGTCATAGCTACCTATGTTTAGTATTAAGAGCATCTGCTATGTACTAAGGTTCAATCAGGCCAACTATTTTTTTTCCCCAGAGAACCTCATTGAATAATTCAAAGATCCTGAGTAGAACAATTACAGGGTTGTTCTCTTAAATCTTGACTACAGTGGGGGCTGTCTTAGAGAAGACCACCAGCAGGTGATCACATGTTTCATTGATGGTTCAAGGAAACTTAACGTCCAACGGGGTTGCCACCTATACAAGCCTTTTCCATGGACTCAGGTCCTGGGATGGTTTTCAGGTGAGCTCCTGGGGAGTCCTAGCTCACCACTGGCCAAATTCATCCTGGGCAGACAGACCTTTCTCTATTTAACTCAGAGAAATAACCACACTGAGAAATGCTAGGCAAAAATTTACTATATGTAGAAAACTGTTTACTCAAAGGGCTTAACCCCTTCCAGGGAAGCCCCGAAGGTGTAATGTTGCAGCAGGCCATCCCCCATTGGAGCATTTTTTTTTTTTTTTTTTGAGAAGGAGTTTCTCTCTGTTGTCCAAGCTGGAGTGCAGTGGCGCAATCTCAGCTCACTGCAACATCCACTTCCCGGGTTCAAGTGATTCTCCTGCCTCAGCATCCTGAGTTGCTGGGATTAGAGGTATCCACCACCATGCCTGGCTGATTTTTGTATTTTCAGTAGAGACAGGGGTTTTGCCATGTTGGCCAGGCTGGTCTCGAACTCCTGACCTCAGGTGATCCACCCACCTCGACCTCCCCAAAGTGCTGGGATTACAGATGTGAGCCACCATGCCCAGCCAGAGCATTTTTTGTAATAACAAATAAACCAGGCTGGATGCAGTGGCTCACACCTGTAATCCCAGTGCTTTGGGAAGCTGAGGCAGGAGGATCACTTGAGTCCAGGTGTTTGAGATCAGCCTGGGCAACATAGTAAGACCCCATCTCAACAAATATTTAAAAATTAGCTGGGTGCGGTGGCATGTGTCTGTAGTCTCAGCTGCTAGGGAGGCAGGGTGGGAAGATCACTTGAGCTCAGGAGTCCCAGGGTGCAGTGAGTCATGATCTCAACATTGCACTCTGGCCTGGGCAACAAAGCAGGACCCTGTCTCAAAAAAAAAAAAAAGGAAAGAAAGAAACAAGAAAACACCTAATAAACTATGATGCAGCCATATAAAATAATTGTAAGCAAATGTTTAAAAGAGTAAGTTTGGTCCATATGCAATGATATGGGAATGTCTCCAAAATATACAATTAAACAAAGAAACAGAAAAGACAAGGTGTTGAAGGGTGAATATTGATCCTGTGAGTATTTTTTCAAAGGATAAACATTTACAGTGGTGAACTATTTGAATAGTGATGTAATCTTTGTTCTTGATATTTCCTGTTTCTCTGTGACCTTTCTGACACTCCAGCTGCAGTCAGAACATTCTACATGTACTGCCTCAGAGAAGCACTACGCAGAGAACAAAGATGTCAATTCCTGGCTTTCGAATTTTTAAATAGGCTATTGATTCTGCAGGCATGATAGCTTTGAAAGTTTCAAAAGCTAATGTTTTTGAGTTATAAGAAGCTGGCTTTTGAAATCACATCATTTGTGCCACAAGCCATCATGTTGGAAGAATGCATGCTCAGCTGAACCCATTTTTGCTCACTCTCAGACTAAACAGAGATTCCATGGACCAGGAAAGGGAAGTGAGTTAACTGCAATTGGGTCCCTAAGAAAGGGCCCTCCCCAACCACGCACCAGGGAAGGATATGGTAGAAATCCCAGACACACTGGGAGATCTGAGAGCAGAGAAGATACAGCCTCACTACAGGGAGGTGGCAAACATTCCAGAGTTCCTCATGTGCTGCAGGACATGGCAGCAGAAGAGCAGAGACAACTGAGTGGCGTGGCCCTGAGACATCGCACACTTCCCCTGTGCAACACCCACTCAGGAATGGGGAGAATCAAGTGTTTCCTGAGGCACCCAGAAGGGTCCCAGAAGTAACTGAGAAGCCAGATCTCAGAGGCCTTGAAGCCAGAATGAGAAAGTCTGCAACAGCTCTCTGCACGAACCACTGGCTGGATACTGAATGGGGCAAGAGCCCCAAAATGCTGGGTGGCAGGCGACACCAAGGAGCTCCTGCCTCATCCACTTTGCACCTTGCACCCTATCACCCTCCATCCACCAACCCTCAGTCACACCCCTCAGTCACCACCCCTCAGTCACAACTCCAGGAAAGGGCGGGGGTAAACCCTGAAATGCCTGTGCTTAAGTTCACATTTCCCAATGGCAGCTTAAAAATAGAAGTAATTTATGTTATAGGAAAAAATACTATTAATAATTCTACTTCCTGCCACCTGAATGTATGGCCTGAAGTTTGCCCCTGTTTAGAATCACCTATATGCATATATAGGTATTAGAAATTTCTGAAACTCTAACAATGGTCACTCCTAGACAATGGAACTGGAAAACAGAGGATAGAGACTTGCATTTTTCATTGTCTTCTCACTGGATGGTTAGTTTTTTTAACTATACGCAATAACGTAAATAAATACGACTTTGACTTGGTGGAGGTATTGGGGAGGGGTACACATTCCTGGAAACTGAGCATTGACTTTATCAGACCCTCAAGGTGGTTGTAACATTTCACTTAGTAAAGATGTGGCCCTGGAATCGTACCCTGGTAATAATGGGGCTTTCTCTTCTAATCCACTGAAGTCAAAACAAGACTCTCTGCCCAGTTTCTTCTGACCTCCATTTGTTCTGTTATTAACCAATCATTCCCAGGTTGCAATTGTTTTTATGGTGTTGTTCATCATGTCAAAGGACATCCACAAAGCCACAACTGCTTCCTGAACTTTACCCTCTGCTTCCTCCACGATGTCCTTGAATAAACTCCAGACGCCACGGATATTCTCATGTGGCTCTTGGTGGTCCAGCACTATCACTCACACACCTTTGAGAACTATTATGGGTTAAGACAATTCACCAGAACACAAAATAATTGGCAGGCAGAGTAAACAACATGCATTGCAAAATACTCTCAATTCAGGACAGAATGATAAAGCAGTCATTGTTTGAAAATATTTGCAGTGTGGTACATTAATGACCATTGCCCTGAAATAGAAAAATCAATGTATATAGAGAAAAAAGTATAATCTGAAGAGTTAGCTTTTACTGTCCCAGAGGATATTATGGAAGAATGAAGCTCTGCACTATATTTGGGTCAAAATCTGCATGAGCCACCCATTATTTCAAACAGTCCTACAGGGAGAAAACTAGATTAGAATTGGTTGCTTTCTGACTAACAAGAGAATAGACACAGTATATCCAATGGAAAGTCAATTAACATAAAGCTAGTGAATTCATTTATGAGAGTGGTGGGTTAATTAACGTGAGACTGGGGAGTTCATACACAGCTTAAGTAAGCAAATTCAATTTTCTATACAAACAATTTGTGGTTTAAGTAAATGACCACAGGCTGGGCGCAGCGGCTCACGTCTGTAATCACAGCACTTTGGGAGGCCGAGGCAGGCAGATCACTTGAGGTCAGGAGTTCGAGACCAGCCTGGCCAACATGGTGAAACCCTGTCTCTACTAGAAATACCAAAATTAGCCAGGCATGGTGGTGGGTGCCTGTAATCCCCGCTACTTGGGAGGCTGAGGCAGGAGAATCACTTGAACCCAGGAGGTGGAGGTTGCAGTGAGCCAAGATCGCACCACTGCACTCCAACCTGGGCAACAGAATGAGACTCCGTCTCAAAAAAAATGAAAAGTAAACGACTATGGTTTCCTACAACAAACACAGTTTTTAATATTTTTGGTTATTATGAGCTTTTCAGTTAAAGAATTGCTTTCCCAGGAAGTAAAGTTAAAACTATATAATTATAAAATGGAATTACTTAAAAAACTTTTGCTGCTGCTTCTTGTATGTCAGCAAACATGAAGAAAGAAACTGCAATCATGATGATAAGAAACAGAGCATGTTTAGTTTTAATTTTAATTTTAAAAGGGACCTTGGCCTCACCAGGCTGGTCTCTAAGGGGGATCTGGATTCATCATCATCTTTGGTGACAGTGATGGTACCTGTCTCATGTTTACCTAGCTGAGACACACAGTAGAGCAACCTGTACTAAAATTTTCAAAGGGCTCACCTCAACATAGAGCCTACCAAGGCTTCCCATAAATTAGAATTGGAACCCATCATATCTAATTTTGTCCAAGGAATTGATTCAAAATTGTAGTTTGGTGTTTCTTTCAGAGCTTGTAATGTTGCTCCTAGCTTCAAAAACATTCAGAGAATGGAAGTTTTATATTAAAAAACACAAGTTATATGACTTTTTTGCAACTGATTATTTTACATACACACACACATCTATTTTAGGAAAATGCTCCAGAGACAAATAGTGCTCTAACAAATTAGCACTGCATGGAGCAGCATTAAACTGTCATCCATAGATTATTTGTATAATACAAAATGATACTCAGTAAATGGAAAATAAACAATTTTTTTTCTAAAACTTAAAGCCATTTCCCATACTCCTATAGAGTCATTGAAAATGTGTTCACAACATTCATAGTTGACATCTCTTCAACTGCTGTTCATGTTCAGATGCCCATGTTAATGTTGATCCTTTCCTCTCCTGCATTTGGTTGATGAACTAGGGAGAGGAAAACCACTTTTCTGATGTGGAATAGCACATCCTGTCTGCTCCCTTCTCAGAACACTGGCAGGTAGGGGGTTGGGTTGAGGGACAGAGGAAGCAGAGAGCAAAATGACCTCCATGGGCCTACCCACTCAGAGATTGCAAGTGCCAGAGACACTCGAGGGAAATGGTCCCAGGTACCTGGGAAAGCTAGACCTAGAACCGGATTAGTTTGGGCTGCTAAACCAAGGGATAGAGATGGAAGGTTCAGGGATGGCATCAGTGGGAGATTGCCACACCTGTCACACCCACACTCTCCAATCTCTACAACCCTAGCTGCCAAACCACTGAGAAGCATAATCCATGTGTTCCACTGGCTGCCTTTGTCATGAGTCCCACTGGCCACCAGCTCTGCTCCATAGAACAGCCAGTTTAAACTAATGCTGTAGTAAATGGGCAATGTGATCCCTGAGAAAATCTCACTGCAAACCTCTGGGAGGGAGGTTAAGCATCCGCCCCGACAGACGCTTCCCCTTCCAGGGCATGGTGTTATGAGGGGAAGTGACTGCTTAGCCAAAACTATACTTCCTGCTTCCTGGTGTGTAGTGGGGTACATTGTCCTGCTCCACAATGAGGAGCAGGAGCAGAATTGGTACGTGTCCTTTGGGCTGAGCCCACTAGCAAGCTAGTACACCTTCTTCACCCTTTCCTTCCTCTTCTCCTGGCTTCAGGCAGCCTAAAATGGGAACCGTAGGAGTTGCATGTCAAGCTGATGCAGCCTTGATGGAGGAGCCCGCATCCCTTAGTTGCTGTCTAAAAGAGAACTGCCTGCTGACCAGGAACACCTGTTTGAGATGACAGTGAGGGAGAAATTAGCTTCTACTCTGTTAGAGTCATTATATGTTTGGGAGTTTGTAATAGCAGCTCACATATTCGAATACATAAGCCTATGTGCAAACCCTGCTCCTACATTTCAGACAGGGCTGTCTCAGTTTCATAGTGCCTTCCATACGATGCTTTCAGACAATCTGTTTTCTCTGGCCATGTTTCTACTTGGTGTTCCAGCGTAGCAAGTACCAGTTCATCCCAAGGATCTGATTACACCCAGACAAGTGCTCCTCTTCCCCTTTTGCAATGGAAGCAGGGACTGGTTCTTACTTTGAGCCAAATGAGATGAAAATTTGTCCTCGCCTTCTTCCCCAGATTTCCCCAGATTTATGCAGAAAGACTTCTTTGATCCTTGATCAATGGCCAGCAGCCAATCAGACAGCCATTTACACTTCCACACCAGTCCCAGCCATCAACCAGGATCTCCATTCATTCAGCAATATCTAGTGAGTGCCTGCTAAGTGTCAGGCATTATCCTAGGTGCTAGGGATATAGCATAGAACAAAGCAAAGTCTCCACCCCCTTGGAATTTCCATCTCATTGGGGAAGACAGACCACTGACATCCATACATACACACATGCAGCACTGTAATACCGGTAATTGATACTATGAAGTTAGGGCAATGCAATTGTGACTTAGGAGGTAAAGTTACTACATTTATCTGGGGAGAATGAGAAAGACTTCTCTGAGAGGTCACATCTGAGCTGATATCTAAGTACTAAGAAGAATATCGGACAGGGCATTCCAGGCAGCTGGGACAACAGGTGCAGAGGTCCTGCGAGCAGAGCCAGCCTGGGATATGTGAGGGATTGAAAGAAAGCCCAGGGTGGCTCGCCTGTGGTGGGTCAGGAAGAGCAACGAATTTCCAAGGTGGGGAAATCATACAGAGTTTGGAGTCTGCTTCCCTTTACCCTGACCTGTCTCTCCTTCCACTCCAGTTCTGCACACTTCCAAGCCTTGTCCCACATTCTGGGGATGGCTTAACTCTTAATTTGACTTTCAAGCTGGTGTTCATGACTTTGGTCTTTGACTTTCTCCTAATAATTTCAGCTATGCTCTCTGTGTCAAGCCATTCTTGCATTGCTTTAAAGAAATACTGAGGCTGGGTAATTTATAATGAAAAGAGGTTTCATTGGCTAATGGTTCTGCAGGCTGTACAAGAAGCATAGCACCAGCATCTGCTCAACTGCTGGGGAACCTCAGGGAGTTTTTAGTTATGGCAGGAGTAGGCACATCACAAGACAAGAGCATGAGCAAGAGAGATGGTGGGGGGTGCCACACACTTTTAAACAATCAGATCTCATGAGAAATCATTTACTATTTTGAGGACAGAACCAAGAAGATGGTGCTAAATCATTCATGAGAATTCCACCCCCATGATCCAATCACCTCCCACCAGGACCCTTCTCCAACACTGGGGATTACAACTCAACATGAGATTCAGAGAGGACAACATCCAAACTCCATCACCCTCCCTCAGGCTCTTTCACTGATGGGCCACCACACTTGCCCCAGTCTTGCCCCATCCTGAGGACCCAAACCTCAGCCACAGGCACCCTGGAGATTCTGAGGGGGCTGGGGAAGGAGAGAGGGATGGGTCTGTGACCTGCCAGAGTCACAAAGATGTCAAATGTGAACATGGTCCCTCAGACCAGGCCTGGCCAGGGTTCCATTTTCTGGTTCACGGTTTGGGTTGGGACTAGGAGAAGGAGAGGGCAGGACCTCAGGGTCACAGCCCCCATGCCGCACCCCGGGAACAGACTCTGGGCAAAGGCAGCCAGATCAGGAAGTGGCTCCAACTTGCTTTTCTCAGTCCATGAAAATAGAACCACTAGGTGTGTGTTGTGGTTTCACAGTGGTCCTAGCACAGCGGAGTCTTAACTCCAGGGTGGAATAACTCTCAGGAAGCAGCAGCCCGGTCCTGAGGTCACGAATGAACAGCTCCCACAGCCATTAAGTCCAGGACCATCGTGCCTTATTAGGTCTCTGAGATGACATTGCTTCTTCATGACTTCCCAGCAAAACAAATTTTTTTCTTAAAAAAAAAAAATCACAACTTTCTTCACCCTCACCATTTGTACCAGGTATTGAATAACTATTCCCCATTAAGTTTGTGGAAAAAGTCACTCTTTCATTGAAGCTTCATATTGTGAACCCTTTGCAACTGCATTAAGCCTTCATAGGTTTGCATCGTTATCCATTGCTCCTAATTAGTGTCTGATGACCCAAGAAGAAAAGACTTTATATCTTCCTGTTTGTTTCATGCACCAACCTATCTACAAATGCACCCGATTTTTGGCTCTTCCCCACCTGTATTTATTCTCTTCACCATAGCTGACACAGGCAATGAGAAGGTAAAGATTTGTACTTTTGTGGGTCATTTTGTCCAAGGAATTCAAAGCAATGACAGTAGGCTAGGAAGAACCCAGGAATTCAATTCAGAAGACATCATTTCAAAGCCCAGTGCTCCCACTTACTTGCCAGGGCCAAATCGGGCAGGTTGTATTCCTTCTATGAGTCTCAGATCCTTTTTGTTAATATCTGCCTCTCAATGCCGTTTCATGACTAAATAAAATTATATGTGTTAGTATGATAGTGTAGTGTTTGGCATATAGCGGGCACCCCTTAAATGTTAGTTATTAAATGTGGACTCAGCATTTTCCAATGGGTCATTTTCTTGCCTGGCGCTATCCAGGCTGCCTCCTGATGCTTGCAAAGTCCTACAGTCTTCAGAGAAGATCTGTAACCCCATGAGTCTCTAGAAGTGACTCCTGAGAGAACACTATTCATGGTGTGTTTATTAAAGAACCAGCTGAGTGCAGTGGTGCCTGCCTGTAATCCCAGCTACTAGACAGGCTGAGGCAGGGGGATCACCTGAGCCCAGGAGTTTGAGACCAGCCATGGCCACATAGCAAGTCCCTGTCTCAAAAAGAGAGAGGGAGAGGGAGAAGGAGAGGGAGAGGGAGAGGGAGAGGGAGAGAGAGAGAGAGAGAGAGAATTGCTAAATATAGTTTTGTAATATGATTGCTTTTTGTTGCTTGGATAAGTTAATCACATGTATGACTTCTGAAACATTGATACAATGTCTACTTTCTCATGAATTTTAATGAAATGGTTTGAGGTTGAGTTTTGTTTATTGTTGTTGTTTTGTTTTATGTTTTTTGTTTTGAGATGGAATATCGCTCTGTCCCCCAGGCTGGAGTGCAGTGGCGCGATCTCAGCTCACTGCAAGTTGCGCCTCACGGGTTCACACCATTCTCCTGCCTCAGCCTCCCAAGTAGCTGGGACTACAGGCGCCTGCCACCAAGCCTGGCTAATTTTTTGTATTTTTAGTAGAGACGGGGTTTCACCGTGTTAGCCAGGATGGTCTCCATCTCCTGACCTCGTGATCTGCCCGCGTCAGCCTCCCAAAGTGCTGGGATTACAGGCGTGAGCCACCGCACCAACCTGTTTGTTTTTGAGACAGGGTCTCGCTCTGTCACCCAGGATGGAGTACAGTGGTGTGATCATGACTCACTGCAGCCTCAACCTCCTTGACTCAAGAGATCCTCCCACCTCAGCCTCCCAAGTAGCTGGGACTACAGGCAGGTGCCACCACACCCAACTAATTTTTGTATTTTTTGTAGAGACAGGGTTTCACCATGTTGCCCAGGCTGGTCTGGAACTCCTGGGCTCAAGAGATTCCCCCATCTCGGGCTCCCAAAGTGCTAGAATTACAGACATGAGCCACCATGCCCATCTGAGATTTTTTTTAAACATTATTAGTGGGGGGATAGAAGTAAGGTGAGAGTGTTGCTTTGATTTTTACTTTGCACACTGGTGAGTTGAAGACCCATGTTCTTTGTAGACCACAGATGTTCACACCCCTTAGGTGTGGAAATGAATTAGTCCAGGTATCTATGGCACAGTTTCTCTTCTGAAAAGTTTATCCAAGAACTAAATACTATTTTTTAAAAAATGCTACAACAGAGGGAGCAGAGAAGAAAAAAGAGGACAAGGGGGAGAAAAGGAAAGAAGGAGAAAGAGAGGGATTTACTGAACTTAGAGTATTTGTTTCCAGGACACTCAGTCAGATGGTTAATATCAAATGTCAACTTGATTGGATTGAAGGATGCAAAGTATTGTTCCTGGGTGTGTCTGTGAGGATGCTGCCAAATGAGATTAACATTTGAGTCTGTGGGCTTCGAGAGGCAGACCCACCCTCAATCTGGTTGGGCACCATCTAATCAGCTGCCAGCACTGCTAGAATAAAGCAGGCAGGAGAAGATGGAAGAGCAGACTTACTGAGTCTTCTGGCCCTCATCTTCCTCTTGTATCGGATGCTTCCTGCCCTCGAACATCAGACTCTCAGCTCTTCAGCTTTGGACTCTTAGACTTACACCAGTGGTTTGCCAAGGGCTCTCAGGCCTTTGGTCACAGACTGAAGGCTGCACTGTTGGTTTCCCTACTTTTGAGGTTTTGGGACTCAGACAGTTCCACCACTGGCTTCCTTGTTATTCAACTTGCAGACGGCCTGTTGTGGGACTTTACCTTGTGATTGTCTGAGTCAATTCTCCTTAATAAACTCCCATCATATATACATATATCCTATTAGTTCTGTCCCTCTAGAGAACGCTGACTAATACACTTGGCCTGGGCAAGTGGGGTTTACCCTGATGTTAGGTCTGAGTGGACTCCGAACCTGGACTTGCCCTCTGCCCAGGTCCTTGGCTCATTTCTTAAGAAGCACTCAAACTTCTTTTCATCTTGGAGTCCTGGTTCTAACTCTCTGTGCTAACAGCCAGGTGTGCAAATGGAAGGAGTGTCGCTGGTCCGGTTGGTGCCAATGTTGACCTCTCTTCTCGCATAATCCCAACTGAAGCTTCCACTTGTTTTTCTGCTATCTCTCTTGGTGATGATGGCTGCCAGCTGTCTAGGGGTCTTTCTCAACCTGTCTTCCACCCAATGTCCTGTACCCCACCCTACCATTCCCAAGAGCACACAAATGGCATCTTACTGCAACAGTACCTTGAATCATCATGTATAGATCTGAACCAAGTTGATTAAGAAACATTGAACTTGTAGAGTGAAAAGTGGTCAAACCTGGGAAGAAACTCCTTCCTTTGCCAGTAAACTATGAGGCAGATCCTTTTATTTCTGAGGCTCAGCAGCCTTGTCTGCCCTTCTTCCCGTATGGGGAATATGTGATCATGCTTGAATGTAAAGGAGATTCCCTAAATTGTGGCTTGTGGCAGTGAGATGAGAATACAAGATATTCATACTAACCACTAACCATGACTCCTTGATGGAGGAACAGTCACTTTGTTTTTGTTTGTTTGTTGATTGTTCATTTAGAGACAGGTCTCACTCTGTCTCCCAGGCTGGAGTGCAGTGGTGCCATCACAGCTCACTGCAGACTTGAACTCCTGGGCTCAAGTGATCCTCCTGCCTCAGCCTTCTAAGTTGCTATGACTGCAGGTGCATGCCACCAGGCCCGGCTAATTCTTTAAATTTCATGGAGACGGGGTCTCACTATGTTGCCCAGACTCGTCTCAAACACCTGGCCTCAAGCGAACCTCCCACCTCAGTATCCCAAAGTGCTAGGATTATAGGTGTGGGCCACCATGCTTGGCCAGGAGCAGCCACTTTGTTATTTCCCAGACAGGAGATCCTTGAGATGTCAGGCCCTGAAGACTCAGCGTGGGTTCCCTCAGAGCTTTGGAGGAGAGGGGGACTGACAGCCATATCTGTCTGCAAGTGCTCACAGCTCAATATAACTGAAGCCCCAGGATCCTGCTTCAGGATTGCAGCAGCCTGTGCTGCCCTGTGGTTTGCTTTGCTGTCTGCACTCACTTCACCACCACAGCACAGAGGTCCAGCAGCAAGACCTGCTGGCTGTCCACACGGGAAGCACAAACACAAAGATGTTGTCTTTGGGGCTTCATCAAGTGGAACGGGTGCATGAAGAATTTGTAGGTACAGGATAAGCATGGAATTTCTTCATCTGTCAAGTGAGAACAGTACTGATATGGTTCATGAGAGGATTAAAGGAGATAATGCATGTGAAGCATTTAGCAGGATGCCAAACACCTGGGAAATGTTGATTTTTTTTTTTTTTTAGAGAAGAGAATATAAAATGGTCTACTAAGCAAGTTCAGACCACAAGCTCAAAGACCATGCAATAACATCACCACATCATCCTCTCCCAATTCATGCCTCTTTGAACTTGGCAGTAGACTCGTTTTTCTTTCCTGGCTGAGTTTACCTTGACGTATTGGTTTTTAGGTCCAGGAACCACCCTCCCACCCTGCACTGTGGGTTACCCCCATTCAAACCATAGCTACCATGTAGTGAGGTGTCTTCTCTTGGCCACACACCTATCCCCTAAACTACTGGAGACCACAGGCACTAATTAATAAACAGCATGATGTGATTTTATCATAAAGTAATTGATAGAGTTTGGGCCACAGATGCTGAGTGTGAATTTCTTTCTTTTTTTTTTTTTTTTTTTTGAGACAGAGTTTTGCTCTTGCTGCCCAGGCTGGAGTGCAATGGCACAGTCTCAGCTCACTGCAACCTCTGCCTCCCGGGTTCACGCAATTCTCCTGCTTCAGCCTCCCAAGTAGCTGGGATTACAGGTACCTGCCACCACACCTAGCTAATTTTTGTATTTTTAATAGAGACAGAGGTTTCACCATGTTGGCCAGGCTGGTCTCGAACGCCTGACCTCAGGTGATCTGCCTCCCTCAGCCTCCCAAAGTGCTGGGATTATAGGCATGAGCCACTGTGCCCAGCCCAAGCTGAGTATAAATTATGAGTCCAGTTGATTTGGTGATTCACGCTGAAAGGACTGGCATGTGGTGGTGCACACATAGCCTGAGGCGCCCCATAGGATCTTGGGCACTCCTGGGCTAACCCCATACGAGCCTGCTTGCCTCCCTGCCAGGCTGTTGTGGGAGGGCCACTGTCTGCTGGTGCCATTGCTGTTACACCTACTGTACCCATCTCTGAATGCAGTTCCTCCCCTGACCAGAGGAAGCTGGCCCATCAGTCAGGGCCCAACAAAGGCCAAGGGGCAGCACTCACTCCCCTCCTCTCTGCTGCCTATCCCCAGCCTGGGCAGTAAAAGTCATGACCCTTCCCCTCTGGGGGCAGGGATCCCTCCCCTCTCCCACTGGACCTTGGGAGGCACAAAGGAGTGAGGTGCTTGGAATCTCTGCTCTCTAGGTCAGAAGGAAGAACCTGCTCTTAGATTCACCTATGGACTAGGAAGTCAGCCTTGACCTAGAGACAACACAAACAAGAAAATGTTTGCTGCCTTAAGGTGATGGATACCCCATTTACCCTAACGTGATTATTATATATTGCATGTCTGGATCAAAACATCTCATATACCCCATAAATATATATACCTACTATGTACCCATTAAAATTAAAAATTAAAAATATAAATTCCCAATAAAATAAAAATGACAATCAAAAAAAGAAAAGAAAGAGGCTGGACACAGTGGCTCATGCCTGTAATCCCAGCACTTTGGGAGGCCAATGTGGGTGAATCACCTGAGGTCAGAAGTTCGAGACCAGCCTGGCCAACATGGTGAAACCCCACCTCTACTAAAAATACAAAAATTAGCTGAGTATGGTGGTGTGCGCCTGTAGTCCCAGCTACTCAGGAGGCTGGGGCAGAAGAATCATTTGAACCCAGGAGGCAGAGATTGCAGCGAGCCGAGATCACACCACGGCACTCCAGCCCGGGTAGCAGAGTGAGACTCTGTCTCAAAAAAAAAAAAAAAGAAAAGAAAAGAAAAGGAAAGAAAATGTTGCTAGTTCCTCTCAGAGAAAAGATACTCATAGACAAAGATCTGAGCCTGGGTCAGCTTTAAAATGATCCTGGCACCTAGGAAAGCAAAATGTGGCTTCCATCCCTAAGGACGGAAGGTGAACCAGAGACAACAGCAAGGCTAAGGCTGGGATGGGAATAGATCTTTCTTGAATACACCACATGCTTACAATTCTGTAAATAAACAATTTTAAATTCTGACAATATTTTTTAGAGACAGGATCTCACTAGGTTGCCCAGTCTGGCCTCTAACTCCTAGGCTCAAGCAGTCCTCCCACCTAAGCCTCTTGAGTAGCTGTGACTACAGGTACATGCCACCACACCTGGCTAATTTTTTGTGTTTTTAGTAGAGACGGGGTTTCACCGTGTTGGCCATGATGGTCTCAATCTCCCGACCTTGTGATCCGCCCACTTCCGCCTCCCAAAGTGCTGGGATTACAGGCGTGAGCCACCGCACCTGGCCGAGACCCTGTCTCTAAAAAAGAATAAGAAGGACCAAGTCCAGAAGAAGTTGAAGCCACTCTGGAATTAGCTAAGAAGACAGTGACCAGGCAACCTGAGTGAAAGGGAGCTGACTCTCCCAACCTGGCAGTAGGGTTGGTGGGGGAAGGGCAGTCAATCACAGGCAGAGATTGGGGGAGAAGTGAGAGCCCCACTGGGGCAGGCAGCATGCTCTGCAGCAGCACAGGCAGCTGGCAGGCAACACAGTTGAGAAGGGACAACGTCCTGGGCCTGACACCAGGAAGGAGTTCCAGAAGCAGGCTTCTCCCCTCCTACTCGCACTGACATCCCCCATTTCCAGCAGCAGAATCCTGTGCCTCAGACTAGTTCACCTCTCCTCTGAAAGCAGCATGGTCCGTCTCAGCTCCCGGCCTTTGCACATGCCATGTGCCCAAGCCAGGAGCACCATCCCTTCCCCAATTTCACCCCCTCTCACTCTTGCCTCAGGTCCCCGCAGCTGCCTTCACCACGGAGATTTCCGAGAGACCCACCCACACCCACCTCCCTCTGCTCTGAACTGCTTGAGCTTTGCACATCTGCATTCCTCCTTCTCTGGTGCTGTCTACTGCAGAGCCAAGGCCGAGTCTTCTCTTTTCTATGTATTCCCACTCAACTTCCAGCAAAGAGCGTTTTGTGGAGCAGGTGTTGGATAAACACTTGTTGAATTAAAGGCACCGTCCTGAAAGTGCAATCAAATCCAAGATTGCCTGGTGACTTCGGAGTCAAAGGAAAGTCTAGAAAGGTGGTCTGATGACAATTTCTGGCCAAGCCATCTCTAAAGACCTGGCTCATCTCCCCTTCCTTCCATTAGATTGGTGCAAAAGTAATTGCGGTTTTTGCCATTAGCAGTGGCAAAACCGCAATTACTTTTGCACCATCCTGATACCTTGACTCAATGCCCCTGTTATGTAGAATTGTATATGCACCTCTTTGTACCCCAATAATCCCTGTGCATGCTTCTATCATAACTCTTATCACACTATTCTTAAAATGTGCTTGCATGAACTCCATTGCCTTCTCATTTGATGATAAGATCTCTGAGGGCCAACATCATCTAATTCATCTCTGCATCTGTAACATTTAAATTAATGGTAACAGCTTGAACTCTGCAGTCAAATAGGATCATATTCAAGCTCTTCCTCTTATGTGTGACCTTGGAAAGCTTTCATTACTTAACCTCTCTAAGCTGAATGGATTGATGGAGGATTGTTGCGAATTATTATTCTCCATAATAATAATATTATTACCATCACTTTTTAATAAATTATTATTATTAATGCAGGGACAGCATTTAATTCAATGCCTGGCACAATCAATTGTAGTTAAATAAATGGTTAAAAGTTCATAGAGGCTGATTTTTCACCCTCTTCCTGCCTGTGTTACTGCCTTTTCCAAGAAACTGTTCCAAGAAATGATAAGTGTGATGTGTATGGCTGCTGATTCCAAAATTCTCTTTTCCTGCTTTCAGATTCCCTGCACAGACATTCCAAGTTCTAGTGCTCCACATAAACCAGTCCTTGATTTCAGAATTTCTCTAGCTTCACTTTCCCAGCGCAACACCACCCGATGACCGTGGCTTGCCAGAATTCTCCGTGACAGGGACTGCATCACTGTCACAGCCGTTGTCACTATGATGTCACCATTATCTCGCTTCATACATTTCTGTCATTATGTCAATGTCTCATTTCCTTCTCTGGTGAAAAAAAGGAAAAGACTCACAGCTCACCCTGGAATCCATCAAAAGTGTAGAAACCAAACTAGAAAATTACAAAGTGAAATTTCAGTTGTCCTGAGAAATAACACCTGCAGCATGAACTTTCAAAGGATCACTCAAACCCATATAGAGGAAAGAATAATACACACCAAAAATGAACGGTACATGGAAACGTGTAAGATTGTGTTCTACCAATGTATACAGTTCAGAGTTAAACACACAGGGGGAGTAAGTTCAATTTTCCAGAAAAAAAAAAGAGAGAATTTCCTATTGAGAAATAAAGTCAAGCTAATAACTAAGGAAAGTAGTGAATTAATGAGAAGATCCAAAAATATGTATTTTTTTGAGACTGGGTCTTGCTTTGTCACCCAGGCTGGAGTGCAGTGGTGCAATCTCAGCTCACCGCAGCCTCGACCTCCTGGGCTCCAGAGATCCTCCCACTTCGGCCTCCCAAAGTACTAGAATTACAGATGTGAGCCACTGCACCCAGACCAAAAATAAATTTTTAAAAAAATCAGAATAACTTATGAAAAAGAGAAAAGTCAACCAGGCTCACATCTGTAATCCTACCACTTTGGGAAGCCAAGGTGGGAGAATCACTTGAGCCCAGAAGTTTGAGATGAGCCTAGGTAACATAGTAAGATCCCATCTCTATTTCTTTAAAAATTAAAACTTAGCTGAGTGTGATGGCACACGCCTGTGGTCCCAGCTACTAGGAAGGCTGTGGTAGGAGGATTGCTTAGGCCCAGGAGGTGAAAGCTGCAGTGAGCTGTGATCACACCACTGCACTCCAGCCTGGGAGACAGAGTGAGACCTTGTCTAAAAACAAAAGAGAAAGAAAAGTCAAACCACAGAGTTGACAAATAAGGATGTTTAAATCAGTACTTAATAGTTCAGCCCTGGAAATAAGATAACTAATATTCTATAAGTCTCTGGATTATGTATATGCTAAAGTATCAATTCATCACAGTAGGCAGGGCAGCCAGATAATTCTAACCAAAAATAATCTGCTTTGCATCTCAAATGACCCAGCAGAGCTAGCCCTGTGCCAGTGCATCCTTCACCAAGCTGTCCTGGTGACAACATGACAACATGTCACTGATATTTACTTGCAGACTCTAAGTATCCAGAGAGCCAAACCCACTGAATCTCAGATCTGGCACCATCCGCCCAGATCCCGTAACTCCCTTTGCTCCCCTTCTCTTTCTTCACCCTGGTCAGCTCCGTGAGTGCTCCAGAGGCCACCACTGTGGGTGAATGAGACTGATGATGATGGCTAATGAGGGTGTTGTCACTGTGATGCTGATAGTCAAGTTTGAGTGGGTCTAGTTTAGACTGCTACGATTGCAGGCTCTGGTTTCTGCCTTAAAAGGTAATGACAAATGTCAACATGCTGCAGATGGCAAAAGCGAGGTGTCACCTTCTGACTCATTTAACATTTTTATTAGTGATCCAGGAGCTCGTAAATGGCATGTTACTATTATCTGCAAATGACACCGTATGGGACAATGAGCACATAAGAAGGTAATGCGGCAGACAGTCCCAGGGAGTCGAACAAAGGAAGAGAACCGAATGTCAAGTTGGCAAAAAGAGATGAGCTAATAGGCTTAGGCAGGATGAGACAAACCACAGATAATGGATGGGCTGACTGGCCAGCGCAGATGATGGAAACTCCTAGAGTGAGTCACAGCCCATCACCCTCCTCTCTGCTCAAAGCTGAAGCCATCACTGTCAGGCCACTCTGTTGATGTGAGGCTCAAACCACCATCTGGGAGCCATGTGCGCACTTTCACAGTAAAAAACAATTATTAATAGAATGATGAGTCTAAGATGGAGTGGGTGCAAAGACAGAGAACTCTGGAGAATTAGGGGAAGAAAAAGACTAGGCTTTCTGCAAAGGTCAGGGGTGTAGTGTAAATATCCCCTCTGTTTCCTTCTGTTACTTGCATGCTCCTACACTACCTTCTCAGTCACAAGGTGAATGGAACCTCAAATGCTCACTCTCAAGTTGGCACTGGCAACATATGGCTTGGGGTCCACAGATCCTAAACCCATGTTTAGCTTCAGCCCAGGTTCTTTCTACCTGGCTCTTGATTTCTCAGTGAAAGGCCCTAGGCTTGGAGGAAACCCTTCTAGAGGAAGAAAAACACCTCCAAGATTACTCAGTCATCTCTCGGCCCTTAATAATCCATGGCTTAAGGGTATATAGAACTTTCTTCTCTGGAGGACTTCAAGGAAAAGGCCAACAACAGTTGCAAAAATAAACAAATGGGATAGGGCGGGAGTGGGAGAGTTAGTAGGAGCCGGAGAAAAACAGCCCCGCTTTAATCTATTTAATCTGAGGTTCTACAGAAGATTTCATTTATAATTTGCTCCTAACAGTTTTTGAAACTCCCTGTTGTCATTGGTTTCCTGCCTTTATTCTTCCTTGTCAGCAAGTGTACCCTTAAGCAATTCACTGTTCATTAACACCTTCAGAGAGAATTAAAGGAATAAAACTCAAAAGGGGTAGGAGGTAAAATGTTATGAATCCCAACCTCACCTGAGCCAGAGAAATGGTTTACTTGATGTCTTAGGCATCATCTTATTCTAATTACAGAGTCCTCCTTAGAATCAAGGTAAAAAATCATATTCTCTATTTTTTGCTTTTTTCTTTTCCTTCTCTTTTTTTCTTTAATGCTTGTGTGATTATATGACCCTTGATACTCAAATCCTGGGATGCTGTCTATCCTAATGACAGCTCATTCCCTCCCCCATTTATAGAATGAAATATGAATATGTCAATTCTTTTTTTTTGAGACACTCCATCACCCCAGTTGGAGTGAAGTGGAACAATTTCAGCTCACTGCAACCTCCACCTCTCAGGTTCAAGCGATTCTCCCACCTCAGCCTCCCAGGTAGCTGGGACTAAGGCACGCCCAGCTAAGTTTTTGTATTTTTTTTAGTGGAGACGGAGTTTTACCATGTTGGCAAGGCTGATCTCAAACTCCTGACCTCAAGTGACCCGCCCACCTCAGCCTCCCAAAGTGCTCGGATTACAGGCATGAGCCACCATGTCTGGCCCTATTCTTATCTTATTTAGACCTTGTTCAAAATAGTTTTCTATTGGAAACATGCAGTGTCCAGATTCTGGTGGCAATGGGAGGCAGGGGAGGGATGAAGGAGCATTTTTATTTTTATTTTTATTTATTTATTTATTTATTTATTTATTTATTTATTTATTTATTTTTGAGACGGAGTCTCACTCTGTCACCCAGGCTGGAGTGCAGTGTAATTACCAGTGTAATTACCATTCGTGTAATTCACATCCACATAATCAGAATTATGATTATGATCACGTAGTGGCATTATCACGGCTCACAGCAACCTCCATCTCTGGGGCTTAGGGATCCTCCCTCCTCAGCCTCCTGGGACTACCGGCATGAGCCACCATGCCCAGCTAAATGTGAGCACTCTTCTGAGTCACCACAGGGCAACTGGGGAGGTGATTACCTCTGCAAAGATACTCGGCTCAGGCTCATGGTATCTTAGTCACCTCTACTCTGCAAATGAGGTAGCGGTAGCAGTAATCCTCTAACAGAAAATGAGAGTTTAGTAGGCAGGCAGAGACTTCAGTTTTGAATTAAGAAAAAGCCCAGAAGTCTTCTATCAGCCATCAGATTGGCCCAACCTCTGTCAGGAATGCTTGTGATAGGGACCAGTTCATTAAAAAAAAAAATCACAGCTGAACAAAGTCAAAGTCAGCCTTCTCTAAAGGGAAGATCGGCCTTTGGTGGGTGGTAAATACATGGTAAATAAGGATGTTCTGTGCAAAAATAATGAGTCAGAATGAATACGTGGAGATTAGGACAGATTTCAGGAGACAGGGCGCGTGTAGGTTTCATTTTAGAACACTCCCCTTGGAGATACGGATTCTCCTTGACACAGTCATAGTGGTTTCTGTCTTCCAAACCAAACCCTGACTCCTTCAAATGTTGAAAAATCATCTCAAACTTAATGTGTCTAAGATCAAATTCATGCTCACTCCCAAACCTTCCTACAAATAGCAACTCCATCATTCCAGTTGCTCAGATAAAAAGTCTTGGAGTTTCCCTCTCTCTTTCTCTCTTTCTCTCTCTCTCTCTCTCTCTCTCTCTCTCTCTGCCTTCCTGCCTCCCGCAGACACACATACACACACATCCTATATAAAACCCACCAGCGCATCCCACTGGCAGAACTTCCAAGTTCAAATTCATTCCCAATCTGAACCATTTTACCCCCTTTCCACCTCCACTCTGTTCCCTGGCCCCCTAACTGGTCTCCCTTAAAGGCCTAAGTCAGATGACACTTTTCTATTCAAAAACTCTCCAATGGCATCTCAGTTTACTCAGCGTGAAATCCAAAGCCCTACAAGGGCCTAAGCAACCCAGCCCTCTGCCACCTCTTCCATCTCCTCCCTCCAGGTTTCATCTTCCCCTTGCCCCTACCTCCTTGCTGCTCATAGACCACACGGGCAATCTCTGTCCTCAAGGTTCCCACTCTGTGCCCATCTCACTATGTCCCCAGCACCCCTTCACGTCCTCCAGATCGCTGCACCCATGTCAGCTAATTAAAGAGGACTTCCTTCAACACCCTACATAAAATAACACTGCCCACCCACACTCCCATCTCCTTTACCAGACTTTGTTTTCTCGGGAACAGTTATACCACCTGGTGTATCTGATGATGTGTTAGCTTTCTCTCCCAACTACAGAATGTCAGCTCCATCAGGGCAGGAACTTTGTTTCACTGCTGTATTCCCAGGACCCAAAACAGTAATTGACACTGTGATTGACATCACAGAAATTCCACAAGTCCTCACTGCATGAATAATATCCCCCGTTTCTCTGTTCATACAGTTTCCTGTCTATTTCCTTAGGGTTCTTCCCTTCCCACGCCCCATCAAAAAAGTTCTTTTGAAAAATGTCTACCCTATCCAGGCTGGTATGAAGGAACAAGTGATCTGTCTACACCAGACTTGACAGCAGGGAAATTATGTCCTGCTGGCCAGGCATAGTGATAGCAGGGGCCACGTCAGGCTGAGGTACTAGAAGGAATAAATGGAACTGAGGCAGGTTCAGAGAGGAAACCACAGAAAGAGAGGACTTGGGTCAGCCCAAAGCACTAATCTCTCCTCCCCATGGTTTTCCTCAGACAGAAAGTAATACCCAAGAGTAAGTGACTTTCCCAAGGTCATAGAAATATTTATTGGGAAAGCTGGAAATACAGATTAAATCTCCACACTGTGTCCCAGCATTATTTTCCTCTAAACTGCATTTGCAAGTGGGAAGAAATTGCGTTTAAAAAAAATGTTTAAGCTCATTTTCTTTCTGGGTATTAATTGATGAGTCCATTGCAATCCTAACCCTTTTATGTTCCCCATGTTTTTCAATGACTTGCCTAAAGATAAAAAAGGCAAGTTTATCTAATTAGCATGTGACACAAATCCAAGGGGAAATAGCTAATATAATAAATGACAGAAGCATGATCAAAAAGAGGTTGATGAGCTAGTGCAATGAGCTAAAACTGACAAGACAAAATTTAGCAGGAGTTCAAAAATTTAACTACAAAAACATAGAAAGGAAGGAAATAGGATGTGGCAGCCATGCTTGTGAAAACTACGTCGGTGCTTCAGGCCACAGCAGAGGTTTAACCGGATGAACCCAGTGGAATATACAAGCCTGGGCCCCATGCACTGGGGATTCTGACTCAGTAGACCCAGACAACCATATGTTTTTTGAAGTGCTTCACAAACACACTTCAGTTTAAAACCCCAGTCTACAGCAAGATCAGGGTCAATCATGAATGAATGTAACATAGCACCCACAAACACCCATGCAGTCTTGGGCTGCATGAATAGAAAGATAGACTCTAAAATACAGATGATCAGCCAGGCACAGTGGTGCAGGCCTGTAGTCCCAGCTACTCAGGAGGCTGAAGCGGAAGGATCGCTTGAGCAAGGAGCTTGAGACCAGCCTGGACAACACAGTGAGACCCCTCTCAAATTAATAAAATAATTAATATTATTATTTTTAAAAGTTGACCATATTTCCTGTTCTATATCAATCACACTCCTTATTCATTTAATTATTCATTCACTCATCCCTTCATAACCTTGATGAAGTGCCTATTAAGAGTTAGGCATTAGGTTTGCTATAATGAGAAGTCAGACATAACCCTATACTCACAGAGCTCACAATCTTTTGGGAGAATGTTACTTGTGTAACTGGTATCTCTGGCCTCACCAGCCTGTAAGTGAACACGAGGACCACCTTGAAATACCACTCCAGATCTCAATGTTCCTTATCTCCATAGGTTTGTATCACAAGAAGTCCAGCCTATTCCTAGAATTTCTTTCCCTGGATATCTCCAAGAGTCTCCAGATGAGCTTAAAAGTGTCCAGAATTCACTCTGGATTTCTTCTCACTTTTTTTTTTTTTTTTAAATTCAGAGACAGGGTCTTGCTCTGTCACCCAGGCTAGAGTGCAGTGGCACCATCATAGCTCACTGCAGCCTCAAACTCCTGGGCTCAAGTGATCCTCCCACCTCAGCCTCCTGAGTAGTAGTTGAGACTACAGATGTGCGCCACCACACCCAGCTAATTTTTTTTTTTAAGAGACAGAGTCTTGCTCTGTTGCCCAGGCTGGAGTGCACTAGCACAATCTCGGCTCACTGCAACCTCCGCTTCCTGGGTTCAGCAGTTCTCCTGCCTCAGACTCATGAGTAGCTGTAATTACAGGCACGTGCCACAACACGTTGCTAATTTTTGTATTTGTATTTTTAGTAGAGACGGGGTTTCACCATGTTGGCCAGGCTGGTCTTGAACTCCTGACCTCAAGTGATCCACCCACCTCAGCCTTCCAAAGTACTGGGGTTACAGGTGTGAACCACTGTGCCCGGCCTAATTTTTTAATTTTTTGTAGAGACTGAGTCTCATTATGTCACCCCAGCTGGTCTTGAACTCCTGGACTCAAGTGATCCTCCTGTTTCAGCCACTCAAAGTGCTGGGATTACAATCATGAGCCACCACACCTGGCCTCTCCTCACTTCTTGATGAGAGGATGGGAACTTTTATACTCAATCCAAGAGACAAGATTCTATAACCAATGACTTCAGTACTAATTGCAAAGGAAATTTCCACCACAGCCAGTCTCTCATTTTTATGGTGCTGTGACCTGTTTAATGAAATAAGACAGAAAATACTCCCTCCCTACGCATGGGGCATCCCACAGCAAAGATGCCAGTGTCTTCAAATGTTACCATCCATGTAATTCACATCCACATAATCAGAATTACCAGCCTCACACCACCATCTCCACCTACCCCAGCCTGGCTAGGTCCTAATGAATTCCATAACCAGTAGTATCTACTCCTCCAAGCCTGTGGACCCAATGCTGAGGGTGGCTTGAGCTCATCTCTTCTTGTTCTCACAGTGAGTTCCTCTCAGAGACCTCATTCTTCTCGTCTGAGCCACCTCAGACTATTAGACATGTTTTTATATCCTTGCACCTCTGTTGGGGATCAGAGTCTCATACTCACGGTCAGGCAAGCTACTTCAGTGCCAAATGGAAGTCTCTGTGAATAATCAGTCTCCGTTTCCAGCATCAACTCTTCATCTCCAATGCCCTTCCCAGACAAAAGCATGTTGAACTCGGAATGCTGAAATTAGTTCTAGGAACCAAATTTTAAAGGGTCATGAACAAGCTGGAGTTTACTCAAAAGACATTGGACAAGAAAGAATGACAGAAGGAATTTAACATGTTAACCCTGGTCCCCTCTGAATCTGTGATTCTCTGAATGGCACAAGAAAGCAAGCATTTGGTAGAGAATGTTTGGATTTTGAACAGAAGGTCTCTGAAAAGGAATTTGGAGGAAAAAGATTATTCCATTGAATAGTCTGCGAACAGGAGAGACGTAGCCTTCCATTTAAAGTGAAGGTGCGACCCAGAGAACAAAGGGAGAGTTCAGGTTTTTGGTTTTGTTTTTTTTGTGTTTGTTTGTTTTGAGACAGTCACACTCTGTCACCCAGGCTCACTGCAACCTCTGACTCCCAGGTTCAAGCGATTCTCCTGCCTCAGCCTCCCTAGTAGCTGGGATTACAGGCACCTGCCACTGCGCCCAGCTAATTTTTGTGTTGTTAGTAGAGACAGGGTTTTGCCATGTTGGCCAGGCTGGTCTCGAACTCCTGACCTTAGGTAATCCACCCAGCTCAGCCTCCCAAAGTCCTGGGATTACAGGGGTAAGCCACCACACCCTGCCGAGAGTTCAGGTTTTATAGCCAAATTTCTCACCCAGGTTCCCAATCAGGTCTACTTACCCAAATGCAGAATTCAAACTTACTTAGTTCTGATTGGTCAACACGTGAGTTCTGATTGGTAGATACAGCTGAAACCTGATAGGTTGATAAAACTAAGCCCTGAAAGGCCAAGGCAGGTGAGCTCTGATTGATTGATTCAGGTGAACTCTGAAAGTCCTAAAGTTAAGTAGGAATGTGGGTTTTTGAGGAACTCAGAGTACACATGTGACCTGTAGTCAGCAAATGGCTGCCTGACTTTATTTAAAATAGGTCCAGGCCTCGGCAAAGTGGCTTAGGCCTGTAGTACCAGCACTTTAGGAGGCCGAGGTGGGAAGACTCCCTTAGCTCAGGAGTTCAAGATCAGCCTATGCAGTGTAGCAAAACCCCTATCAATAAATAAATAAATAAATAAATAAATAAATAAATAAATAAATAAATAAATAAAATAGGTCCAGTTAGCCACTCAGGATCCATCTCGAAGGAATAGCTCTTTCAGGTTCACATTTGTTTTCAGGGTAACAGTGTGCGCTCTGCTTAGACCGACAGGCTTGGATTGGAGGCGGCAGGAAACAAAACTGAAAGAGATAGTTCGGCCTAGGAAAACCTAAGAAACCTGTTTGGGGTTTAGCAGGCCATGAGGACCATGGAGATTTCTGCACAGAGTAGAAATCCGCCCAGAGCCAGGCTGTCGTCCTCCGCAGTGGGTGGATTGATGATTGGTGCAAGCGAAAGACTAAAGGCAAAGAAAACTGTTAGGATACTCGGCATGATCCAGAGATCAGACAGGGAGTTTCTGAGCTAGAAGAGACACAGTGAGAACAAACAACGGGTGGTTTGGTGAAAGAGAAACTACAGAAGTAGAATTCAGAGGACTTGGCAAATGAGTGGATGGGGAAGAAAACAGGGAAGAGGGAGGTGTCAGACTGGGCCTGCTACTTCAGGTCCAGGTCTATGTAAACAAGGTAATGACACATTAGAAATTTTATTTATTTATTTTTATTTTTTTGAGAGGGAGTCTCGCTCTGTCACCCAGGCTGGAGGGCAGTGGCACGATCTCGGCTCACTGCAACCTCCACCTCCCAGGTTCAAGTGATTCTCCTGCCTCAGCCTCCCAAGTAGCTGGGATTACAGGTGTGTGCCACCATGGCTGGCTAATTCTTTTGTAGTTTTGATAGGGACAGGTTTTCACTATGTTGGCCAGGCTGGTCTCGAACTCCTGACTTCAGGTCATCTGCCCACCTCAGCCTCCCAAAGTGCTGGCATTATAGGCGTGAGCCACTGCACCCAGCCAGAAAGTTTAAAATGAGAAGGATATTTGGGTTGGGAAGGAGAACAGGAGAGACTGAGATAGGTAAATAAAGAGTATTTGTTCTGTTTTGAATATTGTGAAAATTAGGTCCGTGTGCCACCCGGCTGGGAATGTTTAGAAGACAGTGAAGAAGGTAGAAATGATCTTCACTGGGGTAGGCTGAAGTTGAGGGAGGAAAAAAAAAAACAAACACACACACACTACATGAAATAAGCAGGTGACCATTTGTGACCCTGGAGAGAACCATTTCTGCAGAGACGTCGCAATGGGAAGTGAAATGCAAGGGTTAGGTTAGTTAAGGACGTAGTCAGTGGGAGGAAGTGGACGAGATAAGACAGCTTCATAACAATACAGCCCTTTTCTGATTATAAAAACTCATAGCAATTTATTGCAAAACGTTTTTAAGGAAGTATAAAGAAAACTTACATTTCCCATCCTCCCACCCCCAGAGATAAACACTATAAACATCTCGGGATAGTTCCCTCCAGACATTTTTTCTCTGCATATATTAGGGAGGTTTGGGTTTTTTAATTGGAATCACACTTTATATGCAGGTTTATTCCTGATTGTTTCACTGAACTTATATCTGAAGAATTTTTATATGTAATTAAATAGTTTTCAAATGCTGTTTTCAATGTTTTGAGCCCAACTTTTGCAAAACTAAACCACAGTTCATGTCAACAGCTAGGACAATCATCATTGTTTCAAATCTCTTAATGTTATAAAGCTCCATCTTCCTTGATGTTGGGGAGAACGATAAAGACAGAAAGTTAGCTCCAGGGTATGGCAGGTGGAGGGGAGAGTGATTGAAGGGATTTTGTTTGTTTTTAATGTAGGAAAACCCTGAATTTGTTTGAAGATAGATCCAAGAGAAATTCAGATCGAACACTGAAAAGGCTTCAAGGCTCTGGGGAAGACCTGAGTTTATGGGAGGCTGGTGCTCTTGAGCCTCACCTCAGCCCACAGACAGACCAAGAGAGACCCCACACCACCACGGTCAACTCACTGCATGAGACTTAAACATGGTGCCCGCTCCTGTGCAGCCCCGTGACCCTCCGCTGTTGGGAACTTGATGTCCTACTCAGGGGGACAAAATGGCACCAGAGGAAGTTATCCTGAAGGTTAACTGTCAGTTATCCTGACTTTCAGGGCTAATGAGATCATATCTTCTGAGCTCCTCAGAAAAACAGGCTACCTAGAATTAGGACAAACTCTTGTTCTAATTATTTAGCGGGGCCATGTTGCCTCCTCTCTTCTGATGGTCAGTCCTGCCTCTGGGGGCTCAAGACTGCTTCCTTCTCCTTTGCTTTCCATCCCTCCCAGAGGCCAATGTGACTATATCTGCCTGGCCTGCTCAGCCTACTTTTGATCCCGTCCCGGCCCAGCCTCCATTCCAATCCACAAAAGCATTAAGATCCCCAAATGCCAAGGCCTGCAGCTCAGCTCCTGTGCCCTTCAGCAATCCTTGCCGCCTCGGTTTGCTGCACAATCCTCCATAGAGAGCTGCCTGAGGTTCTATGTAAGCATCAGCCTATCCTCTACTGAAAACTCTTTTGATGTTTTTGTTCCTGAAAATACCCAAGTAGTGCATTACTGGAAGAAAAGGAAAGGGAACATGAGTCTCCAAGGGCTGAACATCCCTTTGCATTTCGGATCGCCTGAAACTATCGTGCCAAAAAGTCAATCAAGCAGCATGTATTAAGCCACGTGCATTGGTGTCACGGCCAGTTTCCCCAAGACAATACTAAGGAAACATGAATGGGAAGAAAGGGCAGAGCTATTCGGTAGCCAGGACTACCCTCTAGTGTTTAGTCAGAGGCCTTAACTCCCTCCACAACCCCACAAGCCAAATAAAAATAATACGAAGATACTCATTGCTAAACAGTAGATTGTTCATCTTACAGCATCTTAATGTTTTTTTGCATTACCGTTACCAGTCTAGGCCACACACAGAAAGGCAAGCTGTTCTTTTGACAAATTATTCCAACTGAATACAAGATTGTTTAAGGCAGCCATGGGTCATTTATTCACTATCCGATAGCAATAATATCCATGTCTGATCATGCAGCAGGGTTATTTTACAACTATTAAGCTAACCCTAGAAAACGTTATTTTAGTTTTGGAGGGTTTGGGGGATTGACTGTTTTTTGCTGATGCGAGCTCTGTGTTGCCCAGGCTGGAGTGCAGTGGCTATTCACAGGTGCAGTCATAGCACACTGTAGCTTCCAACTCCTGGGCTCAAGCAATCCTCCTGCCTCAGGCTCCCCATTAGCTGGGACTACAGGCCCCTGCCAGCATGCAAGCTCCAGAATATGTTTTGATGGTAACATCTAGTGCTATCAAAATTGTTAAAAAACGGATAAACTCATACTTTGTGTGTATATATACATGTATGTGTGTATATACACACATACATGTACATATATGTGTGTATATACATATACATATGTGTGTATATACATATACGTGTATATATACATATATACATATATGTGCGTGTATATATGTATATACACATACATGTATATATGTGTGTATATATGTATATACACATACATGTACGTGTGTGTGTGTGTATATATATATTTTTTCTTTTGAGATGGAGTCTTGCTCTGTCACCCAAGCTGGAGTGCAGTATCTCGGCTCACTACAACCTCTGCCTTCCAGGTTCAAGCGATTCTCTTGCCTCAGCCTCCTGCATAGTTGGGATTGCAGGCACCTGCCACCACACCCAGCTGATTTTTGTATTTTTAGTGGAGTCAGGGTTTTATCATGTTAGCCAAACTGGTCTCGAACTCCTGACCCCAAGTGATCCACCTGCCTCGGCCTCCCAAAGGGCTGGGATTACAGGTGTGAGCCACTGTGCCCGGTCATACTTTGTATATTGATATTTGCTAAACTCATCATTGTATATTGGGAAGCAACATTATAATATGTTTAGGTATCATGAAATGTGTTACCTTTTGATCCTGATTCCAGGAAATAATGCAACAGAATTTTTTAAATGATACAAATAGGAAAGTAGACCACAGCTTTATTTGCAATAGCTTCTTACTGTTATATTATTCGGCCACTTAAAATAATGATTTTAAAGCCTCTATTTGTGGTTTCATGTAAAATGAAAAAAGCAGGTTGTAAATTGCATGTACAGTGTAATTACAAGTTGTAAAATGTGTACATTGTATGGATATGTACAAACACTAGGTTGGAATGTAAAATAATAAATACAAATAATATTTGGTCACTTTGTGTTAAAGTAAGAGATGCTATTTGTTATTTGTATATTCTTTGTTTTGTTGTTTTGTTTTTAATTTTTTTAAGGCTGCCTTTAAACTGCTTACTAACATGTATCCAGCTTGGAAAAAGGTTCTCAGGTCCACAAGACCCTTTCTCAACTCAAAGCTAAGCCATTAAGTAATTCTCAGCTTGTGGCTTGAGGCCAAATGATCATTTTGTGGTTTTTGTTGCTAAAGCCAAGAATCCTATTAATTGGAAATAAGACATAATGAATACACAATAACAAATGAATTACAAGAAATATCACGGCCTATCAGTAAAACCACGTTATATGAATTACACAATGTTAGATGAATTATATGAATATCAAGGATGTGAATGTAATGTTGACATGAATAACTCGGAATAAGAGTCTTAATAAAAATATCAGAACATGCAATTGTACATTCACACCTCTTAGCAATAGTTTAATCACATAGATCGGAAGTAAGTTTGAGGTGCTTTATGTTGATGAAATTGTTAGTGTTAGTTTTTCTTTTGCTGTAAAGTTCTTATGGTTCAAAATTTTTTATGGCAACTCACCTTAGAGATTAAGAAATCTGGAGTCAAGTAGACCTGTGCTTAGTCCTCCTCTTGTACTCAGGAGAAGTTTCTGTGGTCTCAGCAACTTAGCAGGTGACCCAGAAGTGTTCTCAAAACCAGGCAAGCGGTAGCTAGAACAAAGTGATTGTCTAAAAAGCAGCTTTATAATGGGCTTCCACAGAGTGTTTGTAGCATCCAGTTGAGGATTTGTGACAAAGATAAAAATCCTAGCCAGGTTTTGGTCTTTAACTGAAGATTTGGTTTAAGCCACTGGAATAGTCATAGAACAGATTTGAAATCACACCATACTCATGGCTATACGATTCAAAATTAATGACACAACTATCTGAATATCTCCAAATATATGACATGAGGATAAAGATATAGCCCAGAGAATGTTTCAGAAACAGCCAAACCATTCAAAGGCAGAACAAAGAAGGGTATGTTGTTAAAACAGGCCAGTCAGGGACAAATAAATCAATCTTGACAAATAATATTAATCTTCTCATAAATGATTTCCTCACTGAAATTTGTATGCAAATCAATTCGAGAGTAGAAACATAAGGAAAAATGGAAACATTCACAAAATTAATGAATAGCCTTTCTTTTTTATTTTTATTTTTATTTTTTTTTTTTGAGACAGAGTCTCGCTCTGTCACCCAGGCTGGAGTGCAGTGGCGTGATCTCGGCTCACTGCAAGCTCCGCCTCCCGGGTTCACGCCATTGTCCTGCCTCAGCCTCCCCAGCAGCTGGGACTACAGGCGCCCGCCACCATGCCCGGCTAATTTTTTTGTGTGTTTTTAGTAGAGACGGGGTTTCACCGTGTTAGCCAGGATGGTCTCAATCTCCTGACCTCGTGATCCGCCAGCCTCAGCCTCCCAAAGCCTCCCAAAGTGCTGGGATTACAGGCGTGAGCCACCGCTCCCGGCCTGAATAGCCTTTCTAATGATGAACATATTGGCTGGGCATGGTGGCTCATGCCTGTAATCCCAGCACTCTGGGAGACTGAAGCAGGCGAATCACTTGAGGTCAGGAGTTCGAGACCAGCCTGGCCAACATGGTGAAACCCCATCTCTACTAAAACTACAAAAATTAGCCAGGCCTGGTGGCGTGTGCCTGTAATCTCAGCTACTCAGGAGGATGAGGCAGGAGATTCACTTGAACAGGAGAAGCAGAGGTTGCAGTGAGCTGAGATCGCACTACTGCACTCCAGCCTGGGTGACAGAGCAAGACTCTATCTCAACAACAACAAAAATTGCTGAACATATTACAAAAGAAATAAACCCCTGGTGAAATAGTCATAGTTCAGGATGTAAGGATATGCTTCCACTTGCCAACAAAAAACATTAAGATCCTGGCAAGTGCAATATGAGACAGTCACTGCAGAGTGAGTCGAGTATCTGAGCTGGAGTTGCCCTTAGCTTCATGGTATAAAGTTGGATATGGGTTATACTTAGGAGAAAATAGAGCTTTGTTTTCTTTTGCCTGGAATGAATTCCATTATGCAACTTCAGAACCAGCATTCAGAGTCCTGGGTGGCCTCTCATACCTTCCAATTGCAGCCCCTTCTCCTTGTCCTCTTTTCCTCTTCTGACATCCAAACTCTTTTTTTTTTTTTTTTTGGAGACAGAGTCTCGCTCTGTCGCCCAGGCTGGAATGCAGTGGTACGATCTCGGCTTACTGCAACCTCTGCTTCCCAGGTTCAATCAATTCTTTGCCTCGGCCTCCCGAGTAGCTGGGAGTGCAGGCACCTGCCACCACGCCCAGCTAATTTTTGTATTTTTAGTACAGATGGGGTTTCACCATCGTGGCCAGGCTGGTCTTGAACTCCTGACCTTGTGATCCACCCACCTTGGCCTCTCAAAGTGCTGGAATTACAGGCGTGAGCAAGCTCGCCTGGCCTCAAACTTTTAAAAGAAAGGAATCACAGACAGGGTTGTTACTGGGCTCTCTCCAGTCTTACACAAGGACGCAGATCTTTTCAAAGTTGTTTTTATTGCCCTTAAATGACACTATTGAAAGCTCACTGGTGTCCTAACTCTGGAAGGTGGCTAGCAATGGGGTGAGGTGGGGGAAATGGAAGAGCAGGTGCCCTGTATTAATCCATTCTCACACTGCTATAAAGATACTACCCAAGACTGGGTGATTTATAAACAAATGAGGTTTAATTGACTCACAGTTCCACATGGCTGGGAAGGCCTGAGAAAACTTACATTCGTGGTGGAAAGGGGAAGAAGGTACCTTCTTCACAAGGCAGCAGGAAAGAGACAAAAGCAAAGGAGGAACTTGCCAAACACTTATAAAACCATCAGATCTCGTAAGAACTCACTCTCACAAGAACAGCCTGGGGAAAACCGCCCCCATGATCCAATCACCTCCCACCATGTTCCTCCCTCAATACCTGGGGATAACAATTCAAGATGAGATTTGTATGGGAACAAAAGCCAAACCGTATCTTGCCTCAAGACCAAAAATGAGTGCTAATCAGAGACAATTTAGAAGGTAATCCTTTTTGTAGGAAAAGAAAATGGCTTCAAGATAGCCAGCAGAGATAAATTGGGTTAAATTAGTAAATTTAGAAGAAACAAAACAGAGCAGCCAGACCTTGTAGTAAGAGACAGGGAATGGGAGAAAGGGAAAGACAAAAAGGAGAACTATTGAATAATTTGCATCTGTCATCTCAAAAGTCAGCAGGGGATCCAACTAAGGCTGAACTGCATACGTCCACTGCTAATTGACCTGGGAGCCCATCGCCCTTCTTTTGGCAATTGCATTAGGGTGAGAAAAAAACACATTCCAAAGAAGAAAACTGCAGTGTAAGTCCACTCTACGTGCAGACTAATTGGCTCCATCCTTGAGGGGGAAGGTCAAAAGAAAAGTTCCAAGGAATTTGTGCTTTGGACAAAGAACGAACATGATGAATCTGATTTGTGTACTTAAGGAATGAGTTGGACTTCTGGGGGATGTTGACTTGTTGCTTCTCCTACTGGTCAACCAGGGAATAAAGTCATGCAATTAACACATACACACCCTTTCTTGGTTCTGCATGTGAAAGGAAAATAAATCTTGGGACCCCAAAATCACTAAGCCACAGGGAAATGTCACGCTGGGAACTGCGTCAGGCAAACCTGCCTCCCATTTTATTCCAAAATAATATAGCTACAAAGACTTTTTTAAAAACTACATACCTCGCTCACAATTTGCCCACAAGGAAATTCCTTGTGGGTCTCAAGATCTTTACCCTAAAACAGTTCTGCTGAATTTCACCCTGGCAATGTAAATTGACAGCTTATCTTCACAGGTGCCAGACAGAAAGTCATGCCCCTGCTCGCCTGAGACAAATGCATATCTGATTGCCTTCCTCTGCCCTATTGTTCATGTAAAAATGCAGGTTCACTGAGCCGGACTAAAGCATAAGTGACTATTCCTCTACACATACCCCTGACACTTAAATTGTTCATTCAGTGAAAGGCTGGTCAGCCGGGCTTGGTGGCTCACGCCTGTAATCTCAGCACTTTGGAGGCCAAGGCGTGTAGATTACTTGAAGCCAAGAGTTCAAGACCAGCCTGGCCAACATGGTGAAACCCAGTCTCTAACAAAAATACAAAAATTTGCTGGGTGTGGTGGCAAGCGCCTATAACCCCAGCTACTCGGGAGGATGAGGCAGGAGAATCGCTTGAACCCAGGAGGTGGAGGTTGCAGTGAGCTGAGATTGTGCCATTGCAGTCCAGCCTGGGAGTCAGAGTGAGACTACATCTCAAAAGAAGAAAAAGAAAGAAAGAAAGAAAGAAAGAAAGAAAGAAAGAAAGAAAGAAAGAAAGAAAGAAAGAAAGAAAGAAAGAAAGAAGAAAGGAAGGAAGGAAGGAAGGAAGGAAGGAAGGAAGGAAGGAAGGAAGGAAGGAAGGAAGGAAGGAAGGAAGGAGCTGATCAAAAACTCAAAAGAATGCAACTGTTTGTCTCTTATCTACCTATTACGTGGAAGCCCCTACTTCAAGTTGTGCCGCCTTAACAGACTGAACCAATGTACATCTTACAAATATTGATTGATGCCTCATGTCTCCCTAAAATGTGTAAAAGCAAGCTGTGTCCAAACCACCTTGGACACAGGTTGTCAAAACCTTCTGAGGCTGTGTCATGGGTGTGTCTTTAACCTTGGCAAAATAAACTTTCTAAATTGATTGAGACCTGTTTCAGACACTTTGGGTTTGCATACACATCAGCATCACAGACGGGAAGAAACCACATACTGGGAAATAGTGAAAGAGCACTCTCCCAGGGTCCCATGTAAGTTGTCCTGGGTTAGAAGCAATCTACACGAGTTCCTGTGAGATTGCACTTTATTTGTTAGGAGTTAGCTTGCGGTAATCAGCATACAACCTCCACCCTTGCAAACAAAAACAAAAAAACAAAAAAAAAACAAAATGGCAGTGACATCTACAAATCCAGAGAAGTGACCCAAGAGAGGGAGAACAGGAAATAAATGTATGGCAGCATATTTATTGACTCTACAAACATCGGTGCCAGACTGATGATTAGAGGGTTGGTCCAATGTATATTTTAATTTTAATGACTAAACTCGACCAAGAACTGACCTTTGAGAAGAAAAGTTTGTCTTGGCCACTAGCCACAGCAGCTTGAGAGATGGGAGCAAAGGGGTGGGCAACCAGAGAGAAGCTCTTCCAGGGTCCTATGTCAGTTGGTCTGGTTTAGAAGCCATCTACACAGGCTCCTGTGAGATTTCATTCTATTTGTTAGGAGTTAGCTTGGAATGATCAACAAACAAGCCAAAAAAAATGGCAGTGGCTTCTACAAATCCAGGGAAGTGACCCAAGCATCACAGTTGCTCCACAGTGACAGGAGCCCAGGCTCCTTCTATCTTGTTGCTCCCAGAGGTGGAGTCTTGTCCTCAAGGCCCAAGAGGTAGCATCTGTCTTCCAGACAGCAAGATAAAGCAGGGGGCGGAGACCTTGAGAAGGCAGGTCTTAAGCTCCTAAGAGATGGAGAGGAGGAAAGAAGGGAATGGAAGCAGATGTCAAAAGCAAACATCATGTATGTGATTATACCACCGCAAAACTTCTCTGAGTACCTTGGGTTGCTGATACTTGGTTAATTGCCCCCAGTGGCCTCAGATATCAGGCTTTATCTCTGAGGCACACCAAGAAAAGATGCAAATATGAGAACTGAAAAGCAAACCCACCTTGACTGAAGTTTCCACGTCTGCAGACTGGGAGAAGACTCCTGTCATCCCCAACAACTATGGACCACACACAGTTAGATTCCTATTTCTACCCTCAGTTTGCTGTATACCTTAGAAGTCTCCTGGCTCCTCTAACCAACAGTTTCCTATTTACATAAATAGGAATCCTATTTCTGCCCTCTGGCCATCCTTTAGAGTTAGGAAGGATAAAACAGACAGCAGTAAAGAACTTGAAACTCCTTGAATGTAGGTATCATATAAATAGTCTCATACAGTTTCAAGATTTCAACTAATTATAATATGAGCTAGAGGTTTAGTAGAAAATTTGGGGGTAGAGGGGCTAACTTAAAGGAGTCCTGTGCTCTCTCATTCCTTGCACCTTCAGTGACTATGTTATGGCCATCTTACGGGGCTTCGCAGTTCATATGCTCTGGTTGTAATGCACTCCCTTTCTTAGCTTATGCTGGGGCACAAATGAATTCTCCTTCATGCACAATCTTCCTGAAATAATCCTAAAGCATTGAAAGAAGTTGTCCTACAAAAGCTGATGGATTATACAATACACTTTGTAGATGAGTGCAGCCATGTAAGAAGTAGAGGACTGGCCAGGTGCGGTGGCTCATGCTTATAATTCCAAGAGTTTGGGAGGAAAATGTGGGAGGATCACTTGAACCCAGGAGTTTGAGAGCAGCCTGGGCAACATAGTGAGATCTCATCTCATGGAGGGGGAGGAGAAGGAGAAGGAGGAGGAGGAGGAGGAAGAGCAGGAGGAGGAAGAGGAGGAGCAGGAAGAGAAGGAGGAGAAGGAGAAGGAGAAGAGGAAGAGGAAGAGGAGGAGGAGGAAGAGGAGGAGAAGACTGACTGACTCCTCTGGCTCCAAAAACTCTGATGTTTGCCCTCTCTTTTCCCAGTAGGGTGTGCTTTCCCCATCAGCAAGCCACAGCCCGGCCAAATAAACCACTGTCCTAGAACTCCCCACATGGTATTCTCTCATCTAGTCTCTGTGTCTGCAACTGGTGCTGAGTGATCCAATTCCTGGAGCCAGCCAGTGCCAGAGAGCCAAGCTATTTTCTCCCCCAGTGCCACCGCCACTGGGGCTTAGAGACCCCCATAACCACTGGTTCCCTCCTTGACACAGCCACTAAAGTTCTTCTGAGCCACCACCACCACCCCACAGCCTGCCACCCTACCCTACAATCACTGCCCCTAGAGGTCTGTCTCTTACTCACTCCATCCAGCTGGGCTTTTCTCCCTCACCAAGAAATTAATGCAACTTCTAGCGTTCTCTCTCTTTCTCTCTCTCTTTCTCTCTCTCACTCTCTCTGCCATGTGCAGAAAGAAGATGTAACTTCGTAAAGTTGCACCATTTAAGCAAAAACCTGCATCCAGGAGCCATGTGGCTAATTTTTCCCAAGGGCTGAGGTTCCTTGGAGCCTCAGCATTGTCCTGCATCCCTCACCTCCCCACATCACCCTCCCTGTAGGAACCAAGACAGTCATTAGGGATCCCAATGACTTGTATTTGTCATTTTCATCCCTGCCTTCCTCCGTGCCATTCTCAGAGCCCAGCTATTCCTTATGGACCCTTTATCCAGTGCCAAACTACCCAAACTTCCAGGGAGAGGAAGGATCCCAGAGACCAAATGCTTTCCAGGAAAAGAGGGGAAAGAGGCAAATGCATCCAGAGAATCAAACCTGACCTCTCTCTGCCCTCACCACATCCTCCTCCCTAGGATGGTGATATGGTTTTGCTGTGTCCCCACCCAAATCTCATCTTGAATTGTAGCTCCCATAATCCCATGTGTTGTGGGAGGAACCCTGTGGGAGATAATTGAATCATGGGGGCAGTTTCTCCCACACTGTTATCGTGGTAATGAACAAGTCTCACGAGATCTGATGGTTTTATAAGTGGAAACCCCTTTTGCTTGGTTCCCATTCTCTCTTGCCACCACCATGTAAGACGTGCCTTTCCCCTTCCACCATGAGTGTGAGGCCTCCCCAGCCATATGAAACTGTAAGTCCACTAAATATCTTTTTCTTTATGAATTACCCAGTCTCAGGTATGTCTTTATCAGCAGCGTGAAAACACACTAATAAAGATGGGCAGCTACTGCCCAAATCCCTGAGCTGTGTCAAGCTGTGGGGTTACAAATCCACAGAACACCCTGTAAACCTCAGAGGTGTATAGCACCAATATGTGCTGACACTACAGAAAAAGAAGTGGCTGGTGTGCTGCCTTCCAAAAGCTTACAATCAAGTTAGGAAAGGCAAGGGTGGCACACATTTAAACAATAAAGAAATAAATAGCATCATGGCATATAACAGTGGAAATTATGTGGCATAGGCTCTGAATCAGTTTTTTTTTTTAGCATGCATAAGAGCACCTGAAAAACGTATTTAAAGCACAGATTCCTGAGCCTCACTCCCAGATATTTTTATTTAGTACCTGTGGAGTAGGTTTGTGATCTTTTTAAGAAAAATCCGGTCGGGCATGATGGCTCACGCCTGTAATCCCACCACTTTGGCAGGCCAAGGCAGGTGGATCACTTGAGGTCAGGGGTTCAAGACCAGCCTGGCCAACATGGTGAAACTCTGTCTCTACTAAAAATACAAAAATTAGCCAGGCATGGTGGTACGTGCCTGTAATCCCAGCTACTTGGGAAGCTGAGGCAGGAGAATCGCTTGAACCCAGGAGGTGGAGGTTGCAGTGACCCAAGATCGTGCCACTGCACTCCAGCCTGGGCAACAGAGCTATAGACTCCACCTCAAAAAAAAAAGAAAAAGAAAAAGAAAAAGAAAAAGAAAAATCCCAGGTGATTTTGATGGTAGGATGCCAAGAAAATAGCACAAAGATATAGCACAATAGTTACCATGGATTACAGGAGCTTTCATTGCAACAACCAAATCACAACTAAAACTACTTAAAACTATCTGTTTTCTATGCTAGCCAGTTCCATTACTGCACCAGGCACCACACTTAGCAAAAACAATTGCTCTATGTTGCCCAAAGTATTTTTCCATAACTGAAAGACACCTGAAAAAGGAAGAAAAGATGAATTGTCTTAGTGAGACTCATATGAATTTTTCAGTTGCTACAAGAGGTAATTAATTAGAGGGCACTTTTGGTGTCTTGTCATCTTGATCAATCTGGCTTAGCCTCCAGGGCTATCAACCTCAGAGCTGGAAACACTTATTCCCCAGGCCAAATATGCTGCCCCCACCTAGATCCCAGCAAAGCTTAGTGACCTCTCCTAAACCACAGCCAGCTACACATGAGCTCTTGCCATCCCACCTGCAAGGAAAGAGCCATGCAATTTAAAGATGGAAGAGATTGTGGTCATCATTTTACATTTTACGAACCTCTTCATTTTACAAGTAAAGAAATAGAGACCCAGAGACCCAAAGGCACAGGGCTAATGCCATCTCTCCTGGAAGTCAGATAGGAAGAGTCCTCACACCCCCTGCAGCCAAAATACAGTCATCCACACTTACCCTTTTAGGAAGAGGGTGACAGATGGGAGAGTAGTGTTTTTCCTTGCCACCTAGCCTTGTCTGTTTCCAAATCACTTATCAATTCACTCAGCAGCCTTGTCAGAGAAATATCTTGAGCCCTGCGGGGGGCCCAAGAAGAGGGAATAGGGCTAAGTGACTTCCAATGAGTGGGAGTGACTTCCCAATAGGACAGAGGATGTCAGGCAGGAAACGCACGTTCATGGGGTCACTGTCTCCCTGCACAAAGCCCAGAGCTGAAGGGAAGAGGGAAGGCAGCAGACCAAAGCAAGGAAGCAGGTCAGGCTTCGAGTTCAAGGTTTCTTTTCTATAGATTCTAGGGGAAGAGGAGCTCACCAAAAAGAGAGAGAAAGAAAAGGAGAGGGGGGTGGAAGAAAATGCCCCATGTACACCTAAAAGGTCTGGCAGGGCACAGTTTGCCTAAATACCCCAAGATGCTTCTCAGCAGCCCAGCGACATGCACAGTAGGTCTGGACTGTCAGGGGCAGGCAGGTCAGGACTGGGAGGTGAGGCTGGCCTCCAGGTTGCAGTGCCAGAGGTGTGGCCAGGCCAGGACGGGGAGGCTCTTCCGGCTGATGCCCACCCCCACTCTGCAGCTGCTCTCCCTCTCCACTCTGCCCTGCTTCACTCCCACCTTTTTCCTGGTTTGGGTTCAAACCCTAGCAACTAGCTCCAACAGATAACAACACCTGCCCACTCAGCAAACTGGCGTGCAGTCAAGAGACCGCCACACAATTGACTCTTCTGACACAGCACCTTTTGTTGCAGCCAAGATGTTTGAGAGGGAGAGAGTGAGGACACAGCTCAGTGGACCGGCTCCTGGCAAC
Source organism: Homo sapiens (assembly GCF_000001405.40). Taxonomy (NCBI): domain Eukaryota; kingdom Metazoa; phylum Chordata; class Mammalia; order Primates; family Hominidae; genus Homo; species Homo sapiens. Next base: position 30,012,541 of record NC_000008.11, read on the forward strand.
ATGGCCTGGTCGGAAGCTCACATTTGCATTCTCGTCCTCAGGCCCCCACTCCCGGCCCCCATCCATGGAGCATAGAGAAACAGGTGGTGAGCATCCTCACTGGCAGATGCAGCAGGCGCTCACAGCAGAGGCAACGTCACTTTCCTTGTAGGTTTCTTGGCACCTTCTGGCCTTTCTGGAGCCAGCACCTCCTGGGAACTTGCTTCCTGGTGCTTCATCAAGGCCTTTGGCGTAACCATCCAGGATCTGTCACTCGTCCCACAAGGACTAGGGTCCTGCATTTTCTAAGTCACAGAAGCCTGTCAGGTCACACAGCCACAAAGTAAAGAGAGAGACCCAGACAGGAGAAAACTCGTGGAGGAAAATCATCACCACCAAGTAATGGCAAAGGAGGACTCCACACGTTCTGAAAAACAAGTCTCCTTAACTAGCCATTTTCTCGTCCCACCCTGGGCAGGCCAGCACTTCTCCATTTTCACACAGCTCTCCCCACATTCACACAGGTCTGTTTGGTTAAAAAAGAGAACAGAATTGTGCTGAAGTGGCTACTGAATGCTAAGGTTTGGGGGTTTGTTTTAATTTTTATATTCTAGAAAGAGGGTCTTCCTCTGTTACCCAGGCTGGAGTGTAGTGGTGCAATCATAGCTCACTGTAACTGGAAACTCCTAACCTCAAGCATCCTCCCACCCAGCCTCCTGAGTAGATGGGACCACAAGTGCACACCACCACACCCAGCTAATTTTTTTTTTTGGTAGAGACAGGGTCTTGCTGTGTTGGCCAGGCTGGCACGCAGTGGCACAATCATAGCTAACTGCAGCCCCAACCTCCCAGGCTCAAGCAATCCCCCCACCTCAGCCTCCCAAGTAGCTGGGACCACAGGTGTGCACCACCACAGCCAGCTAAATTATTTTATTTTTTGTAGAGACAGGTCTCACTGTGTTGCCCAGGCTGGTCTCAAACTCCTAGCCTTAAGCGATCCTCCCACCTCAGCTTCCCAAGTGCTGGGATTACAGGCATGAGTCACCACAGCCAGCAAAATGTTAAGATTTATATCACTGGAAATTTCTGTGTATGAAGTCAAGTGCCTGACCTTAAGGCACCTACTTTCTAATAGGAAAAACAAGGCAGGCAACTATCAAAAATATATGTGTAACATGCCACTCTGTGACACTGGGGATACAAGAAATGCCTCCTTAATTTTTTTAGTCAGATTGAATCTAATGAGACCCTACTTTCCAAAGGTGATGAAAAGTTTCATGTCTGTCATTTGGGGGAGTTATTTCTCCTTTCCATAAGCATAAGAACCCATAGGCTTTACATGATCCAAAAAAACAAAGGAGGAGGACCTGCTCATTGCCCCCAAGATGATGTGCACTGCTTGCTCCTAGTCCAGGGTGTGTGCTGCATGTGTTCCATGGCAGGCAGTTGTATTCCCTCCACGCCAAGTTCAGCCACAAAGGAATGTCCCTTAATAACCAAGACTCAGACAGCCCAGCAGTCATTGCCTTTGGATGTCTTTCCATCCCTGAGATGTTGGATTCAAGGGAGGTCAGCTCTGCACTGTTTACGAAACACACACTCCTCCTAGTCCTGGGCGATATAGCCACTAACTCCCCGGCCCTTGCAGCCCTCGGCTTAGATAACACCTCCTGGCATTCTATGTCTCACAGCCCTGTCGTATTTTCTTCACAATACTGATCACTAGCTGAAGCAATCTGATTTGTGGACTATGTGTTGGTTTACTGTGTTCTTCAGAAGAACACAAATTCTGTGAGAGCTGGATCCTTTCCAATCCTATTTGCTGATATATATCCAATGCCTAGAAAAGTGCCTGGCACAAGCTAGGGACAAGTATCTGTTGAATGAGTAACTTAATATGCCAAGACTGAAACCTCCTCCTTTTCTTATACTATCAAACATTATTTTGCCAACAAACCCCATGCTGAATGGCCCTAGATCTTCAAAAGCAGCATATCTCAGAGATGGAAAATGGAAAAGCGTCCTTGGTTCTTTCTAGCTGAGTCTACAAGAAGAAAACTCAGGTTAATGTTTCAATTACCCATTATACACACATATATATACAAATATCTCTATGATGTCAATATTATTTTGCAGGAATACAGTTGATAAGGGACTGAGCTGGACAAGATCACAAAGCTGATCTGAATTCAATAATTTTCAGACTGATCATTCAGACTTGGCTTAAGGTTGCTTTCACTTTTGTTTGCTACCCAACTAGCAAATGAGCAATGAAAATAATATACACAGGCTTGGCATGGTGACTCATGCCTGTGATCCCAGCACTTTGGGAGGCTGAGGCAGGAGGATTGCTTGAGGCCAGGAGTTCAAGACCAGGCTGGCCAACATGGCGAAACCCCATCTCTACTAAAATTACAAAAATTAGCCAGGCATGGTGGCTCACACTTGTAATCCCAGCTACTCAGGAGGCTAAGGGAGGAAAATTTCCCCAACCCAGGAGGTGGAGGTTGCAATGAGCCGAGATCATGCCACTGCACTCCAGCCTGGGTGAGAGTGAGACTGTTTCAAAAAAGAAAAAGAAAATAATATACACAGCAGGGTGTGGCAGCTCATGTCTGTAAGCCTGTAATCCCAGTGCTTTGGGGAGGCCAAGGCAGGAGGATCACTTGAGGCCAGTGTTGGGAACAGGCCCCCAAATCTGGCCATAAACTGGCCCCAAAACTGGCCATAAACAAAATCTCTGCAGCACTGTGACATGTTCATGATAGCCATGACACCCTTACTGAAGGTTGTGGGTTTACTGGGTTGTGTGTTCCTTACCTTACCAGGCAAGGAACACCTGGCCCACCCAGGGAGGAAAACTGCTTAAAGGCGTTCCTAAGCCACAAACAATAGCATGAGCAATCTGTGCCTTAAGGACATGTTCCTGCTGCAGATAACTAGCCAGAGCCCATCCCTTTGTTTCGGCCCATCCCTTTGTTTCCCATAAGGAATACTTTTAGTTAATCTGTAATCTATAGCAATAATGCTTATCACTGGCTTGCTGTCAATAAATATGTGGGTCAAACTCTGTTCAGGGCTCTCAGCTCTGAAGGCTGTGAGTCCCCTGATTTCCCACTCCACACTCTATATTTCTGTGTGTGTATCTTTAATTCCTCTAGTGCCACTGGGTTAGGGTCTCCACAACCTAGCTGGTCTCGACAGGCCAGGCGTTTGAGATCAGCCTGGGCAATACAGCAAGACCCCCCAGCTCTTAAAAAAAAACAAAAAGAAAAATATGGATGAGTAGACTCATCCCAGTTGCCTTCCTAAAATTCTTTACAGCCCCCAAAAATTTAATGGCTTCAGCAGGTCAAATAGAGTAAGGAACCTACCAAGACAAAAGAGCCCAGAATCTCAGTTCATTGACTTTCACAGGAATTTCCTGTCCCATTTTTAACTGCACCAATGGGCCCGCATTGGAGTGTGACCCCTGGCCACAGTCCACAATAGGGGTTGTGGTACAGACTAGCTTTGTGTCATCAAAAATGAATTAAAATAAATGGTTGATCTATGGTTGAAATGAGGAGAGTAATGTGCTATGGAAGACAGGAGGAAGAAAATGCTTTCAAACATATGAAGTGTTTTGTTTAAAAACTTGGAGAAGAGTAGAAGTTGAGTGTGCAGAGGGGAGGAATCCACAAAAGCAAGCCGGGCTCCAAAGGAAGCTGTGGGCGTGGGTTTACACTGAGAGACTGGAGCCATCTGGTGGAGAATGCTGAAAGCAACAAAGAATAATGAGAATCAGTGCAGTCTGCTAGAGAAATGAGATCCCAGAAGTGGGGACTGGAAGATACTCTTTACTTTTACATATGATGAAGTTGAGATTCAACAAATTTAAGTGACTTGCCGAAGCTGAAAGGGTGAAATAATGTCATTATTAAATGGGTTACCCTCAGATATGGTTTCAATCTAGTATGAACTGAAAAGTGGCTGATTTTGAAGAGCCTCAGTGATCAGGGAACTTGTACTCCACTCTGAAACTTTCAACACTTGCCCTTCCCTGTACTAGTCTGTTCTCACACTGCTAATAAAGACATACCTGAAACTGGGTAATTTATAAGGGAAAGAGATTTAAGGGACTCACAGTTCCACATGGCAGGAGAGGCCTCACAATTATGGCAGCTAGCAAGGGAGGAGCAGTCACATCTTACACAGCAGCAGGCAAGAGAGCTTGTGCGGGGAACTCCCCTTTATAAAACCAACAGATCTCGTGAGATTTATTCACTACCACAAGAACAGTATGGGGGAAACCACCCCCATGATTCAGTTATCTCCACCAGGCCCCAGCCTTGACATGTGGGGATTATTACAATTCTAGATGAGATTTGGGTGGGGACACAGCCAAACCATATCACTCCCTGAGCCCAGGAATCTATAAATTGTCAATCATGATCTCTAAGTCAGTCTTGATTCTCTCTCTGGTCAATATCCAAATGCACACAGTTGGATTCCCAGCTATATGTCACAACCTGCTGCCCAGCCTGAAGGCCTCCCTACAGGGAGGGAAACATAGGTGACAACTCCCCTCCTAGAGTTGGGATTGCATTCTTGACACCACACCTTTATCACTGGTGGCAATAATGGGATTTCAAATAAACTACTCTTTGGTCAAAGATTAGATGAGACTGTCCTGCCTCAACTGCATAGAAACTGCATAGAAATACCTTGTTCTCATGGGCCTGAAACTTGCAGAATGGATTTGCTGTAGATATGCTTTTGTACACATGTGAGCTTAGGCTTGTTCTATGGGCTATTACACAGACAGAAGTAAACACCATTACTTATTTCAGTAGAGATATTGTCCCTGAGGCCCAATCTCAAAGATAGATACAATTGACCAAAACAAAAACAGACAAAAATAAATAAAATGACCCCGGATTTCTTAGCTGCAGCCCATGAAAGCCACACAGACTTAACAGAGTAGGAACTTGGTCAAGGATATTAGACAATTCACATAATTGCTGAGAGAGTTAGAAAGCCAGTTGCTGGAACCATATGGGTAGAAACAACACCCAGCTATGTTGTGGGGGCTTGTAAGGAACTATCTTAGCCCCCACTGCTCACTCTCTATGCCCCTAGAGATTGAACATTAAAGAGCTTTTAGCTGGGCAGAATGGCACACACTTGTAGTCCCAGCACTTTGGGAGGCTAAGGCAGGAAAATCACTTGAGGCTGGGAGTTCAAGACCAGCCTGGGTAACACAGTGAGACACCCTCTCTCCAAAAAAATAAAAAGTTTTCCCAAGGACCAGCCATCTGTCCCCATGTTAGCTAGAAGATCAATTCCAGCATGTAGCAGAAACTACTATGCAGTCACCAAAACCCATGACTAGATCACATTTCCCAGACTTCCTTACTGTTAAATGTGGTGACTGTCTGAGTTCCAGCCAATAGAATGTAGGTAGAGGAAAAGTGCATCACTTCCGGGAAGAGCCAGTAAAAGCCTCCTGCAAGTCATCTTTTCTTGCTTCCTCCCCTGCCTGAATGGAGAGGACTCTGTGGACCTAGAGAAGGGCAGAACCACAAGATGAAAAAAGCCTTGAGCCCCTGAGTGACCACATGGAGGGCTGCATTACAAGGAACTCTCACATCAGACTCTGGAAAGTGACAAGTAAATGTACATTGTGCTTCAGGCCAGAGAAGGTAAAATTGATCTGCAGCAGCAACTGCTGTGACTCACCCTAAGGACAACCACTCACAAGTCTTTCATGGGCTCATGTGAGTGAAAGGATCTAGATTAGATGCTGCACCCTAGCTGCAAGGGAGCCGGGGGATGCAAGTTTGCTGCCATCATTCTTGTGAAAGTGGGATTCAGAATGTGGACAGTTACCAAGATGTAGAGAAAATACTTGGAGCAGCAATAAATGAAGCATGATCCCTACAGAAAGAAACAAACAGTTCACAGAAAATGTAGCCCAAATAGCCAGTAAACATATGAAAGGGGCCGGGCATGGTGGCTCACGCCTGTAATCCCAGTACTTTGGGAGGCCAAGGCAGGAAGATCACGAGGTCAGGAAATTGAGACCATCATGGCTAACATGGTGAAACCCCATCTCTACTAAAAATACAAAAAATTAGCCGGGCATTGTGACACACACCTGTAGTCCCAGCTGCTCAGGAGGCTGAGGCAGGAGAATGGCTTGAACTCAGAAGGCACAGGTTGCAATGAGCCGAGATCACACCACTGCTCTCCAGCCTGGGTAACAGAGTGAGATTCTGTCTCAAAACAAAAACAAAAACAAAAACAAAAAAAAAACATATGAAAGGATTACCAATATCACTAGTAATGATGGAGATGCAAAATTTTACCCCCAAAAAACAGGTGATTTTATACCATTAGATTGCAAAGCGTTTTAAGGCTTATAAATTTGGCAATGATGTGGAGAAATGAGGCCTCTCATATCATGTTGGTCAAAGTGTAAATTATCACACCCATTATGGAGAGCAAAATTGGACACTCTATAATAAAGTCAGAGACGTACCTTGAAATCCAATCTAGCAAGTCTGTTTCTAGACATGTATCTTAGCGATGGAGTGTCTCACAGCAACAGACAAATGCCCTCAAATGACACATATTGCTTTCACTCATGGCCCATTGACAAGAACTAATCAAAAGGCCCTGCCTTACTATAAGGTCACAAGAAAGAATAATCCTCCCACATGTTCAGAAAGGAGAAGAAAACTAGATATGACTTAGTATAATACCAGAAAGCAGAGACCACACTTTTCCAAAGAACTTCAATGTTGAAGCCTTTCTTGCAAAAACAGCAAAGAAAGTCTCACTATAAGACCTTCTCACAATGCAGAGACTTACTGCCGTCATCAGATTGCAAAACTTTTTTATTGAGGCAGAATCCATAGGTGATGAAAAGGAAATGTTTGTAGGTTTAGAAAGGTTAAAAGTAAAATCCAGGCAGAGGCAGTAAGATTGCTTGAGCCCAGGAGTTCAAGATCAGCCTAGGCAACATAGAGAAACTCTTGTCTCTGCAAAAAATGCAAAAATTAGCTGGGCATGTTAGCACACGCCTGTAGTCCCAGCTACTTGGGAGACTGAGGCAGGAGGATCATGTAAGCCCAGGAGGTTGAGGCTGCAGAGAACCATGATTGCTCTACTGACTCCAACTGGGCAACAGAGTGAGACTCTGTCTCAAAAAAAAAAAAAAAAAAAAAAAGAAAATTCCAATGACAAGGTCAGAATGATTCATCCCTTCCCAACTTTAGACTCAGACAGTCTATGACAACATCTTGCCATCTGTTGTATCTGACAGCCCCAGTATCTAGATGTAAAGCCATCTCTCAAGAACTTTGGTCAACAGTAACAGCACCTTGTTTACTTACTATCATCCATCCCAGAAAGGCATCTTGATATCCACATGTTGGAAAGCATCCAACAGGTAAGTGGCGATTAGGCCTATTATTGGTTTAGCTACAATCATCTAGATAGTCCAAATTTGGACAAGTCAGCATTGCTGAATCACACAATCTCCTGGAAAATTCAAGCAAATAAACAAGGAATCTGCCTTTCACCTCTATTACAATTCACCTCTATTCAAATGAAGGTGATATTTTCATGGTGGATTCTCGCACCAGCACCTATCTTAATACCTGGCACATAGACATTAGACAAATGTTTGTTAAATAAATGGATCAACGCATCAATCAATCTGGGTAATTATAGGCATACCATTGCTATCTGGTCTGCAAACTAAATTGCAGGATAAACACTCAGCCAGTAAAATCACTACCAGAGCTAGATGGTTGTATATATACCAGGAATTTTTGTCCAGATGCCAAGGGGAGGTGGAGGAGGAGGCTGGGAACTATCCCAGCTGGCATGGCTCTATAGATCCCACTGCCAAAGAAAGCACAGAGGCAGAAACGGAACTTTGAGCCAACTCAGTGAATTCACAGGCTGGGAGATACCATCCCATCTCTTCTCATAAATAATGGAGGCATAGCATCATTCTGTGTCTTAGCTTTGCCATTTTTTAAGTATATAAATTTTTAATTGACAAATAATTGTTCATATTCATGGGGTACATAGTGATGTTTTGATACATAGCATTATTCTATGTCTTAGCTTTGCCATTTTTTAAGTATACAAATTTTTTAATTGACAAATAATAGTACATATTCATGGGTACATAGTGATGTTTTGATACATAGAATGTATAGTGATCATATCAGAGTAATTAGCATATCCATCATCTCAATCATTTATCATTTCTTTGTGTTGGAAACATTCAATAGCTTTCTTCTCTACTTTGCCATCTGTAACAAGCAGGGTAGGACTAGAAGAGAATGAAGTTATGCAGCAAGAAACAGATTATTTTGCTGGCAAACACTAGGATTCTACCAAGTTTCTTGCTTCGCTTTGGAATTGAGATAAAGGCCCAAGCAGAAGCGAGATCAGAAACTTTCCCATATGAAACATATAGACACCCTAAGGTTTATGTCCAAATCCATCTTGATCTCTGAAGGAAGCAATCCTTGAAAAAAATATTTTTTTTCCAAAGACTGTGGAAGGCTCATGGCACAAGAAACTACCTGGGTATTAATTGGTGATGTCCTAGGAGAACAGTCAAGAAAATAGACACAGGCCGGGCACAGTGCTTCACGGCTGTAATCCCAGCACTTTGGGAGGCTGAGGAGGGTGGATCACCTAAGGTCAGAAGTTCAAGACCATCCTGGCCAACATGGTGAAACCCCATCTCTACTAAAAATACAAAATTAGCTGAGCTTGGTGGTGCATGCCTGTAATCCCAGATACTCCAGAGGCTGAGGCAGAAGAATTGCTTAGAACCCAGGAGGCGGAAGTTGCAGTGAGATGAGATCATGCCACTGCACTCCAGCCTGGGTGACAGAGCAAGACTCTGTCTCAAAAAAGAAAAGAAAAGAAAAGAAACACAGAGGAGGCTGGGCACAGTGGCTCATTCCTGTAGTTCCAGCACTTTGGGAAGCCAAGAAGGGAGGAGTGCTTGAGCTCAGAAGTTCCAGACCGGCCTGGGCAACACAGTGAGACTTGTCTCTACAAAAGATAAAATAATTTAGCTGGCTGTGGTGGTGCATGCCTGTGGTCCCAGCTACTTGGGAGGCTGAGGTGGGGGGATTGCTTGAGCCTGGGAGGTTGGGGCTGCAGTTAGCTATGATTGTGCCACTGTGTGCCAGCCTGGCCAACACAGCAAGACCCTGTCTCTACCAAAAAAAAATTAGCTGGGTGTGGTGGTGTGCACTCAATAAAACTAAGAGCTAGTATCTAGCTAGTATCTCATCAGAAATCATGGAGGTTAGGAGGCAGTGGGATAACATATTAAAAGAGCTGAAATATAAATTAAAAGTGCTATTAACCAAAAATTCTATATCTGACAAAACTATCTTTCAAAACTAAAGAGGAAATTAAGACATTCCCAGATAAACAAAAACTGAGAGAATCCATTGCTAGTAGACCTAACCTATAAGAAATGCTGAGAGGAGTCCTTCAGCTGAAATGAGAAGGAACACAAGCAATGCAAATCCACCCAAAGAAATAATGAACATCTGTAAATATTTACCTAACAACATAGGTAAATATAAGTCAGTATTCGTTTATTTTTAGTTTGTAACTCCTTTTTTTCCTATATAGTTTAAAACACAACTGTTTAGGGCTGTGTATGGTGGCTCACACATTTAATCCTAGCACTTTGAGGGGTCAAAGCAGAAGGATTGCTTGGGCCCAGGATTTTGAGGTCAGACTGGGCAACATAGACTCCATCTCTACAAATTTTTTTTTAATTAACCAGGCATAGTGGCATGTGCCTGTGGTCTCAGCTACTCAAGAGACTGAGGCAGGAGGATCACTTGAACCCAGGAGACAGACTGAGACTGCAGTGAGCCATGTTCACATCACTGCACCCCAGCCAGGGCAACAGAGCGAGATCCCATCTCAAAAAGTCAATCAATCAATCAATAAAACACAACAACTGTATAAAACAATACTTATAAATCTTCACTGATGTGCTCACAATGTATAAAGATGTGATTTGTAACAACAACAAATGGGATAGAGTTTTATAAGAGCAAAAATTGTGACTACTATTGAAAATAAGTTGGCATTAATTTGAACTTGTTTGTTATAAATTAAGATGTTAACTGTAATTCTCAGAGTAACCACTAAGAAAAAAAACTAAAAAGTATATTGTAAAAGAAATAAGAAGGAATAAAAAATGTACACTAGAAGATATCTATTAAATATAAAAGAAGGCAATAATGGAGGAATTGAGGGAAAAAAAACAATGTGAAATATAGAAAACAATAGCAAAGTGCAGAAGCCTTTCCTTATCAGTAATTAATTAGCGTAAATTAATTCAGAGATTAAATTATCTGAGTAAAGGGAAGAGACTTAGCAGAATATATTTTTTTAAAATAATCTAACCATATGCTGTCTACAAAATACTCACTTTAAATCCAAAGACAAATAGGTTGAGGCCAGGCACGATGGCTCATGCTTATAATCCCAGCTCTTTGGAAGGCCAAGGTGGGTGAATCACTTGAGGCCAGGAGTTGGGCAACATGGTGAAACCCTGTCTCTACTAAAAAGTACAAAAATTAGCCAGGTACGGTGGCTCACACCTATAATCCCAGCACTCTGGGAGGCTGAGGCGGGCAGATCACAAGGTCGGAAGTTCAAGACCAGCCTGACCAACATGGTGAAACCCCATGTCTACTAAAAATATAAAAATTAGCCAGGCGTGGTGGTGAGTGCCTGTAATCCCAGCTACTCAAGAGGCTGAGGCAGGAGAATCTCTTGAACCCGGGAGGCAAAGGTTGCAGTGAGCCAAGGTCGTGCCACTGCACTCTAGCCTGGGCGACAGAGCGAGACTCCAGTCTCAAAAAAAAAAAAAATTAGCTGGGCATGGTGGCACACACCTGTAGTCCTAGTTACTCCAGAAGCTGAGGCAGGAAAATCACTTGAACCTGGGGAGGTGGAGGTTGCAGTGAGCTGAGACCATGCCACTGCACTCGAGCCTGGATGACAGAGTGAGACCCCATCTCAAAACACACATACACACACATACACACACACACAAAGACAAATAGGTTGAAAGTAAAAGAATAGGAAGAGACTTTCCAAGCAAACATTAGCCAAAAAAGAACTTGAGCGGCTATATTAATATCAAACAAAATAGTAAGATAAAAATGTTTACAAAAGACAATAATGGATATTATACAATAATAATTATATAATATTATATACAATACTGATTATATACAATCAAGAAGATAAAACAATTATAAACATATGTACCTAAAAACAGAGACCCAAAATATATAAGGCAAAAACTGGCAGAATTGAAGGGAGAGATTATTCGATAATAATCATTACAAACTTCACTACTCCACTTTCAGTAGTGGGTGGAACAACTAGAAAAAAGATCAACAAGGAAATAAAAGAGTTGAACGACACTGTAAACAAACTAGACCTAACAAACTCTATAGAGCTCTATTATAGAACACTCTACCCAACAGAAGACACTCTTCTCATACCTAGCATTCTTCTCAAGTGTATATGGACCAACTCCAGAATAGATTATATTTAAACCACAAAACAAATCTCAAAGACTTTTCAAAAACTGAAATCACACAAAGTTTCTTCTCCAACCACACAGAATGAATTAGAAATCAATAGCAGAAGGAAATCTGGAAAATTGACAAATATGTGAAAATTAAATAACACACTCTTAAACAACCAACAGGTGAAAGAGAAAGTAACAAAAGGAATTAGAAAATACTTTGAGGTGAATAAAAATAAAAACACAACATACAAAAAAGTTTTGGGACACAGTGAAAGCAGCGCTTAAAGAAAATGTATAACTCTAAACACTTACATTTAAAAATAAAAAAAGATGTCAAATCAATTACCTAACCTCCTATTTTAAGAAACTAGAAAAAGAAAAGCAAACTAAACTCAGGAATCAGAAGAAAGGAAACAATAAAGATTAGACAAAAATAAATGAAATATAGAAAAACAATAGAAAGAATCAACAAAACAAAAAGGTTTTTTAAAAAGATAAGCAAAATTAACAAACATTTAGCCAGCACATTGGGAGGCCAAGGCGGGTGGATCACCTGAGGTCAGGAGCTCGAGACCAGCCTGACCAACATGGAGAAACACCATCTCTCCTAAAAATACAAAAAAAAAAAAAATTAGCCGGGCAAGGTGGTGCATGCCTGTAATCCCAGCTACTCAGGAGGTTGAGGCAGGAGAATCGCTTGAACCCAGGAGGTGGAGGTTGCGGTGAGCCAAGATAGCACCATTGCACTCCAGCCTGGGCAACAAGAGTGAAACTCCATCTCAAACAAAAAAGAAAAAAAGAAAGGGACAAATTCCTACACAAAGTACCAAAGGTGACTCAAGAAGAAGCAGAAAATTTTAATAGGCCCATAGCAAGTAATGACATTGAATCAGTAATCAAAACATTTTCAACAAAGAAAATTCTAAGACCCAATGACTTCACTTGGGAATACTCCCAAATGCCTAAAGAAGGATTAACAGTCTTCTCAAACTCTTCCAAAAAATAGAAGAGAACACTTATTAACTCTTTATATGAAGCCAGTATCACCCTGATGCCAAAGCCAGGTAAAGATACTAGAAGAAAACAAAACTACAGATCAATATATCTCATGAAGACTGATGAGAAAATTCTCAATAAAATACTACCAAATTGAATCTAGTAGCATAGTAAAAGGATTACACACCATGACCAAGTTGGATTTATTCCAGGAATGCAAGGATGATTCAACATATGGAAATAAATCCATGTAATACACCACATTAATAGAACAAAGGAGAGAAAAACATGAAAACTTCTTCATGCATAAAAAGTATTTGACAAAAGCCAATACTCTTTCATTGAAAAAAAAATTTCAACAAACTAGGACTATAAGGGAACTTCCTCAACCTGATCAAGGTCATCTATTAAAAACCCACAGCTAATATCACACTTACTGATGAAATAGTGAAGGTTTTTTTCCCTGAGATCTGGAAAATGACACAGATGTCCACTCTCACCACTTCTGTTTAACATTGTGCTGGAAGTTCCAGCCCAGGCAATTAAGCAAGTAAAACAATTAAAGCCATCCAAATCTGAAAAGAAGAAGTAACCCTTTTTCAGATGAACTGATCTTATATATAGAGAGAGAGAGAAAACCCTAAGGAATACACAATAAAATTTTTAGAGATAAGTGAATTCAGCAAAGTGACAGAATATAAGAACAATACACAAAAATCAGTTGTACTTCAAGACAACAGCGATGAACACTCTGAAAAGGAAATTAAGAAAATGACTCCACTTACAATATCATCCAAAATAATAAAATATCTAGGAATAAATGTCACCAAGGAGGGCAAAGACTTATACACTGAAAACCACAAAACATTGCTGAAAAAAAATTAAAGAAGACCTAAATAAATAGAAAAACATTTCACTATCATAGATTAGAAGACAATATTATTAAGATGGCAATTGTATTAGGCCATTCTTAGATTGCTATAAAGAAATAGCTGAGACTGCGTAATTTGTAAAGAAAAGAGGCTTAATTGGCTCATGGTTCTGCAGGCTGTACAGGAAGCACAGTGCTGCACATCTGCTCAGCTTCTGGGAAGGCTCAGGGAGCTTTTACTCATGGCAGAAGGTGAAGCAAGAGCAGGCACATCACATGGTAAGAGCAAGAGCAAGAAGGTGAAGCAAGAGCAGGCACATCACATGGCAAGAGCAAGAGCAAGAGAGTGTGTAGGGGAAGATGTCACACACTTTTAAACAGTCAGATCTTTCAAGTACTCACTCACTACTGCATGGACAACACCAAGGGGATAGCACTAAGCCAGTCATGAAAAATCCACTCCCATGATCCAGTCACCTTCCACCTGGCCCCACCTCCAGCACTGGGGATTACAATTCAACATGAGATTCTGGGGGAACAATATCCAAACTATATCAGCAATGTTCCCCAAATTGATCTACATATTGATCCAATCTCTGTCAAATTCTGTCATTTTGGCAGAAATAGACGAGCTGATTCTAAAATTCATAGGGAATTGATAAAGATGGAGAATATCCTAAAACAAAGATGGAAAAAGAAGAACAAAGTAGGAAAACACACAGTTCCCAATTTCAAAACTTACAACAAAGCTACAGTAATCACAACAGTGTGGTATTGGCATAAGGATAGACAGATCAATAGAGTAGAACTGAGAGTCCAGAAATAAATTCTTACTTCTATAGCTAATTGGTTTTCAACAAGTTTGTCAAGGCCATTAAATGAGGAAAGAATCGTCTCTTCAACAAATGGTGTTGAGACAACTGGATATTTACATGCAAAAGAATGAAATCAAACCCCTACCTTACACCATATGTAAAAATTAATTTGAAATTGATCAAAGACCTAAATGTAAGAATAAAAATGATAAAACTTTTAGAATAAAACGTAAGTATATGTCTTCTTGACCTTTAACTAGTTTTCTTAAATATGACACCCAAAGCACAAGCAACAAAAGAAAAAATAGACAAATTGAATTTCAAAATAACGGGCTTTTGGACATCAAGGAAACTATCAAGAAAGCATAAATGATAACCTACAGAATGGGAGAAAATATTTGCAAACACATATCTGGTAAAGGCCTAGTATCCAGAACAGAAAAAGAATTCTTCCCCCTCCTCGCCCGGCCCCGGCCTCCATTCCCTCCCAGGGTCGCTTCGACGAGCGGCTAGGTGCACTGCGGCGGCAGCACTTTCCACGGCAGGAGCTGGAGCTGGGCTCTGGTGCGCGCGCAGCTGGGCCGCCCGAGCCGGAGGGACTGGTTGGTTGAGGGAGAAAGGGAGGGAATCCCGGGCTGCCCAACCGCATGTTCAGCCTGCTCGCTCCTGCAGGGCAGCCCTTCGGCTCTCTGCGTGGGGAGCTGAGTCCCGGGTTGTTGAGGCGGGGGTCCCCTAAGACCGCTACCGGCCCCTCGGCGCTGACGGGCCCGCGAGGGGCTCACCCTCCGAAGGCAGCCTCGCCGAAGGCAGACGCGGACCGGACTTGGTCCTGCACAGCAGGCGCGGAGCAGCGCAGCGGGAGGACGCGAGAGGTGCTGCCCTCCCCCCGGAGTTGGAAGCGCCTTAGTCGGGTCCAAAATGCCCAAGAAGACGCCGACGCCCATCCAGCTGACCCCAGCCCCCGACGGCTCCAGCCGTGGTTAACGGGACCAGCTCTGCGGAAACCAACTTGGAGGCCTTGCAGAAGAAGCTGGAAGAGCTAGAGCTTGACGAGCAGCAGCGAAAGCACCTTGAGGCCTTTCTTACCCAGAGATAGAAGGTGGGAGAACTAAAGGATGACGACTTTGAGAAGATCAGTGAGCTGGGGGCTGGCAATGGCGGTGTGGTGTCCAAAGCCTCCCACAAGCCTTCTGGCCTGGTCGTGGCCAGAAAGCTAATTCATCTGGAGATCAAACCTGCAGTCCGGAACCAGATCATAAGGGAGCTGCAGGTTCTTCATGAGTGCAACTCTCCGTACATCGTGGGCTTCTGTGGTGCATTCTACAGCGAGAGGCGAGATCAGTATCTGCAGGTAGCACATGGATGGAGATTCCCTGGATCAAGTCCTGAAGAAAGCGGGAAGAATTCCTGAACAAATTTTAGAAAAAGTTAGCATTGCTGTAATAAAAGGCCTGACATATCTGAGGGAGAAGCACAAGATCATGCACATAGATGTCCAGCCCTCCCACATCATAGTCAGCTCCCGTGGGGAGATCAAGCTCTGTAACTTTGGGGGGTCAGTGGGCAGCTCATCGACTCCATGGCCAACTCCTTCATGGGCCCAAGGTCCTACATGTCCCCAGAAAGATTCCAGGGGACTCATTACTCTGTGCAGTCAGACATCTGGAGCATGGGACTCTCTCTGGTAGAGATGGCAGTTGGGAGGTATCCCATCCCTTCTCCAGATGCCAAGGAGCTGGAGCTGATGTTTGGGTGCCAGGTGGAGGGAGATGCGGCTGAGACCCCACCCAGGCCAAGGACCCCAGGGAGGCCTCTTAGCTCATATGGAATGGACAGCCGACCTCCCGTGGCAATTTTTGAGTTGTTGGATTACATAGTCAACGAGCCTCCTCCAAAACTGCCCAGTGGAGTGTTCAGTCTGGAATTTCAAGATTTTGTGAATAAATGCCTAATAAAAACCCCGTAGAGAGAGCAGATTTGAAGCAACTCATGGTTCATGCTTTTATCAAGAGATCTGATGCTGAGGAAGTGGATTTTGCGGGTTGGCTCTGCTCCACCATCGGGCTTAACCAGCCCAGCACACCAACCCATGCTGCTGGCGTCTAAGTGTTTGGGAAGCAGCAAAGAGCAAGTCCCCTGCCCAGTGGTTTGCCATGTCACTTTTGGGCCTCCTTCCCATGCCTGTCTCTGTTTAGATGTGCATTTCACCTGTGACAAAGGATGAAGAACACAGCATGTGCCAAGATTATACTCTTGTCATTTTTAATATTACTGTCTTTATTCTTATTACTATTATTGTTCCTCTAAGTGGATTGGCTTTGTGCTTGGGGCTATTTGTGTGTATGTTGATGATCAAAACCCGTGCCAGGCTGAATTACAGTGAAATTCTGGTGACTGTGGGTAGTCATTCTTACAATTGCACTGCTGTTCTTGCTCCATGACTGGCTGTCTGCCTGTATTTTCGGGATTCTTTCACATTTGGTGGTACTTTATTCTTGCTGGGCATACTTTCTCTCTGAGTAGGAGGGAGCTTTTTGTGAGATCCTTCACAGGCAGTGCATGTGAAGCATGCTTTGCTGCTGTGAATATGAGCATCAGAAAGTGTACATCATGTTATTTTATTATTATTTGCTTTTCATGTAGAATTCAGCAGTTTACATCCAAATCTAGCCAGAGCACTTCACTGCCATGATAGCTGGGGCTTCACCAGTCTGTCTACTGTGACGATCTGTAGACCTCCGGTTGTATTTCTACATTTATTTTCAATATACTGTGTGGGATACTCAGTGGTATGTCTCTTTAAGTTTTGATTGTTTCTTAAATGGTGAAATTATTTTGAATGTCACAAATTGATCAAGGCATTAAAATGTCAGATTTATCTTTCCCCATATCCAAGTACCAATGCTGCTATAAACGACACGTACAGTGCCTAATATTGTATGAAAATCCTTTTAACCATTTTAACCTAGATGTTTAACAAATCTAATCTCTTATTCCAATAAATATACTATGAAGTTTAAAAAAAAGGATGGAAGCTAAAAAAAAGAAAAGAAAAGAAAAAGAATTCTTACAACTCAAAAAGACAAGGACTTGAGTAGATATGTTGTTGGTGAAAATGTAAATGGTGCAGCCACTGTAGAAAACAGTTTGGTTGTTCCTCAAAAAGCTAAACATAGAACTACCACACAACCGAGCAATTCCACTCCCAGGTATATATCTAAGAGAACTGAACACGAATGTTCGAATAGAAACTACACACAAATGTTCACAGCAGCATTATTCACAATAGCCAAAAGGTAGAAACAACCTAAATATTCATAAACTGTTGAATGGATAAACAAAATGTGGTATATCCATACCACAGATTACTATTCAGCCATTAAAATGTACAGAGTGTGTTACCTGCTACAACAAGACAAAGCTTGAAAACAAATGAAAGAAGCCAGACACAAAAGGCTTATCATATTACATGATTCTATTTATATGAAATGTCCAAAGTATGGAAGTCCACAGAGACAGAAAACCAATTAGTGATCACCAGGGTCTGGTAGGAGGGGTACAAAGGAAGTGACTGCTTAATAAATATGGGGTTTCTTTTTGGAGTATTGAAAATGTTCTACATTTTTTTTTTTTTTGGTAGAGATGAGGTCTCTCTATGTTTCCCAAAATTAGCCAGCCATAGTGGTGCATTCCTGTGGTCCCACCTAGTCGGGAGGCTAAGGCTTGAGCCTGGGAGGTCGAAGCTGAAGTGAGCCTTCACTTCACACCACTGCACTCCAGCCTGGGTAACAGTGAGATCCTGTCTTTAAAAAGAAAGAAGAGAGGGAGAAAAGAAAGAAAAAGAAACAGAGATGGAAGAAAGAGACAGGAAGGAAAGAAAGAGAAAGAAAGGAGGGAGGAAGGGAGGGGAGGGGAGGGAGGGGAGAGAGAAAGAAAAAAGAAAAGGAAGGAAAGAAAAAGAAACAAAGAAAGAGAAAAGAAAGAAAAAGAGAAAGAAAGAAAAAGAAAAAGAAAGAGAAAGAAAGAAAGAAAAGAAAGAAAGAAAGGAAAGAAAAAGAAAGAAAGAAAGAAAGAAAGAAAAAGAAAGAAAGAAAGAAAGAAAGAAAGAAAGAAAGAAAGAATAAGAGAGAGAGGGAGGGAGGGGAGGGGAAGGGAGCGGAGGGGAGAGAGGAAGGAAAGAGAGAGAGGGAAGGAAGGAAGCAAGGAAATGTTTTAGAATTAGTAGTTGCAGTAGCACAATCTGTGTATGTATTAGAAGCCACTAAATTGGCATACTTTAAAATGGTTAAAATGGGGAATGTATGTTATGTGAATTTTACCTCAATTTAAGGTGTGTCTGTGTACCATCGGATTATGTTATTCAACCTATGAATAACAGTCCATAGACCAGATTTAACACCCAGCTCCAACCAAATCCAAATCCAACCATTTGAATGAGGGCAAAAATTTTAGCCTCTGAGTCTCAGTTTCGTATATAAAAATGGGGTTGATAATAATGCCTGCCTTATAGAGTCCTTAGGATTAAATGAGCTAACAAAAGTAAAGAATATATCATGAGCCCTAGAATATAATAAATTCTCAACAAATACATAAACAGATGCACAGAAAATAGATAGCTATGGCTGGGTACAGTGGCTCATGCCTAGAATCCCAGCACTTTGGGAGGCCGAGGTGGGAGGATCACTTGAGTCCAGGAGTTTGAGATCAGCTTGGACAACATAGTGAGACCCTGTCTCTATAAAATAATGATAATAATAAAATGGCATCAGCAGTGGCTGGGCAAGTTATTTGTTGCTAGGAAAGACAAGTGTCATGAGTTTCCACTTTGCATAATGTGTTCACCAAAATTACAGCTCCACGTAACTTCCAGTCTCTTTCCCCATGCAAATATTTCCAAAGCCAACTTAAATCTCATCTCAATTAAGCCTTTCCAGTCACCCAAGCTGAAGATACCTCCTCTTCCACTGAGCTTCTCAGAAAAAGAAAAAAGAAATGAAGCAAAAAGAAAAGGTACCGCCAGGTGCAATGGCTCATGCCTGTAATCCCAGCACTTTGGGAGGCCAAGGCAGGAGGATCATTTGAGCCCAGCAGTTCGAGACCAACCTGGGCAACAAGGTAAGACCTTGTCCATGTAAAAACTAAATAAACAAATATTAAAAAAAAGAAAAGGCACTAATTTAAAAACCTCTGTCTCCTACCGTAACCTCTTTCCTTTGACATCATTTTCTCCATTTCCTCCCACATTTCTTTGATCTCATCGACATCCCAAAAACAATGACATTTCTACTTTTTTTTACCCAGCACATTCCTTCTCATCAAGCTACAATTCCATAGTCTAGCAAATGCATTTGCTGTCTTACAAATACCTTCAGCTCCTTGACCTTCTCCTTCCACAGCAGAACCTGAACTCTGCACAGATCCAATATCCACCTTACCTCCTCTATGCCTTGAACTTGAAACATTGGTTATTACTGGAGAAAAACACCCAGTTAAGCAGAATGGTAACAGGTCAAATTAGTAGTGACCAACCTCAAATTTACACTCAACCATGCCCAGAAATTTTCTTAAATTTCCTCTACTAAACCCTTCTCCCATTCTCCATTAGGATTTCATACCTCTCCACTCCACTAAAACTCTGACGTCCTGTTCCATGTAGCCTCAATTGATCATTCCTCACACTTCATGAAGAATACAGAACCCATCAAGTACCAAATCATCCCTCGTATTTTAACCACCAATTCTCCATCTGCAACTACAGTCTTCTTTTTCCGTCTATTACATAGAAATGCCTTTCCCATAATGAAAGTCATACTTCTCCATCTCTGCTCTAGATTGAATCCTCTTTTCACTCAGGGCCTTGCCGTGCACCAAGGTGTGAATATGGTGATCTGGGGGTTTTCTTTTACTTTTACATAAGTGATTATGGGGCCAGGCATGGTGGCTCATGCCTGTAATCTCAGCACTTTGGGAGGCCGATGTCGGAGGATCACTTGAGTCCAGGAGTTTGAGACCAGCCTGGGCAACAAAGTGAGACCCCCATCTCTAAAAATAAATAAATACAATATAATAAATAAAAGAAGCTACCATGGATTACTTACATAGTTTTTAAGGAAGAAATTAAGAGGGAGGTGTAATCCATTGTCATCAGAGAGTTCTGGCATCCTTGGAGAGGCTCTAACACTACATTGTCATTTCAGGTCAACATTCAGCCACCAATTCGGTTTTGGGGTAGGAATAGAAACTAAATTCTGCAGCCGGGTGCGGTGGCTCACACCTGTAATCCCAGCAACTTGGGAGGCCAAGGCAGGCAGATCATGAGGTCAGGAGATCGAGACCATCCTGGCCAACACGGTGAAACCCCGTCTCTACTAAAAATACAAAAATTAGCCAGGTGTGGTGGCACGCGCCTGTAGTCCCAGCTACTCAGGAGGCTGGGGCAGGAGAATGGCATGAACCCAGGAGGCGGAGGTTGCGGTAAGCTGAGATCACGCCATTGCACTCCAGCCTGGCAACAGAGCGAGACTGTCTCAAAAAAAAAAAAAATTCTGCCCACCAGAGAAACTGAGTAAACAAGTCTCATAAAGATCACAGGAAGTGCTACAGAATGTAGTTAACTATCTCTTGTGAAATAACAGGCCATATATCTCAAGTCTCTCCCATAGCTGACTTAATTGTTGCTAATTTTCTAATTTACCTAAATCACAAAAGTGAAATCAGAGAGATTACCTAATGACTGATCTGTTCGAAGACGAGTGAATTCAAAAGGCTTCAGCAGCACTGGAGAGCCTCGGGTGTGGGGAGGGCTCACCTCCGCAGGGCCACTTTTTCTTGTCAACGAATCACACAGTCAAATTACAGGAGAAAGTGACAGGAATTCGGCTAAATTCCAACTCCCGGCCTCAGAAGGTTATTCATCAACCCTGCAGCAGCAGCTCTCTGTCTGGCAGGGGAGGTTTCCTCTAATTATGTATCGCTCCCTGCGGGCCACCCGGCAGGACCTTTATTTTCTTCACAGTTATTAATCAGCTATCCAGTGTTAACAAGAAGATCAGATCCAGAAGTATGCAAATCCACCCTCAATTCTTTCTCCTAATCACTCAGCAGGCCACCTTAGGAGCTCGCTAATGAGCTGACCATCTGAAAGCCTCCTGCTAACTACCAAGTCTCCTATTCTTAATGATCACTTCCAAAATGGGATATTTTTGTTTCAAATACATAGGCCTATTCAATACCCTGAAATATATAACTTTTCAGCAACTTTCTGGCAAAACTTATCTAAATTAGGCAATGCTAAAACTGACTAAATTATAATAAAACCGAAGAAATGTCCAATGGGGAATTCAAATTCAACACCTGGGGACCTTCCTAACCCCAGAGACTGAGTCCCAATCTTTGTTACTTTTTTTTTTTTTTTTTTTTTTTTTTGAGCAGCGTCGCACTCTGTCGCCCAGGCTGGAGTGCAGTGGGGTGATCTCGGCTCACTGCAACCTTGCTGATACCACTCCAATGACTGGAGGAATACCAGGGTCCTCGGTCTCGTGCCGGTTTAAATAAAACGCACACACGTGGAGTGGTTTTAGGGATCGAAAAGTTTCATAGGCAAGAAAGAAGGAAGAAGAAAACAGCTCCCCCGTATAGAGACAGAGGGAGGGGTATTCAAACAAAGAGAAAACTCCGTGTGCGGCAGAAAAGTGGCTGCTTATAGGAAGAGGCCGGAGGAGGTGGTGTCTGATTTCCATAGGGCCCACCAGGTGTGTCATTTACATAACCCAAGAAAAACCTGGCCCTCCCACCTTAGCCCCGTAACATACAAATGCAGGTCGCCATGATGTTCTGAACACATGGTGTTATCTGGAGGTGGCCATGACAATTGCTACACCTGGTGACAAGGAAAAGATGGCAGGAATCGCCATATTGAGTGAACCCAGTTTCTAATGGCCTGTATTTGCATATTAAAGCTTGCTGGCCCAACCCTTCAAGCCACCATTTCTGTTAGAAAAGAGATGGTTCAGGGATTGTTTCTTATTCCAGGAAAATTTCCACCGAGAACCTTTACCCTTACTATCTGCCTAAAAATTATTTCTTAATAACTCCTGTATCATCACCTCCTGGGTTCAAGTGATTCTCCTGCCTCAGTCTCCCAAGTAGCTGGGATTACAGGTGGCCACCACCATGCCCGGCTAATTTTTGTATTTTTAGTAGAGATGGAGTTTCAACCATGTTGGCCAAACTGGTCTCAAACTCCTGACCTCAGGTGATCCTCCTGCCTCAGCCTCCCAAAGTGCTCACAGGCATGAGCCACTGCACCCCGCCCCAATCTGTGTTTCTATTATCAAAGTCTCATCCTTTGAATGTGTCTTCCTCTAACAACTTCAAAATAGGATCCCTGTTCTGAAGTAAGTATTACATTGAGCCTTACAAAACTACCAATCTAATAATTTTTTATCTACAAACATGGCGATTGTCAGGCCTCTGAGCCCAAGGTAAGCCATCATATCCCCTGTGACCTGCACGTACACATCCTGATGGCCAGTTCCTGCCTTAACTGATGACATTCCACCACACAAGAAGTGAAAATGGCCTGTTCCTGCCTTAACTGATGACATTGTCTTGTGAAATTCCTTCTCCTGGCTCATCCTGGCTCAAAAGCTCCCCTACTGAGCACCTTGTGACCCCCACTTCTGCCCACCAGAGAACAACCCCCCTTTGACTGTAATTTTCCTTTATCTACCCAAATCCTACAAAACGGCTCCACCCTTATCTCCCTTCGATGACTCTCTTTTCGGACTCAGCCCACCTGCACCCAGGTGATTAAAAGCTTTATTTCTCACACAAAGCCTGTTTGGTGGTCTCTTCACACGGACGCGCATGAAAGCGATTTTGTGGTTCAACTTAATATACTGGCCCTCAGAGTCTTTTGGAAAGGGATTGAGTTTTTTTAAGCATACAAATAAAGAATAATAATAATAAATGTAATAACTAACATTATTGAAGCATTCATTTAACCCTCACAACATTTAACACTCTCATTTCACAGATGTGAAAACTGAGCATAAAGAAGTTGAGTAAGGCCGGGCACAGTGGCTCATGCCTGTAATCCCAGAGGCCAAGGTGAGAGGATCGCTTGAGGCCAGGAGTTCAAGACCAGCCTGGGCAACATAGTGAGATGTTTCTATAAAAACTTTTTTTTATTATTTGTTTTTACTTTTTAAAAATTAGTGCACACATGTAGTACCATCTGCTTGGGAGACTGAATAGGAGATCACTTGAGCCTGGGAGATTGAGGCTGCAATGAGCCAAGAATGCACTACTGCACTCCAGCCTCAGTGACAGAGCAAGACCCTGTCTCCAAAAAAAAAAAAGGTTGAGTACTCTTCTCAAGGTCACAGACTGGCAAAGGCTAGATTCAACACAGGCTTGTCTGATACACAGCCATTAACCACTGTGCTGTATTTTCCGAAAAGTTTTTGTTGATAATGAAGGGACTCCCTCTGACCCCATATACTTTTCTAGGCATTGAAACTTTTACTTCTTCCACTGAGATCCCATAAGGGATAAAGTTGCACATGGGCACTAAGGGTGAGTCTACTGTAGGCAAAACAGGTATTGTGTGGGTGCACACATGTGCACATGCAGCATGCTCCTGTGGAAGTGTGTGCCATGTATGGAAATTAGGCTATGATCGTATGGTATGGACAACGACCTTTGATAGATTAGAATACTGAAGATTTCTAATTTTATGAACAGGACAGACTCAATGTCTTGAAAACTCTCCCACCATTAACACAGAGGAATGCCAGATGTAACATCCATTTGAATGCATAGCAACCAGCTGCGGTGGCTCATGCCACCCCATCTCTACTAAAACTACAAAAATTAGCCAGGCATGGTGGTACATGCCTGTAATCCCAGCTAATCAGGAGGCTGAGGCAAGAGAATTGCTTGAACCTGGGAGGCAGAGGTTGCGGTGAGCCGAGATTGCACCACTGCACTCCAGCCTGGGTGACAGAGTGAGACTCTGTGGAAAAAAAAAAAAAAAAGTAAAAACATTTGAATGCATAGTTAAGCTTACAAGAAAGTAGGAGAAATCCCCAGAGCTCAGCAATGAAGATTTGGTTTCTGAAAACCAGAGCATTATGTGAGTGAGCTGATGTGGCAACTAACCTGGATTGGTCGGGTTTATCTCCAACTTACGAAACGTTAGGAATTTGGTTTTAACATGTACACAATGATAAAGTGAAAGATCTTGAGACTGCCAAGTAGGAAGCTGAAGTAAGACCCACCCATCCTCCCTCCCCTGACTCCACATACAGCACAGGAAGAGTGGACTAGAAAAATATCTCTCTACCAGCATAACGAAATGACGTAGAAGTTTGTCTCTTCTGGCCTACCTAGACTCTGAATAGAAAAAGAAAAAAAAAGAAAAAAAATTAGTTTCCTCATCGGAAAGTCAATTATGGGTCAATGCCATGTGAGGACCCAGGAACCCCCAAGCCAAAAAATTAACACATAAATAGATCCTAGGATGGCTACATCACTGGAGCACCTGGCAGAAGAAAACCACACAGGAGGGACACACTCACCACCATTCTTACAAATAGAGCCCTGCTGAAGATGAACTCATAACATACAATCACACAACTCAGTACTTAATAATCCATCGTGAGCAAGAGCCAGCAGAAGTAACAAGCATGTAATAAAGTTCATTAGACTCTCAGAGCTTCAGGTTCCTGAATAATCAAATGAAGATGATAAAACAATTAAAGACATAAAGGAGAAAAGTAAACATAGAAGACAGTATAGAAAGGAAAAAAAAACTTCTGAAATGAAAAATGGAATCACTGAAACAGAAAACCCATTAGTCAAATTTGGCATCAGCTTAGACACAACTGAAAAGAGAAGAGTAGACTATGATAGGGCTCAGGAAATTGCCCAGAATGCAAAAGAAATAAAACACGGAAAGGGTTCAAGAGAGTTTAAGAGACACAGAAGAGAGAATGAGAAAATAAATATATATCTAATGGGAATTCCAGCAGAAACAAAGAGATGTGAGAGAGGTAATATTCAAAGAACAAATGGCTGAGAATTTTCTAGAATTAATGAAAGACATGAATCCTCAGATTCAGGAAGTATAATACAAAAAGTACCAAGTGGGAAATACAGAAATAAATCTATACCTTGTCACATTATAATAAACAGCAAAACACCAAGACAACAAGAAAATTTTAAACACCAAAAAAAAAGTAGATTACCTACAAAGGAATGACAAACAGCAGACTTAACAACAACAGAAACCAAAAACACAATATCTTCAAAGTGTAAAATTATAATTATCATCTAGGATTCTCTGCAGATAAAGGAGATAAACTATCACTAAAGAATGAAGGCAAACTAAAGACATTTTAAAGCAAACAAAGAATAAGAGAGTTGACCTCTGTCAAACTTTGGCTGAGAGGAATCCTAAAAGACATAATTTAGGAAGAAGGAAAAGAGGGCTGAGTGCAGTGGCTCATGCCTATAATCCCAGCACCTTGGGAAGCTAGGGCAAGAGGATTGCTTGAGGCCAGGAGTTCCAGACTAGCCTGGGCAACACAGCAAGACCCTGTCTCTACAGAAATATTTAAAAATTACCCTGGCATGGCAGCATGCACCTGTAGTCCCAGCTACTCAGGAAGCTGAGATGAGAGGACCGCTTCAGCCCAGGAATTCCGGGCTATAGTGAGCCATGATCACGCCACTGCACTCCAATTTGGGCCACAGAGAGAGATCCTGTCTCTAAAATGGGAGGGAACAGAGGGAGAGGGAGGGAGGGAGGGAGCCCAGAGGAAAGGAATAAGATGCAAATGTGTCAAATGTGGGTAAATCTAAGTAAGCATTGCTCATATAAAACAATAAAAAGTAACAAATTTGTGGAGGAAACAAAACATTGTGAAACTAGAATATTAGCTATGAATAACCTATTATTGGGACTGTTTCAAGAAGATTATTTTCTAGTTCTAGAGGAGGCTGGTGATGCTGATCAATTTCAGCCTGTCTTAAATCAAGACGCAAGTTAAATGTAAGAAATAGAAATTGAATGCATGATGTCGTTAGTTAAAAAGAAAAATGTGAATTTAAAAAAACACACTTAAAGCAAGACAAAAAAGGAGCAAAGAAAAAGCATAGTAAATAGAAAGCACAAAAGAGGACAGGAAGAAATCTAAACATGTAAATAATTGCAATAAATGCAAATGGATAAAATTCATTATTAATAGAGAATCAGCCTTTCAGAATTCATGTATGGCTGGGTATGGTGGTTCATGCCTGTAATCCCAGCACTTTGGGAGGCCGAGGCAGGCAGATCACCTGAGGTCAGGAGTTCGAGACAATCCTGGCCAACATGGTGAAACATCGTCTCTATTAAAAATACAAAAATTAGCCAGGTGTGGTGGCGCAAACCTGTAATCCCAACTACTTGGAAGGCTAAGGCACAAAAATCGCTTGAGTCCAGGAGACGTAGGTTGCAGTGAGCTGAAATCACGCCACTGCACTCCAGCCAAGGTGACAAAGTGAGACTCCATTTCAAAAAAAAGTTTTTTAATTAAAAAATTAAAATGCAGGCATAAGCTGCTTACTAGAGACACAGTGGAATACAGAAAAGTTACAACTAAAGATGTAAAAATATATTACAAGTAAATATCATCGAAACTACTGATAGAGCTATGTTAATATTTTAAATAAGACTTTAAGTCCAAAAGAATTATTATGAAAAAGTAGATGAATGATACACCACCAAAAACATATAACAATTCTGAACATGTACTCAACTAATAACAGTATCAGAATATGAAGTAAACATGAGTAAAATTAAAAGGAAAGTTTTTAAACCCATTGTGAAACTGGGAAATTTTAACAAAAGTACCTCAATAGTAAATAAAGCAAATGGACAAAAAAAAAAAAAAAGTAAACAGAGGTCGGGCACGGTGGCTGATGCCTGTAATCCCAGCACTTTGGGAGGCCAAGGTGGGCAGATCACTTGAGGTCAGGAGTTCGAGACCAGCCTGGCCAATGTGGTGAAACCCCGTCTCTACTAAAAATACAAAAATTGGCCAGGCATGGTGGCAGGCGCCTGTAATCCCAGCTACTCTACTTGGGAGGCTGAGGCAGGAGAATTGCTTCAACCGGGGAGGCAGAGTTCGCAGTGAGCCGAGATTGCGCCACTGCACTCCACCCTGGGCGACGGAAAAAGAAAACACACACACACACACACACACACACATATATATATATATATATATATAAAATATATTATATATCAGATTATATAATATACTATAATAGTTATAGAATAATGATTGTAATACATAAATATAATAGATATATGGATATAGATAGTCTATATACACAAACACATATATATACCATATCAAGCTAATTTATTTTTTTCTCTGATTTTCTTTTTTTCTTTTTTTTATTTTTTTTTATTATACTTTAAGTTCTAGGATACATATGCACAACGTGCAGGTTTGTTACATATGTATACATGTGCCATGTTGGTGTGCTGCACCCATTAACTCGTCATTTACATTAGGTATATCTCCTAATGCTATCCCCCCTCCCCAATTTATTAACATATATAAAATATATAAAGTGTGTGTGTGTATATATATATACCACAGACAAAAATCAGCAAATACATGTGCTATTAAAACATAAACAGAATACTTTAGAGTATTTGAACATGTATTTGGTCTCAAAGTAAATCTCAAAAAGTTTTAACAAGCCAATCCTAACAAGATTCAAATAAACTGGAAACCAATAACAAAAAAGTAACAAAAAAATTATATAAAGAAATGTTAAAATACGCTTCTAAATAACTCTTATTTTTTTATTTACTTTTTAATTGAGACAGAGTTCTCACTCTGTTGCCCATACTGGAACGCAGTGGTGCGATCTCGGCTCACTGCAACCTCTGCCACCCAGGTTCAAGCAATTCTTGTGCCTCAGCCTCCCGAGTAGCTGGGACTACAGGTGCACGCCACCACACCAGGCTAAATTTTGTATTTTTAGTAGAGATGGGATTTCACCATGTAGGCCAGTCTGGTCTTGAACTCCTGACCTCAGGTGATCCACCCGCCTCGGCCTCTCAAAGTGCTGAGATTACAGGTGGGAGCCACCACGCCCTGTCTGAGTAAATCTTAAGTCAAAAAAAAAGTATAATGGAAATTAGAAAATAGTATGCATCAAAACGTATAAGATGCCGCTAAAGTTCTGCTTAGGAAAAAATGCATAGATGTCATTGATCATAATTGAAAAAAATAAAAATGACAATAGGGGAGCTAAACTTCATATATGTTATATATTGCTATGTTACAAGCTAGGCTGAAACTTAGTGGCTTAAAGACATAACAATTTATTATTTCTCCTGAATCTGTAGGATGGCTGGGCAGTTATTCTGTTGACCTTACCTGCATGTCCTGATGTGGCTACATTTGTTGGCAGGGACTGGGCTCCACTGGGATGGCTAGACCTCTGTCTATTTGATTTTATATCCTTAAGGCGCCTAAACTGGCCTTTTTCACATGGCAACATAAATGTCCACAAGGGAATCCCCAGTGCAAAGTGCTTATCAAGTCTCTGCTAGCCTCTTATTTGCTTATGCCCTGCAAGCCAGAGAAAGTCACATGGCTGGGCACGGTGGCTCACGCCTGTAATCCCAACACTTTGGGAGGCCGAGGCAAGCAGATGACTTGAGGTCAGTAGTTCGAGACCAGCCTGGCCAACATGGTGAAACCCCGTCTCTGCTAAAAATACAAAAATTAGCCAGACCTGGTGGCGAGCGCCTGTAATCCCAGCTACTTGGGAGGCTGAGGCAGGAGAATCACTTGAACCCAGGAGGTGGAGTTTGCAGTGAGCCGAGATCACACCATAGCACTCCAGCCTGTGCGACAGAATGAAACTCCATCTCAAAAAAAAAAAAAAAATGTCATATAGCCAACTCCAGCATCAAGACAGGAAGACTGCAAGGGTTTGGATACTAAAAAGAGAAATTCACTGGAGGCCTTTAATATATAACACTCTCAGCCAGGCACAGTGGCTCACTCCTGTAATTCCAACACTTTGGGAGGCCCAGGCAGTTAGATGGCTTGAGCACAGGAGTTCGAGATCAGCCTAGACAACATGGCAAAACCCCATCTCTACAAAAGATACAAAAATTAGCCAGGTGTGGTGGCACGCACCTGTAGTCCCAGCTACTCAGGAGGCTGAGGTGGGAGGATGGCTTGAACCTTGGAGGCAGAGGTTGCAGTGAACTGAGATCGTGCCACTGGGCCTGGACGACAGAGCCTGGGCGCCCAGCCTGGGCGATAGAGCCACACTTGGCAAAAAAAAATAATAATAAATACATATATATAATATATATACATGCACACATACATAAAACAATCTCTATCACAGTCTTCCCTCCACCTCAATGATTGATACCCCTCCCGCATGCAAGGGGCATTTATCCCCAGTCAGGACTCCGAAGTCTCACTCAATCATGTCATCAGGGACAACGTCCATGACAACATGATCTGCAAGGTTCAAATGTAGATGACGCTTCTCAAGTCCAACTTCTCTGGATCCAGAGACCCATGTACTAAAAAGACAAGTTATCTGCTCACATACGCACCCAGCATACAATGGTGAGGCAGAGATAGGACAGTCACAATAGACACCCCCCTCCAAAAACAAAAAGGAGTAATGGAAGGCATATAGTAACCACCAACCCATAGCCAGACAAATTTGATTAAGACCCTGGATTAACCCACTTGGGCTGCTATAACAAAATACACAGAAGGGATGGCTTAAGCAATATAATATTTTTAAGCAGCCTTTAATTTTTATTCTAAAAAAGTTTGAATTTACACAAAAATACAGAGAATAGTATAGTTAACCCATTATGTCTGTCATCTAGCTTCTTTTTTATTTTTCAATAGTTTTTGGGAAACAGGTGGTGTTTGGTTGCATGGAAAACTTCTTTAGTGGTGATTTCTGAGATTTTGGTGCACCCATCACTCAGGCAGTGTACACTGCACCCAATGTGTAGTCTTTTATCCCTCGGCTCCCTCCCACCCTTTCTCTCGAGTCCCCAGAGTCCATTTTAAAATATGGAATGTTGGCCAGGCGCAGTGGCTCACGCTTGTAATCCCAGCACCTTGGGAGGCCAAGGCAATCAGGTCACTTGAGCTCAAGAGTTCAAGACCAGCTTGGGCAATATGGTGAAACCCCGTCTCTACCAAAAATACAAAAACACTATTAGCCAGGTGTGGTGGCACATGTCTGTGGTCCCAGCTACTTAGGAGGCTGAGGCAGGAGGATCACTTGAACCCAGGAGATGGAGGTTGTAGCGAGCCAAGATTGTGCCACTGCACTCCAGCCTGGGAAACAGAGCTAGACTCCATATATATATATATATATATATATATATATATATATATATATATGGATGTGTGTGTATATATATGTATATACATGGATGTATATATACACATATACACATATATGTATATATACACATATATGTATATACACATATACACATATACACATATATGTATGTGTACACATGCACATATATACATATATGTATATATACATATATACATATATGTATATATACACATATACACATATATGTATATGTACACATATACATATATATGTATATGTACACGGATACACATATATGTATATGTACACGGATACACATATATGTATATGTACACGGATACACATATATGTATATGTACACAGATACACATATATACATATACACATATGTACACACGTATGTATGTATACACACATATACACATATATGTATATACACATATGTACATACATGTATATACACATATATGCACATATACACATATATGTATATACACGTGTGTGTATATACACGTGTGTATATACACATATATGTATATATACACATATATGTGTATATACACATATATGTGTATATACACATATATGTGTATATATACATATATATCTTCAAAAATTTGCATGCCATCCTTGCACAGCCACCACGCTAATCTTCTCTGTATCATTCCAATTTTTAGTATATGTGCTGCCAAAGCAATCACAACAATGGAAATTTATTTCTCAGAGTTCTAGAGGCTGGGAAGTCCAAGATCACAGTGCCAGCCAACTTGATTCCTGGTGAGGGTGCTCCTTCTGGTTTGCAGACAGCTGTAAAGCTCTGGTGTCTCTTCCTCTTCTTATAAGGACACCAGCCCTATTGGATTGGGGCCCCATTCTTATGACCTCATCTAATCTTATTACCTCCTCATAGGCACTGTCTCCAAGCATAGTCACACTGAAGGACAGAGCTTTAACATATGAATTTGAGGGGAGACATAATTCAGGCCATGCCAGACACCCTATTCTGGAGGCAGAGAATGTTCCTAGTTTAGGGCCTAGTTTTACATCCTGGGAATGGTTTCCTAATCCACTATTCCTCACAGTTCTGGGCTTCTTCTGGCTCTGTTCTCCAAGAGTTCCTATCTACACAACTGCTTGGTAGAGTGCAATATCTAGTAAGGTGGAAGGTGCCTATAGCCTGTGATCCATAAATTTCAATTCTAGGAAGTAGGCCCACAAGTTACTAACGTTGTGACCTTGAGCAAATAACCTCTCTCTGTGACTTAACTTCCTTCTGTGCCTCAGTTTCCCATCTGTAAAATGGAGAAATAATATGGAGTTCCTCATAGTCCTATTATGAGAATTAAATCAATCGGTACTTGTCAAGTGTTTAGAACAGTGCTTGGCAGTTAATATGCACTGTTTTTGAAATAATCTCAACATAGATCTATTTTTTTTTAAATACTATCCAACAGTAAGAGAATAAATACAATAATTGGGTTAAAGCCATAGAGAAATATTATGAAGCGGTTGAAAGGAATGACCCAGAGGAATGAACATAACTTTATAAACTTATGTAAAGTTGTAATATATTCAAACTATTCTTCACATAATCGTGCATTTGTCTGTAATTAAAATTTTTTAATATTCATGGGAATGATGAACTCCAAAATTAGAATAGTGGTTACCTCTGGGAAAAGAAAGAGACTAATGAGTTTGGGGAGTGATACACAGTGCCTGTAACTATACCTAGTGACTTAGATTCTTCAAAAATAGGGATCTGATATGGCTGGGCACAGCGGCTCACATCTGTAATCCCAGCACTTTCGGAGGCCAAGGCGAGCAGGTCTCTTGAGGTCAGGAGTTCGAGACCAGCCTGGCCAACATTATGAAACCCGTCTCTACTAAAAATGCAAAACTTAGCTGGGAATGGTGGCACATGCCTGTAATCCCAGCTACTTGGGAGTCTCAGGCAGGAGAATCACTTGAACCCGGGAGGCAGAGGTTGCAGTGAGCCAAGAGCACACCACTGCACTCCAGTCTGGGTGACAAGAGCAAGACTCCGTCTCAAAAAATAAATAAAACAAGAATAGGGATCTGATATGGCTGCGCACAATGGCTCATACCTGTGCTTCCTCCAAATTATGACCCTGTAAGGCTCTGTTTTAAGACAAGCACAGGAGGAAGAGCAGAACACAGAAAGGAAGTTATTAAAGATGCCTTCCTGTGGTATACTAAGTGTCCATGTGAAGGATATCAAGATCCCAGCACTTTGGGAGGCCAAGGCGGGTCAATCACTTGAGGTCAGGAGTTCGAGACCAGCCTGGACAACATGGTGAAACTCCGTCTCTACTAAAAATACAAAAATTAGCTGGAGTGGTGGCTTGCCTGCAATCCCAGCTACTCGGGAGGCTGAGGCAGGAGAATGGCGTGAACCCGGGAAGCGGAGCTTGCAGTGAGCCGAGATTGCGCCACTGCAGTCCGCAGTCCGGCCTGGGCGACAGAGCGAGACTCCGTCTCAAAAAAAAAAAAAACTCTGTCTCAAAAAAAAAAATAGGGATCTGAAATAGCTATAAGATAGCAGGATATTTGATATACTATTCTCCGTGCTCTTCTCATATTTGATGTATTTTGTAATAAATTTTAAAATTAATAATTATTCACAAGAAAATATATAATTGAGCACTGAGGCTGAATCTCCTGTTTTGGTCTCTGCAGATGCCTGACACACAGAAGAGAGCACTTGCAGTCCAGAAGACCCACCCTTGTTCCACCCTTTCAAAATTTCCATCGTAACTGATGTCACTAGGTCAAGAAAACATCCCAGCAACTGAGCTGGGGAGGAAATTGAATAAGAATGTACTTAAGGGAGGTGGATATAGTGTAAAGTAGGACAGAGATTCTCAACCCTGTTTCCTCTACAGCATACCCGAGAAATGAAAGTCACATCTGAAACTTACTCCCAAGAGTAAGCAGATATGTTTTTAAAGAGCTACGATTAGCTAGGCCAGGCGCGGTGGCTCACGCCTGTAATCCCAGCACTTCGGGAGGCCATGGCGGGCGGATCACGGGGTCAGGAGATTAAGACCATCCTGGCTAACATGGTGAAACCCCGTCTCTACTAAAAATACAAAAAATTAGCCGGTCGTGGTGGTGGGTGCCTGTAGCCCCAGCTACTCAGGAGGCTGAGGCAGGAGAACGGCGTCAACCCGGGAGGCGGAGCTTGCAGTGAGCCGAGGTTGCGCCACTGCACTGCAGCCTGGGCGACAGAGCGAGACACCGTCTCATAAAAAAAAAAAAAAAAAAAAAAAAAAAAAAAAAAAAGAGCTAAGATTAGCTATGGGTTATGCACCGCTTCATCATCTGCTGTCTACCAGCTATAAGTCCACCTCTTTCTCTTCCTCATATCAGGAGGGAACAAAACCCCTGACCTAAGGTTTGAAAACAGTAAGTCATTGATGTTGGACATCTGACCTCCTGACCAAACTAGACCAGGGAACCAGGCTTGCCTAGCCTAGGGCATGGTTGTGGATACTGGTGATACCGTCTGTCTCGATACCCTCTGCTGTTTCCTTATTATTTCTTCTTATTCTCTCCCACAAATGCAGTTTTGAGAGTAAATCATGAACCCAGAGGAGGAAAGCATGGGAATAGGGCAAGTTAGGACCCATGAGAATAGACTGAGGGATTGAAAGAGGATACCACATTCACTGCTGGAGCCAGTCACTAACAGCGGTTGTTAGTGGGGAAGAAAGGGGCGTGGCCAGGAGAGTTTACTATTCCATCCTCCCTCTCCCTTTCTCTCTCTCAATCTCTCTCTCTTTTTTTTTTTTTTTTTTTTTTTTTTGAGATGGAGTCTCTCTCTGTCACCTAGGCTGGAGTGCAGTGGCACCATCTCGGCTCACTGCAACCTCCTCCTCCGGGGTTCCAGCGATTCTGCTGTCTCAGCCTCCCGAGTAGCTGGGACTACAGGTTCCCGCCACCATGCCTGGCTAATGTTTGTATTTTTCGTAGAGATGGGGTTTCACCATGTTGGCCAGGCTGGTCTCCAACTCCTGACCTCGGGTGATCCACCTGCCTCAGCCTCCCAAAGTGCTGGGATTGCAGGCGTGAGCCGCCCACCCCCGCCTCCTCTCCCTTTCTCCATCTCCTGTGCTATGCTATCAGTCCTACCCATCTAAATTGCCTGAGAGCCTGACCTACCATAGTATGAGAGGAGAAGAAAAAGTGTGACCCAGGGCAGGAAGAAGAGAGAAGGAAACAGGAATAGAAGGTGGTAGAGACAGAAGAGAAGGTCCCCTGGCTGTGGACCTTGCCCCTGAGGCCACAAATATATGTAAGGGACATAGTAACCTGGGGAAACGGAGAAAGGGGACTATCAGATGGGCCAAAGCTAGTTTAGGATAGGAAATTTACATAATTTTTTTCAAAACACTAACAAAATCTACTTATACAAACGAAGATTGAAATTTATACTTTTCATGATGCTCATACAGTCTTTTAAGTAAAAGCAAAAGAGATATTCTATTTTTAAATAGCTTCTTCTCTTGGGATTCAAAATTTTAGTCAATGGGCATTTCTGATGCAATCTGCACTTGCTGAAGATAAGTAGTTAGTAAAGGAAGGTGTCCATTAATTTGAAGAAATCTGGCCATTTAATATCTTAGCACTTATTCCAGTGGACCCTGGTCTTAATTTGAAAACACATACACCCCTCACTTTCTTTTTCCCTAAGAAAAAGAGGTTTCCGTCCAGGCGTGGTGGCTCACGCCTATGTAATCCCAGAACTTTGGGAGGCCGAGGTGGGTGGATCATGAGGTAAAGAGTTCAAGACCAGCCTGGCCAACATGGTGAAACCCCAAAAATACAAAAATTAGCCAAGCATGGTGGCAGGTGCCTGTAATCCCAGCTACTCAGGAGGCTGAGGCAGGAGAATTGCTTGAACCTGGGAGGCCAAGGTTGCAGTGAGCCAAGATTGCACCCCTGCACTCCAGTCTGGATGACAGAGCAAGACTCCATCTCAAAACAAAAAAAAAAGAAAAAGAGGTTTCCATAACTTCTTTGAAATCAAAATAACCATCAAACCTCTCCATTCTTTGACTATTCTTCTTGTTTTTTGTTTTTTTTTTTTTTTGAAACACAGCCTCACTCTGTCGTCCAGGTTGGAGTGCAGTGTTGTGATCTCAGCTCACTGCAACCTTCACCTCCCAGATTCAAGTGATTCTCCTTGTCTCAACCTCCTGAGTAGCTGGCATTACAGGTGTGTGCCAGCACGCCCAGCTAACTTTTGTATTTTTAGTAGAGATGGGTTTCATTATGTTGGCCAGGCTGATCTTGAACTCCTGACCTTAAATGATCTGCCTGCCTTGGCTTCCCAAAGTGCTGAGATTACAAGCGTGAGCCACTGCGCCCAGCCTATTCTTCTTTCTTATGACCAGGCTTACAGGGTAAGGCAAGAAAGGGAAATAATGAGATAAAACAATTTCTTTATCACCTTTCACTTGATGACTTCTGGAAGCTGGTGTTGGAACAGCAATGTCCCAGAATCACAGACACTTAATGATGGAAGTCATCTGAGAAGCATCCTTGCCTGTTGCTCCGCCACACGGGCATTTTCCCTACAGAAAATGACAACAGATCCTTTCATTTCCATGAAGTCCAATAACTAACTAATAATTGTGAGTTATTTAAAATATCAAGTTAGGCAGTATTGAACTAATAATAAGAATGTATACGCAATGAGGAATCTGACTCCACTTTTTGATGCTTGACTGCTGACAGCTTTTAAGCTTCCATCTGCCTCTGCAGGGACCGAAACAGCATATATTTAAAATAATTGGCCAGGCACAGTGGTTCATGCCTCTAATCCCAGCACTTTAGGAGGCCGAGGCAAGAGGATCTCTTGAGGCCAGGAGTTTGAGACCAGCCTGGGCAACATAGTGGGACCCATCTCTACCAAAAATGAAAAAAATATTAGCTGGGTGTGGTAGCACACACCTGTAGTCCCAACTACTCTGGAGGCTGAGGTGGAAGGATCGCTTGAGCCCAAAAGTTCAGGGCTACAGCAAGCTATGAACCCACCACTGCACTCCAGCCTGGGTGACAGAACAAGACCAATTTAATTAATTGATTATTAATGTAATTAATTACTTATTAATTAATTAGCTAATTGATTTAATTTAATTAATTACTTATTAATTAGGAGGTTGAGGTGGGCGAATCACTTGAGGTCAGGAGCTCGAGACCAGCCTGGCCAACATGGTGAAACTCTGTCTCTACTAAAAATACAAAATTTAGCCGGACATCGTGGCCATGGATGTGGGGGACGACACTGCCATTCCAACACCAGCTTCCAGAAATCATCAAGTGAAAGGTAATAATAAGTAATAAGTAATTAATTAAATAAGAAAAGAAAATAATTGACTTACCATTATGTTTACCATCATGCTTATGCATCCAACAATAAAGACAGTACAGTAAACAATATTCCCAATCTGCTTGTTGTCATGATGCTTTAATAGGTCCCGGATTCAAAAGACTTCATTCTCCCAGTAAGACATCCTACTTGCAAAGACTTTCCTAAATATCATGGTTTGGGTTTTTGTTTTTGTTTTTGTTTTTGTTTTTTTTATTGAAATAGAGTCTCACTCTGTTGCCCAAGCTGGAGTGCAGTGGCGTGATCTTGGCTCATTGCAACATCTGCCTTCCAGGTTCAAGCAATTCTCCTGCCTCAGCCTCCTGAGTAGCTGGGATTACAGGCGCCCACCATCACGTCCGGCTAATTTTTGTATTTTTAGTAGAGACAGGGTTTCACCATGTTGGCCAGGCTGGTCTCGAACTCCTGACCTTAAATGATCCGCCCACCTCAACCTCCCAAAGTGCTGGGATTACGGTTGTGAGCCACCATGCCCAGCCTAAATATCATGGTTTTGAATAAGCACAGTGTCAATTTCTCTAATTTGTGTCATCATTCCACATATAGGGTGGGCTGTTGTATAAGGTGAAGAAAATTGATGTATGATCCATTGGTTACTCATTCATTCAATATGTGTTGAATACCTAGTATGAGACAGGCACTGTTGCGAACAATATGGACATAGTATAGAACAAGATAGACAAAAATCCCTGTCCTTGTGGAATTTATATTCTAGAAAGAGGGGGTAGGAAAAGTAATAATAAAGTAAATTATATAGTAAGTCAGAAGATAAGGGTTATAGGAGAAAATAGAACAGAATAAGGGAAATCCAAAGTCCTAGGGCAGAAATGGGGAAGTGAAATTATCATTAGAGTGGTTTGGTTTCCTTACTGCTGTTCACCAAATACATATGGTTTTTGATCTCCAGGCTTATACTAGGATTGTACTTCCCTATCATATTAAAGTTAAGTACAGCCATAGGACTTGTTTTGGCCAATGGAATGTGAGCAGAAATGATGTGTGTGATTTCTGGACAGAAGCTTTAAGTATAGTGTGTGATTCTCCACATGCCTCTCCCACTGCTGCATGCCATAGGAAGCTTCACTTGGCCAGAATTCCTGAATAACATCATGAGCCAAAGCCCCTGCCAACCTGTGTTAGACACTTGGTGTGAGCTACATATTAAGCTAATGAGATTTTTGGTCTTGTTTGTTACTGCAGCATAACCCGACCTATCCTAACTGATGCAAGTTGTCAGGGTAGACCCCACTAAGACAGCAAATGATAGTGGCTTGAACCTGAGTGACAATAGCAGAAGAGATGAGAAGTCATCAGAATCTGGAAATATTTTGCTGTATGGAAAAGAGTTAAGTCCTATATGATTGAAAATGTGAGACCAGTTACAGCAGACTACATTGATTCTAATAGTATGTCAGAGACATTTTGTGTAAAAAGGGGAAATATACTTGTGTAAAAAGGGGAAGGGTTCTAGGGGCAATCTTTTATGGTCTGGTGACAATCTGGAAGGAAATAAATAATCTATCTAGCAGGTTTACAACAGCATAAGCAACCTACTAAATATTAGGAGATTTTACTGTCCGCAATGAGATTTCTGACTTGTATAGTGGAGCATTATTGCCCTCTAGTGATAAAAGAGAAAATGTACTTAGAGAAAAGGAAAGTGACAACCAATGATTCTGGGAAACACTCAATTCGAAATTTGGGGTATTCTTTGGGCCATGACTGGTTGCTTTCTAACAACTTTTGACTGGGAGACACCATGAGCAATTGTATATCTGAGAAGATAAAATCTGGCATTGCTTTTCAAAGTTATCCATAATTTTCAAAAAAGTGAGAATCCTGAATCCGTGTTGGTTAAGGTGCC
The DNA here is from genome assembly GCF_000001405.40 of Homo sapiens. Lineage (NCBI taxonomy): Eukaryota > Metazoa > Chordata > Mammalia > Primates > Hominidae > Homo > Homo sapiens. The sequence continues at coordinate 30,051,487 of NC_000008.11, forward strand.
AGGATTATTGTAAGTATAAGAATTAGTAGTGATATCTACTACACAAATATTTTATTGTCTTCCATAAAAGATAGGGACAAGTAAGGGGATGAAGATTAATGTGTGTAACTGATAATTCCTGAACTTGGTGTTCTTTGTTTTGCTTTGTTTTTTTAACCAGTTGCACAAATGAGGAACGGTGAGAGACTTCCTGTTAGTAATTCAGTGAAATAGTAGTTAGTGAAATAGAGTGGCATTTTTTTTGTCACTTTCATAAGCTCAATATGAAGTAGTAGAGAGATGTAGCTTCCCAAAAGGCTGCAATCATGAAATGTTTATCCAAAAGAAAGTAATATATCCATTGAACTTCATATAATTATGCTGGAACAACCAGTATAATTTATTTAATCAAGATACAAATATTGTTGCATCTCTTATTTTACTTAACTAAACCAAGCAGAATCCCAATACTTTGGATAAGTTGGAGGTATAATTTCTTTCAAGGGACTTCTCTTCTTCTGCCCACTTATTCAAGAATCCCAGGATGTTGTCCAGAATGGATGAACATATTTCTGAAATGCCTTCTGGAGAGCAATCCAGAGGATCCAATCCATCACCAGCAGACCTAACTTTCAGCTACCATTGTTGTTGCCACATTATGAATACTGGTCTTTCCCAGTCTGGTATATTCTTTTCCACTGTTCTTTTCCATCCATATTCCTATGCAGGTCACAGTGGTGTCCTCCTCCCTCACTTCCCAGGTAATAGCTCTCCAGGTTAAAACCACATATGCAGACATTCTTCCCAACACACTCATTGTGCCCTTGTGGATCCAGGACAATTCCAGTTCCAGACATAGCCACAAGCTAACCCAGAACCCACTTTTTCCCAAGACTATGTAGAATCGGGTAATAACCCAGAATTCCCGGTCTTCACTCATCCTTCTCTCCCCTAAGAGCTGCCTCTAACCATCCAAAAGGTACTATTTATGAGGAAGTCCAAAAGAGATGTGTGAGAGATACTGCATACTCTTCCAGTAGCCACCTGGGTTTCCATGAAAATGTACTTCTGCTTAAGCAAACTTTCATCTCTGCATATTTTAAAAAGCAGCCTTCATCAAGCCCTTTTTAAAAGGCTTTGTTGTACATTTCCCCAAGAGCAATAGATGTCTGCTTACCCTATCTTTACTTATGAACCACAAAGAACAAAGAAGATCCGCTTTGGAATGACTCACTTTATCCTCCCATGCAGGAAGATCAAAGGCCAAGTTTAAATGGCAGCTTCTCTGACATCCATATCTTAATTACAGTCTGGGTGCCACATTTAAGCATAAATCTTATTCTAGAAATATATCTTATAAATCTAAACACATGTACATTAAAGATCTAAACTATAATAAAGTCTCTGACTCCAGTGTTTGGAGCAGCTACAACATAAACTCATGTACAAAAGATATGTTCGGATGTTCATTATTGCATTGTTGAAAATAGGGAACAAAATTGAAAATGTGGTAAATGTATATTGATATTGATAAAGGAATGGTGAGATTAAATTATAATATATCCATATGATGGAATACTATGCAGCTGTGAAAAGAATAGATTTATTCTTTGTGAAAAAATTCTGGACATTGTGTATAATTTCTATAATAATAACCAAAAAATGTTAACAGAAATTATTTCTAGGTAGAGAGACCACACTGAGAGGATGAAACGAAGGGGGCCGTGGGGAGTTGGGCAGATATAGACTTTTTTCTTTTTGGAGACAGGGTCTTGCTCTGTCGTGACTGACACGGTCATAGCTCATTGCAGCCTCAGACTCCTGGGCTCAAGTGATCCTCCTACCTCAGCCCCCTGAGTAGCTGAGATTACAGGCATGTGCCACCATGCCTAGCCAGATACAGACTCTTTCTTTTCTCTTTATATCCTTCTAAACTGTTCGAATGTTTTACAAAGAACTTGCATTGCTTTTCTTTTTTCAATTATGAAATATGCATATTTTAACTTATATATAGTTGTGAATGATTTATCTATATAATTTAATTAAATATAATTTAACTTGATAAATACTCATAATTTTGAATATTTTAATGTAAGGAAGAAATGTGTCTTTTCTCCTTTAATAAGGAAAGATTGTGCTGGGGATTTAAAAAACAAAAAACAACAACAACAAAAAAAAACATGATCAAACCTAGGTAGATGACCAGATGGTGGAGGATCCAAAAGCTAGGTAAAGTAAGAAATGATTGAGAGTGTTTTGGATTTTTAACTTGAATAAAAAATAGAGCTGTCTTCAAATATCTACAGTAAGGGAATTCCACTTTTATGTTTGTGAGGGCAAGATGATTTGAACCAATCCTATCACACACGGAAACTAACAAAACTGAGCAAAATATGAAAAGACATCTTCCCGAAGGCATCACAGAGCTAGCAAAATCATGAAGATTTACTATTTCTGGATCCAGGGAAGACAGGAACTCCTATAAATTATGTGGGCATTATTCCCATCCTGCCCTTCATCCACTAGAAAATGATTTACTTAGAAACAATGTGAAACATTGTGATACACAATAAGGCATTCTGTAAATCTACATATCATGGTTTCAACAACAGCCTTTCGAGTGGGAAGGGCCAATCCAAACCCAGAGTAAATGTCTACTTCAGTGACAACAAATCATTGCCCCTTTCATGATAGAAGTGGTCTCATGTAATCAACATGCCACCAGATGGTGGGCTGATTTCCCCAGGGAATTGAACCGTATTCAGGGTTCAGTGTTGGCCTCTGCCGTTGGGAGATAGGGCACTCAGCAGCGGTTGTAACCTGATCGGTTTTGGTGAATGGAAGACCCTTTTGCTGAATCGATGGATAACTTTCATCCCTACCACCTTAGCCACTTTGTTTATGAGCCAATGAAACAGGAGTAGGGCTTGCTGAAAAAAAGAGGCTGAATAATAGCCACAGAAAATGTCATCTTATGAAGTGACTTAAGATGCAACGTTCTGTCGGGGACATGAACTACTTACTGATCCTAATACTCTGAGTGGATGGTTTCCTGAGGGATGATGGCTTCCTGCTTGGATGTGATGATGCCTATAGTAAGCAAGGTGGAGATGCCAGAATTTCTGTGATATTCTACTACTCAGGTAGTTGTAAGCATGTATATTGGACAAAAAAAAAAAATCTCATCTTTGTTAAGAGAGGACCATACATCTACATTTCCCCCAGATATCCTTATCAATTTTTCTTTCTTTTTTTTTTTTTTTTTGGAGACAGAGTCTCGTTCTGTCACCCAGGCTGGAGTGCAGTGGCACGATCTCATCTCACTGCAACCTCTGCCTCCTGGGTTCAAGTGATTCTTCTGCCTCAGCCTCTCGAGTAGCTGGGACTACAGGTGTGTGCCACCACGCCTGGCTAATTTTTTGTATTTTTAATAGAGACAGGGTTTCACTGTGTTAGCCAGGACGGTCTCGATCTCCTGACTTTGTGATTTGCCTGCCTCAGCCTCCCAAAGTGCTGGGATTACAGGCGTGAGCCACTGCGCCCAGCCTAATTTTTGTATTTTTAGTAGAGATGGGGTTTTACCATGTTGGCCAGGCTAGTCTCTAATGCCTGACCTCAGATGATTCGCCCACCTCGGCCTCCCAAAGTGCTGGGATTACAGGCATGAGCCAGCTTGCCCAGCTTTATCGTCAATTTTTCAGTCTCATTTTTCCAAGCCCCTGGTCACCCATTCAAACCAGAAACCACTGTCTATTTTGAAAAGTGTAGATACATATGTCTTGCCATCTCTTATTTCAGATGCATAGCTCAAAATTCCACCCCCTCAGGGCACTTCCCTTCACTGTCCTTCCAGGTGGTATCAGCATATCATGCAGATCCATTTGTAAATCAGGCTACTCTTGACTTGCTGTCCTGTATGGAATTCCATCCACCTTGGTTGGCTCTGACAATGAAGAGATGCAATTTGCCACTTCGGAAACCCACTATCTCTGTTAATCTTGGGAAGTCCATTTTCATGACAGCATTTCCCACTATTAACCTTTGCCTACAGAGGACAACTATCATTGAGCCCTTAAAAATGCTAATAACTCTCTCACCAGTACCTTCCTTACTACCTTGGTAAAGGGAGATGCTCTGAACCCTCAGAGTAGAGTCAAATGTTGGATTATTCAGTCTCATAAGTAAATTCTAACATCCCACTTCCTTGAGTCTTCAGATACTGTGCTCAATACTATACCATAGAAAGTCTGGCATCTCTACCTCACTTACGGTAGGCATCATCACATCCAATCAGGAAACCATCATCATCCATCAAGAAACCATCCCAGAAAATTATTAGAACCAGTAGCTCATGTCTTTGACAGAACATTGAATCCCAATTCACAGGTGAACATAAAGGACTTCTCTTTCCACCATATTTCACCCCTCCCACAGCCCAACTTCCAGATGAATTTCCACATGGTTTATCCCTACTCTCGCTGGTACATATTAGCTGTATGGTACCATGATTTTTTTAGTATGTGACCTATTTCCTCCCAAGGCAAGTGCTATAATTCCAAGAGGTTATCATTCTTTTGCTGTGTGGCTTATTTCCTCCCAAAGCAGGGACTGTCTTTCCCTGTTAAGGTTGAGATCTGACTCTAGTTATTGGCCTGGAGGCAGAGATGTGGCAGGACTCAGTTTTAAGAAAAAATGCTATCTTACAAGGCATCTGCTTCAGGTGAGGCCGTTACATGGTCTCTAGACAAGGAAGGCTAATCCCCTTCAGCAAGAAGGAAGGGGCTGCTATGCCAGAAAGAAAGACTTAGGAAGATGTCGATGTTCAAGTTCTTCTGATTCCTTGAACAGTCCAATTCCAAAATTCCATCCTGTACAACTTTCACACCAATTGTCTTAACACAAGTCCTCTAGAAAGCAGAACTCAAGCAAAAAAAAAGAAAAACATTTCTGGCACTTGGACAGAAGCATGTCCAAAGACACAGGGTGAGGGAAAAAAGTGAGACAAATAAAGATGTGATGCAATGGCATGCAATGGATTGCGGCACTGCTTCACAATGAGCTACAGACACACAGTAGGTCGCTTTGCAGGCAGGTTCACTCTGCACAAAGGACTTCTCCAGAAGAGTTGCAAAAAGAAAACACATCTTGCAGTAATCCCTGAAAAGATAGGAATTTATTTCCCATTGGTCATTGCTCATTCCATTGAGCTAATTCCCTAAACAACTGAGTTGCACCATCTGGGCTCCCGGCAGCCACACAGGAAACCATATTCCACACCTTGCAATGTGTCGTCTTATTCAAATCTCAAAGTGGAGGGGTGACCTGGTGTGGGTGTGACACCAACCACGTGAAAGGAGAAGGCAGTTAAGAGCCTCTGAGAAGGTGTACAAGTGGTGCTGATATAGTGGATTTGGAAGTTCCAGTGCACAAGGAAGGAATGCTTCCACCAGGAAACACTGTCACGATGAATTGGAAACCTGAGACTGTCCTTGGACAGTTTGGGCTCCTCATGCTACTGAACAAATGGACAAAGTAAGGGGCCACTCTAACAGGTAATTCATCCTAATTATCAAGGGAAAATTAGGTTGCTGGCCAGGCGCGGTGGCTCATGCCTGTAATCCCAGCACTTTGGGAGGCCAAGACGGGCGGATCACTTGAATTCAGGCGTTCATGACCAGCCTGGCCAACATGGTGAAACCCCGTCTCTACTAAAAATACAAAAATTAGCCAGGCATGGTGATGGGCACCTGTAATCCTAGCTACCCTGGAGACTGAGGCAGGTGAATCACTTGAACCCAGGAGGCAGAGTTTGCAGTGAGCCAAGATCACACCACTGCACTAAAGCCTGGGCAACAGAGCAAGACTATTCTGAAAAAAGAAAAAAAAATGAATATTAAAATGACTCTTGAGCTTGCCCAATAACCTGGACCTATCACAGAGCCTTCTTTTGTTCTAGGCTCCTGTTAAAACTAGCAGCTTTGCGATCAGTCAGTAAATGGACTAGAGTTGCATACCACATAAGGAATATGTTGCCCGCAAGATCCACTAGGTATTGCATCATTTTTTTCATCTGGAGCCAGATGTAACGATTTATCCTTGGCCTTAGAAAGATATTTCAACATGTCCCATACTACTGGACTCCTAGAAATTTCCCTGAGGTAGAAAGCCCCTGAATCTTTGTCAGATTTGTTTCCCACCCTCTAACATACAAATGCCTTACCAATACATCTACAGTAGTTGCTACTTCTTGGTAGTTGCTCTTCTTGCTCATCAGATCCAATCAGCTTAATATAATAAATGTCATGGACCAGTGTGAAGTCTTGTGGAAGGGAAAGGTAACCAAGGTCCTTGCAGACTAAATTATGACATAGGACTGAAAAGTGAAGGTGTATTGCTGGCCCTGCCAGCTGAAAGCAAGCTGCTTCTGATGGTGTGTACTAACAGGTATGGAGGAAAAGCATTTGCCAGAGCACTTGTGTTTCAACTACCAGATATGTTCATGTACCCAAGTGATGAAACTACATCTGGAACAGCAGTTGCAATTGAAGTCACCATCTGGGTAAGTTTATGACAACCTATTATTACTCTCTATCCGTTTTCGGCACAGGCCAAATAGGCGAGTTGAATGGGGATGTGGTAGGAAGCACCAGCCCTATATCCTTCAAGTCCTTGATGGTGGCATTAATCTCTGTAATCCCTCCAGAAAGGCAGAACTTACTATCTCACGGTTCTAGAGGCTGTGAGTCTGATATCCAGGTGGTAGCAGGGCCATGCTCCCTCTGTATGTGCTGAGGAAGGATCTGTTCCAGGCCTGACTCTCAGCTTCTGGTGGTTTGCTGGTAATCTTTGGCATATATTGGCTTTTGGCAGAACTCCAGACATTACATGATTATTTCTGTTTGTGTGTCTGTGTCCAAATTTCCTCATTTTATAATGACATGAATCATTGGTGTTCACTCTACTCCAGTATAACCTCATCGTAATTTCATCTGCAGTAACCCTGTTATGGTTTGGATGTTTGTCCCCTCCAAATCCCACATTGAATGTGATTCCCAATGTTGCAGGTGGGGCCTGGTGGGAGGTGTTGGGAGCATACAGGAGGATTCCCTCATGAATGGTTTAGCACCATCCCCCTCGTGATGAATGAGTTCTTGCTCAGTTAGTTCACACAATATCTGGTTGTTTAAAAGTCTGGGACCTGGCCAGGTGCGGTAGCTCACACCTGTAATCCCAGCACTTTGGGAGGCCAAGGCAGGAGGGTCACTTGAGGCCAGGAGTTCAGCCAACATGGTAAAACCCTGCCTCTATTAAAAAAAAATACAAAAATTAGCCACGTGTGGTGGCACACACCTGTAATCCCAGGTACTCAGGAGGCTGATGCAGGAGAATCACTTGAACCCACGATGCAGAGGTGAGGTGAGGCAGTGAGCCAAGATCACACCACTGCAGTCCAGCCTGGGTGACAGAGCAAGACTCTGTCTCAAAAAAAATCAGTCAATCAATCTGGGACCTCCCTCCCTCGCTCTCTCTTGCTCCCACTCTCACCATGTGACGCACCTGTTCCCTGCACCTTCCACCATGATGGGAAGCTTCCCAAGGCATCACCAGGAGCAGATGCCGGCACCATGCTTCCTGTACAGCCTGCACAACTGTGAGCCAATTAAACCTCTTTATAAATTACTTGGTCTCCGGTATTCCTTTATAGCAACACAAATGGACTAACATAGACTCTATTTCCAAATAAGATCACATTCTGAGGCACAGAGCTCAGGCACTTTCTGTGTCCCTCCATTTCACCCCATTTCCTCACTCCAACTCTCCCTAGTCGCCTTCATCTCTAACTTGGATGTTCTTCCAATTGGGATTCCCCACAAGTCCTCTCAGCCCCTTTAATCAAGTGTCCATATCACAGCCACTATTGGTTTATCATTTTTGTAGATAGAGGTAGTTCTAGTGACTTTCACTTGGCCTATGCCACCATAACAGCCTTCATTCCACAGGTCAGGGACCCAACGTAGAGATTCTGCTAGTTGCTGAGTATGTCTATTCTAATCCTGCATTCTAGAACGCAGGTTCCATTCCTGTGTAATAATCACAGGATCATTCGAGGGACCCATGGGACTCACTGTGAAATTGATCTGAGCTAAAACTCTATAAGCTCTTACTCTGACTGGTGGACCACAGTAATGTTTTGAGCCTCCTGGAATTAGCATCAATTCAGTGTCCAGTAATCCCTAAACTATCTGATTATTTTCCCTTTCCCCAGGGCATAGTTACCCCAGTAAATAGCCACGGGTCCATTGAGGGAAGACTGGGGGAAAGATAAACAATATAAACCTGGCAATGTGGTAGGGTTCTTCCTCAAGGGGAACCCAGCCTCTCCTTCATTGAAGGGATTCTGGAGCTATAAACCAGCTCAAGTCTAGGAAATGATTCAGAGGCTATGACTCACTTGTGGTGACTTAAGATAGACTTCTGTTGGCTGGGCACAGTGGCTCACACCTATAATCCCAGCACTTTGGGAGGCCGAGGCGGGCGGATCACCTGAGGTCAGGAGTTTGAGACCAGCCTGGCCAACTTGGTGAAACCCTGTCTCTACTAAAAATACAAAAATTAGCCAGGCATGGTGGCAGGCGCCTGTAATCCCAGCTACTCGGGAGGGTGAGGCAGGAGAATTGCTTGAACCTGGGAGGCAGAGGTTGCAGTGAGCCGAGATCATGCCCCTGCTCTCTCCAGCCTGGGTGACAGAGTGAGACTTGGTCTCAAAAAAAAAAAAAAAAAAAAAAAAAAGACTTCCGTTTACTCAGCCTAGAACTCTTCCACATACATAAATCAAATAAGAATTTAGTAGACTGCCATCTATTTCTTCCATAGGTACACAATGATCAACCAGCCAATGCCATAGGTCTCTGAGTCAGACAATTCTTGTTAATTTTTGTTTCATAAAATTTTTTGTAGAGATAGAGTCTCACTATATTGCCCAGGCTGGTCTCAAACTCCTGGCCTCAAGCAATCCTCCTGCCTCTGCCTCCCAAAGTTCTGGGATTACAGTCATGTGCCAGTGTTCCTGGCCTGAGTCCAACAATTCTGATGGCTGCTTTGACTCTGCTGCCCATTACAGCATAACCATGCCACGCTATCTTTGCTGATTGTCACCATTTGGCCCCTGCTACCCTGGGATCAAATTAACCCCACTGCCTCTAGGGGTCCCAGTTTGATGGTAGCAGTTCCCACTGTACATTCTGACCTACAAAGAAGAGAAACCAAATTTGTGGGCCTCCTTCTCAAAAATCTATTTCTCACCATCATGGTGAAAAGTGTATTCTCTTGACTCCTCCAGGGTGGGTGGGTGGGGCTTATATGATAAATCCACCCTAACATTCCAATCTCCCTGAGCCTTTGAATCCCTTCCTCCACAGTACACTGAGGCAGTTCTGGCATTTTGACTTTAGTGTAGGCCATCTTCGAGTCCATGTTCAGCAAACCAACTAAACTGTTAAGAGTCCTTTCTAACCTCTCAAATATTGAATCCAGAATCTCTGCTGAGTGGGCCAATATCAATAAAGTTGTCCTGACTGAACTTTACAGTCCTACCACCATATCCTACACTCTAAGATCCATTCCCACACATATTCCCCAGATTTCTATCTGTATAGACTGGGAAAATCATGGAGTCCTTTTGGTGTGCAGGGTACCTCCTCATGGATCATAATTTGTACCTCACTCTTTGGTGCCTACTGGAACGTGAGTCTAGCTGTACATCTAGGAGCAAAGCAGGTAGCAAGGGCAGACCCTGAGGCAGATGAGTGATGCCTGGTAACGAACACCTCTGAAGAGACCATTACAGATCCTTCAGGCAAAGTAGGATTAACCTTCTCAGACAGAAGTAGAAGGGCTGCTTCTACCGGCAAGAAATACTACGCAGAATTTAGGGGTTCCATTTCACTGGCTTCATCAGGATCCTTTCTTATGTCCCCATTCCACTTTTCAGGATCCCACTGCTTCTCAATCAATGCTCTCACCTTATTTTTTTAAGAGACAAGGTCTCACCCTGTTGCCCAGGCTGGAATGCAATGGCAAAATCACAGCTCACTGCAGCCTTAATCTCCCGAGCTCAAGTGATCCTCCCACCTTAGCCTCTGGAGTAGCCAGGACTACAGGTGCATACCACCATGCCCAGCTAATTAAAATAATAATCTGTAGAGATGAAATCTTGCTATGTTGCCCAGGCTTGTCTCGAACTCCTGGACTTAAGCAATCCTCCTGCCTTAGACTGTACTATCTTATTATTCTAAGTTTTACATTTGGGGAAGTGATACATGTGAACCTTTTCCATAGACAACAAAGGGCCGGGAGTAGTGGTTCATGCCTGTAATCCCAGCACTTGGGGAGGCCATGGTGGGAGGACTGTTTGAGGCCAGGAGTTCGAAACTAGCCTGAGCAACATAGTGAAACACCATCTCTACCAAAAAAAAAAAAAAAAAAAAAAAGTTCTTAAATGACAAGGAAGTACAAATACACAACAGATAAAAGAGGAACACTCAGGTGGGGCTTGAAACCTATACTCTGCCTCTTTTCCTCCCTTCCCTCCAGGGACCCTCTAAAGAACCTCATAAGAACACCACTAGGGCTCCCCAGAGTAATCTAAAAGCCACCAAGTCAACTCTTTTTTTTTAAAGCTATCGCCTACAGGAAGAACAGTCAACTCTCTTTACATTAACTCATTATTTTCTTACAATCCCAATGATCTGCAGTACTATGTTCAAAAACAATCTGAGTAAGCCGGGCGCGGTGGCTCACGTGTGTAATCCCAGCACTTTGGGAGGCTGAGGCAGGTGGAACACCTGAGGTCAGGAGTTCGAGACCAGCCTGGCCAACACAGTGAAACCCCATCTCTACTAAAAATACAAAAACTTAGCTGGGCTTGGTGACAGGAGCCTGTAATCCCAACTACTCAGGAGGCTGAGGCAGGAGAATTGCTTGAACCCAGGAGGAGGAGGTTGCAGTGAGCCGAGATCATGCCACTGCACTCCAGCCTGGTGACAGAACGAGAGACTCTGTCTCAAAAAAAAAAAAAAAGCAACAAACTACATTCTCTTTTATTCCATATCCTTCTACTAAGGAGAAATGGGGTAAGGATTTAGTGGGATATACATAAAGTAAAGCTGTGTTTCTTCTATCAGTTAAAATTTCTACTGTTTTACTGATGAAAAGAGGATAGTTTTATTATGCAATAGTCTTAATAAGGGTTTGTTTTAAATTGGTTCTTATTGGTTGGTGAAAAGTAACTGCAGTTTTAAATGGCAAAAATCATTAAACACATAAGATATAAAACTGGGGCTTTGAGGTTATGAAGCTTAACTAAGTGTAACCATGCAATCTCTGATGGGTTGGGAGGCTTGGAGATTTAATTATTTTTTTCAAACGCTATTTTTTGGCAGAGGCTTCCACACCATTTGTAAATTACTTTTTGAAAACATTTACCAAAAGACTAAGGTACGACTACCACATAAAATTACTGTTTAGGGAGACAGAACTTCTGCATGAACTTTCCCCTTTGGGAAAAAGGGTTTAAAAAAACAAAAAGTAACATTTATTTGCGCCTAGGCTAATAGAAAGAATGAGACTAAACCCCTTGTTTGTTTTTATTGATTCTTTTTAAGATTGAAACAGACTATTACAACAATATTTGAGATTTCACAGAGAACTGCATGCTTTTGTTATTAAAAGACTTTTGTTGAAAAATTTGACCTTTACCTCTTATGAACGAAAGAAATATAGAGGTTTCAAGCATTTTTGCCAGCACAGAGTCATTCACAACAACCTTCTAGATGCTTATTTTCTACCTTTTCCTACAGAAGGTAATATTCAGTTACCAGAAGGCCATCTCCACCACTGAATGATTCAAAGCTTCAGAGCTCAAAAGTGATCAGAACTCACAAATTAGCATAATTAGTCCAAAGCTTGATTTAAATGTTTGAAGAACAGCAAACATCAAATAATATAATACCAAATAGAATATTATAGTCTCTATGAGGTAATAACTCATCAGCTACAACCACCTAAAACTGAAATTTTCTGTACTTAGTTTCTATTAGTACAACACCTTCATTCTTAATGCTTCTTAGGGCATCACAGGTTTTAGAAATTAATGTATTTTTAGCATTCCACAGTAATGATCACTTTCAAAAACTGCAATATACATCTGCATGTTACACTGACATACAACACATAAGTATTTTGTCACACATCAACTTTTAGCCTCAAATAATAGAATACAAAAAGCTACACTGGACATAACACCACAGAACTTTTGAATATCCCCTTTTCCCAATTGTTAACAGGTAGTACTTTTTTTCTAAAGAGAAAGTGATGAAAAATCCAAAATTTCTGCATCCAGTGTTTGACTCCAACTTTCTACTTTATCGTCTCCTGGTACCACCATATCCTAGAATGAGAGGGGTAAAATTTACATTAGTTTTTAAAAATGCATTAGAATTGCTTATAAAATTACAAGTCATACATGTTTATTGTCAGCAAATGAATGAGATAGGAGGAAAGGAAAGAGTGTGCCACTAGGTGGAACTGGGCTAAGCAGGACAGTGCATCGCCTCCCACAGCAACCTTCCCAATCATCAAGCCTACTACACTCACACATGGTTGCTGGGAATGACAGTTAGGACCCCAAAAAAGAGAATGCATTCTATAGTGGGGCCACCATGGTACAGGCAATACTCAAAGTCTAAGCCAAAAAGACAGAGGCCAGTGGCGCATAAGCCATGCCCTGCTACCTCTCACAACTCCAGTGGTAAGAGACGTAATGTGGGGAGGGTTACGGACTTTAGATGCTTAAACGTTACTTAAGACACTGTGCGCACACACACAGGCTACAGGATGACAAATCTTCCTATCTAGAAAGTCTCTCAATTATTTTCAGGTTTACATTATTTGGTTTTTATGATTTTCTTTCATATAATTCCCATACATTTCTAGTTCATAGTCATGATTTTATGCAAGTCTTCTTTCCACTGAGAATGAATATTTTTCTGTCATGATGTCTTACCTAGCCATATATATATATATATATATATATATATTTTTTTTTTTTTTTTTTGAGACAGAGTTTTGCTCTTGTTGCCCAGGCTGGAGTGCAATGGTGCAATCTCGGCTCACTGCAACTTCTGCCTCCCGCGTTCAAGCGATTCTCCTGCCTCACCCTCCCAAATAGCTGGGATTACAGGCATGTGCCACTACACCCAGCTAATTTTTGTATTTTTAGCAGACATGGGGTTTCACCATGTTGGGCAGGCTAGTCTCGAACTCCTGACCTCAGGTGATCCACCCATCTCAGCTTCCCAAAGTGCTGGTATTACAGGTGTGAGCCACCGTGCCTGGCCTTACCTAGTCATATTTTTATATATTCTCCCAACTCCTTTTTTTCTTCCCAGAAGTACCTACTATCTCATACTCTAACACCATAAATTAGTTTTGCCTGTTTTTGCATGTGTATTTTATAAAATGTAACTGCTATCATCATAGTGTATATATTATTTTGTGTCTGGCTTCTTTATATTTGGTAGATCTATCCATGTTATTGCACACAACTACTTATTCTTAGTTGCACAGTAACCCACTGCAATACAGCAAACATAACTCAATTTATTCATCCATTTTACTGCTGATGGATACGTGGGCTGTTTCCAGTTTTGGGCAATTATGAATAGGGATGCTATGAACAGTCTTGTGCTTATCTGCCAGCACACAAGTGTATGCATTTCTGTGGCGATATATCTGAGAGCAAAACTGCTCTGTCCTTTGGAAGTATGCATAGGTTCAATTTTAGGAGGTAGTACCAGTTTTTTTAATTGAATGTATCAATATATATCCAAACCAGCATTATGAGAATTCTACTCACATTTTAAAACATATTTAAATATATTTTTCTATCAATTTCAAGAATTAATCATTGTTCTATAACTTCCTTTTCCTGAAAGACAAAGCTACTCCAGAGCAATCTCTCATGGCCTCCTTACCCAGCAGCTCCCAATTAGGCTTGATGCTTAATCCAGTTATTCCTTTGTTTTTTTTGTATCTTTGCTTTTTACAAAATATCCTCTGAGCATTCCAATAAACATTACAATCATATTTTTGAAAATTAAAGTATACCTCAATATCTTTTTTGAATGTTATTGAATTTTAAGTTTAAGCTTCTACTTAGAAAAGTCTAGTTTAGAACTTAAAGGATCTCTAGAGATCACAGAATTAAATATATGGGGAAGCTAGCACCCAGTAAGGTTCAAGTTAAAACCTTGGTCTATGGTAGAGCTAAGCCTAAATCAAATCCCTGTTTGATTTTTAAAGAATGTTTAAAAGTGGGATCTCAGTTAACTGTGCTATTAATATTTTTGGTAGGTACACCAAATAAAACCATGGTTGCTAAACAGATAATCATCTTCTAAAGTTCCCAAACTATTTCTGTACTTTACTCCTAGGTAAAAGGAACTTGTATTTTTTGCTCTTACCTGATGCAGTTCTGGTTTTCGTGTCTGAGTTTGAACATACCGAATAGCTGCCCGAGCCTCCATGAAGGGGTGAGTAAGCCCTATTCCACGTGCCAGGGTAGGAGGGAGGATAGGACGGGTAGTACCACGAGTCTGAGAAGGGTGTTGCCGCTCTTTAAAGGGATAAAAGTAGGTTAGGCATTTTTTTCTTGTGGCTATAATTTTTAAATACCTTCCTGTTCCTAAACTGTCAGAAAAAAATATCTTTATCAAGTATTTTTTCCTGAATGTTCTGGTATATCAGAGTTAACATGAAATAAAAACCGTTTCATATTTCTGCCATTATTATGGTCACTGCTATGGGGGAAAAGTGACAGGGAGTCAATGCTCTTTCTGAATTTGCACTCGAATAAAATCTAAACTTAAACTACCATTAATACTTCATATTCCAAAATCTGGCCCCAAGCTCTTTCCAGCCTTATTTTTATCATTCTCCTACCAAACCAGACTGTTCCCCAAATGCTGTCTTCTTTCCTGCCTTCTTATTTTCTCAGATGTCAACTAAACAGTCTTTTTCTTATCTCATAATATATATGAAGGTGACACAGGAAGAAACACAGTGAAAGAAAATAACATACACAATACTGATCAAAACAAATATAGTGTACCTTCCCCCTTCCCAGAGAATCTTATTTAATAGGCTAACGTCACCACAATTTATTTTCCTTAGCAAAACTAAATGCAGTTAAATTGTAAGCAAAACAAGCCTCTTGAATTAAAGAGCAAGTGAGATCAATGCAAAAAGCTTACCTATTGCTGCCAAACAAATATCCTAGTATTCCACCAGTTCCCAAGCCTGTCCAGAACCCTGGTCCTGAATTTTCATATCCTTGTTGTCCTGTAAAAGCACTGCCAAAACCAGAAGTTGCACCATGGCCAGTATTCTGTGGTCCTTAAAATAAAAATGATTTATTATGTATCCTCACTTAAACATGACAGTCTACAAAAGCAAAGATAATGTAACATTTCAATTATTTCATCTGTACTGAATTATTAATAATACTCAGGCATCAAGTTATTAACAAGTTGTATTCAAAAAGGTATTTGTAAAATACTGGTTTATAATGAGGGAGAGCATTTCCCATAGATATGGGAGGAGAGGGATAGATTTTGGGACTGGGGAGGGTCTTGCTATAAAATGACATCTGCCCTGCTCAATCAGCTACTAGAAAATCACCCCACTTTTCAGGGTTACTTTCTCTCTGCAGTACAAACTCTAAGTGGAGTCTCTAAGAGCTCCAGATGAGAGCTGTGCCTCAGTCTCTAACCGAGGAATCCAAGGGGAGGCAGCCAGATATTTATTTGTGTCAGTTGGGAAGTCAGATCTCAAAGGGACCTAAAAAGTATCTTCTGCTCAGAGGAAGTTTTAACTGATGTATACATATATATAAGAAAGTGTGCTAATCTTACACGTGTGGCACAACAAATTTGTACATATGTACCTATCCATGTAACCACCACCCACACCAATAAACCATTTCTGGCACCCCAGAAGGCTCCCTCATGACAACTCCTAATAGATTCCCATCTATGTCAGAGATCAGCACTACTTTAACTTCTCTTACCATATTTTAATTCTGTCCATTCATGAACTTTTTCTAAACAGGATCACAAAGTATGTATTCTGTGTCCGGCACATCATTATGTCTATGGGAGTCAATCCTACCATTGCATTATCAGTTTTTTTCTTAACTCATGTGTCTTCCACCGTGTGAAAAATTTACACAGTCCCATTCTAATGTTTATGGATATTCCACCTCCATTTTTTGGCAGTTATAAATAAAACTGCTATGAACATTCCTGTGCATCTTTCTTGGTGCACCATGCATTCACTTCTCCCAGGTATGTACATAGGAATAGAATTGGGTATGCATGTTTGGGTTGTTTTACCATTTAAACTCCTACCGGCAAAGTATGAAAGTTCCAGTCACTCTACATTCTTGCCCATACTTGGTACTCTGTCTTTTTAATGTTAGCCATTATGGTGGTTATCTGGTGGCTAAAAATAATCTCCCTGTGGTTTTCATCTGCATTTCTCAGGAGACTAATGATGCTAAGCACCTTTTCTTATTTCTGTTGAACATGTAAATCATGGGTTGGGACCCCAGTACTGCTCCACGGCCTGTTAGGAACTGAGCCACACAGCAGGAGGTGAACAGCAAGCAAGCGACTGAAGCTTCATCTCTATTTAAAGCCACTCCCCCATCACTTGCATTACTACCTGAGCTCAGCCTCCTGTCAGATCAGCAGCAGCATTAGATTCTCATAGGAGCACAAACCCTACTGTGAACTGCACATGCGAGGGATCTAGGTTGCATGCTCCTTATGAGAATCTAATGCCTGATGATCTGTCACTGTGTCCCATCACCCCCAGATGGGACCATCCAGTTGCAGGAAAACAAGCTCAGGGCTCCCACTGATTCTACATTACATGAGTTGTTAATTATTTCATTATATATTACAATGTAATAACAACATAAATAAAGTACACAATAAATGTAATATGCTTTAATCATCCCAAAACCTTCTCTCCCCACCCCACCCCACCCCAACCCCCCTAGTCCGTGGAAAAATTGTCTTCCACAAAGCTGGTCCCTGGTGCCAAAAAGGCTGGGGACTGGTGAAGTAGATGTCTTCTCTTATTATAAAATGGGCATTCAAGTCCTCTTTGGAGGGCCTGTCTGCCTGTTGCTCAGATTTACAGGAGTTCATTTTATGTTCTACCGGAAATACATTTTATATATATATATGCCGGAAATACGTTTCGTAAATTTTTCCCAGTCTGTAGCTTGCCTTTTCACTCTCCTAATAGTGCCTTTTGATGATTAGATGTTCTTAATTTAAATAAAGTCTAATTTACCCATGTTTTCTTTTATGGCTAGTACTTTTTATGTTCTGTTTAAGAAATCTTTCCCTATCCTAAGGTCATAACAAATATTCTCCTATGTTTTATTCTGGAAACTTAATTGTTTTACCTTTTACGTTGAGATTTATAATACTTAAAGAATTAATTTTTATGTATAGTGTGAGACAGGAGTCAGGGCAAATGATTATTAGCAAAGTTGATCAAGTTTCTCTGATTAAGAGTATTTATAATTTAATCAGGCATTTTTTTTTTTTTTTTTTTTTTGGAGACAGGGTCTCGCTCTGTCACTCAGGCTGGAGTGCAGTGGCGCAATCTCGGCTCACCGCAACCTCCACCTCCCGGGTTCAAGTGATTCTCATGCCTCAGTCTCCCAAGCAGCTGGAATCACAGGTGCCCGCCACAACACCCGGCTAATTTTTGTATTTTTAGTAAGAACGGCGTTTTACCATCTTGGCCAGGCTGGTCTCAAACTCCCAACCTCAAGTGATCTGCCCACCCCGGCCTCCCAAAGTGCTGGGATTACAGGCGTGAGCCACCGCGCCCGGCCAATCAGGCATTAACATAGCAACCACAATATACCTTGGGAGAGAGCCAAACAGAAGAGGTAAAAGAAGTTGAAAGTAAAAAACAAAATGAGAAGACAAACCTCCTTTGGTTTCCCAATGCAACGATTTTCTATTTCAGAACCAAGCACAGGATGCACTAACCTCACACCCGCTCTATTTATGGCCACTGCGAGGGAAACATACCTGTGAACTCAGACTTAAAGCCTGGGGGAGGAGGTCCTGCTGAGTTGGTGAATCTCTGGTAACGGTGGGAAAATGGAGGATACTCAGAGTACGGTGGAGGAGAATACTGCCCGTCACTCAGGAACAGCTTATAGACTACAAACGCGATCCCAAGGAGTACCACAATGGTAATCAATCCACTCATGTTACAGGAATCCGCCGAGGACCACTTATAATAATAATCAGAGAAAGAGGCAAAGCCGTGCTGCTTTCCAGACTCCTTCAGTTTCTGCAGGCCAAGTTCTGTATAATCTAAATTATACTCCAAGCCACAAGAACCTCTTAGTACATACTGGTCTTCAGAGGACTCATAGCCTTCACAGCTCACCACAGTTTTTCCAAATTTGTATGCAATATCTAAGTCCGTCTTACATTCCCACTGTGAAGAAAAATAGAAACAGACTATTAGAAACAAACATTTTTTTCATTTAATATATGTTACTTGGGGGCCGGGCGCAGTGGCTCACACCTGTAATCTCAGCACTTTCGGAGGCCAAGGCGGGTGGATCACGCGGTCAGGAGTTCAAGACCCGCCTGGCCAAGATGGTGAAACCCCATCTTTATTAAAAATACAAAAATTAGCCAGGCGCAGTGGCAGGCGCCTATAATCCCAGCTACTAAGGAGGCTGAGGCAGGAGAATCACTTGAACCTGGGAGGTGGAGGTTGCAGTGAGCTGAGATCGTGATTGCACTCTAGCCTGAGCAACAGAGCAAGACTCCGTCTCAAGAAAAAAAAAAATGTTACTTGGGCTATATATCCGTCATAAAATTGCAAAATGAAGCAAGGGAATGATCCGCAAAATTCACAATGGTAAGTATTCATGTCTAAGGGAAGGAAAATGAGGGGCTTCAAAGATAATGGTGGTATCTGTGTTCTACTTCTTATGCTGGATATTGCGTATATGAGTATTCGTTTTATTACTATTCTTTACATATACATGTTATATATCCATCTGAACATATTAAGTATTCTACAATTTATAAAATTTAAGCAAACTGCCAAAATGTCAACTTTTTGCCACTGTTGTTCAAGATGCTTTCTTTAAAAATCCAGATTTCTTAAAAGATGTTAAGGCTCAAAACAGCATCATATATGAATGTCTGGTAGCTACACAAAGCAACAGAGATATTACATAACCTTCAGAGAAAAAAACTTTTCTACACAAATTTTATAAAACCATGGACTAACTTTCCAAGGTCCAATTCTATGTAATTCTCTTGTATTTTTTAAAGATATTTAGAAAAATGCAAAAAGAACCCAGGCTAGCCCCAAAAATGTCCACCTTATAAAAAAATATATGCCCAAGTTTGGTCTAGATTCTATATTTTGTGGTGGAAAAAGCAATATGCTTCTTTAACTCTTAAGATACAAGCTAAAGGCCAGGCGCGGTGGTTCATGCTTGTAATCCCAGCACTTTGGGAGGCCAAGGTGGGCGGATCACCTGAGGTCAGGAGTTCAAGAACAGCCTGGCCAAAATGGCAAAACCCCATCTCTACGAAAAATACAAAAATGAGGTGGGCATGGTGGCAGGCGCCTGTAATCCCAGCTACTTCAAAAATAGAGGCTGAGGCAGGAGAACGACTTGAACCCAGAGGCAGAGGTTGCAGTGAGCCAAGATCATGTCACTGCACTGTACTCCAGACTGGGTGACAGAGGGAGACTCCGTCTCAAAAAAAATGAAAAAAGACACAAGCTAAAGTAGATTTAATTGGTTCTGTTGCCCTTCTGCAAATTTTTGTACAAATTATTTTCCTCTTTCAAAGTTCACACTATTTTACTTCATTTATAATAGCCTTATTGAAATATAATTCACACATACCATACAATTCACCCATTTCAATGGTTTTAGTATATTCACAGTTGTGCTACTGTCACCACAATCAATTTTAGAATATTTTCGTCACCCCAAAGAAATATTGTGCCCATTAGCAGTCACTCTCCATTCTCCCGCCGCACACCTCCCAACCAACTTTCTGTCTATATGGATTTCCCTAAATGGACAGTTCACAGGAATGTAATAATACAATATGTGGTCTTTTGTGACTGGCTTCTTTCACTTAGCATAACATTTTCAAGATTCATCCACGTTGTAGCATGTATTACTATTTCACTTTTTTATGGCTAAATAATATTTCTTTGCATGGATATACCACTTTTATTTATCGTTCATTAGTAATGGACATTTGAATTGTTTCTACTTTTTGGCTATTATGAATAATGCTGCTATGTATATTTGTATGCAAGTTTTTGTGTGGACATGTGTTTTCAATTCTCTTGGGTGTATATACCTTGGAGTGGAATGACTGAGGCATACATGGTAACTCTACATTTAAACTTTTGAGGAACTGCCAATTTTCCAAAGCAGCTGGACCATTTCACATTCCCAACAGCAGTGTATGAGGGTTCCAATTTCTCGACATCCTCACCAGCCTTGTTATCTTTTTTATTATAGCCTTCCTACTGAGTGTGAAGTGGTATCTTACTGTGGCTTTGATTTGCATTTCTCTGATGGCTAATAATAAGGAACACTTTTCATGTGCTTATTTATTACTTATATATCTTCCTTGTAGAAATGTCTATTCAGATGCTCTGCCATTTTTACCTTGGTTGTTTTCTTACTGAGTTGTAAGAGTTATTTTATATTCTAAATACAAGTCCCTCACCAATTATGATTTGCTAAGCTTCCTCCCATTCTGTAGGTTGTCTTTTCACTTTCTTGATGATGTCCTTTGATAGTCAAAAGTTTTTCATTTGGATAAGATGCAGTTTTTCTTTTGTTGCTGTTACTACACTGTTTTTAAAATAATTTTATTTGGAGGAAGATTCATAGGTTTGTTGACTTAGGTAAATAAAACAAGCTAAACTTGTATTGGTATTTCATGTTAACTACCACTTCCTTAATCATGCGTACTTACAAGTAGCTTCTAAGTACTGTATTTAAATTTCAACTCTTGGAATAGAAGGAGTTTCTGTCCTGCTACTAAATGGCCTCTCTCCTGCTACTAAACATAAGCCAATGTATGATATGCTCAACACTCCTTTGCTCATGCTATTCCCTTCTCTAGCCTTTCCTCTCTAAAAATGTTATCATTCCTTCCTAACACAGCACAAATGTCTCATCCTTTAAGTCCCAATGGCTCCAACCAGACGTGACTTTATAATGTTGTGTTGGGACCTACATGTAATCTGAGTGCCTGTCTTACCTCTTCTACTAGTAAGACAGTTTCTTCATTCTACCTTATTCATTTTTGTATATTGCAATTAATACATGCTTAATGAATGACATCACCATTACTGCCTTTTTTTCCCATCAAGACTCTAAAAGTCATAAGTAAAGTGGAGTGAGACTTCTGCTATAACCCAGAGAATTCTATGATTCAACTTAGCAGTACTGGGGGAAAATATTGTGAAGTAAGTATCACCCAGTACACATCAACTTCCTCTCTGAATTGCAAAGACCACGCATAAAGGTTGTATCAAACAAGAATATCATTCTGATGGAGAGGGGAAATCGTCAACATAAGTTTCTTGCCTTGTGACCAGTCGTCTTAAATCAATTTTGAAAGCAGTCAGAATACAAAGTAGAAATATGTAACTAGTGATTTAAACTGAATTCATTTAATAAAATCTATCTCTAAAGCATATTCAGTTTTGGAACTTCAAGGAGATGCTCTGCTCGTATACAAAACACCAGCGTCCCAAAGGCAATCAATGAAACCTGCCGAAATGCTTCCTTTCAAAAGTAACCACCCTCAGTTCTAAGACAATTTTAAAATCAAGTGCTAGAAGCACAATAGAGATATATGAACCCCTACTATTTACGATCTATAATTCCTAATTATCTTAACTTTGTCTTAAGGGTAGGTTGGTATTCTTTGAGGAACGACAGGAAAATGACAACCATAAGATATCCCCTATCCCTCACCCTCAAGTATATAAAAAGTTGTGAAAATTTACAAATATCTTAGAAGGAGGTCACGATACAAAAACTAAAATGAGTATTTTCAGGCTTTAAAATCAGTTCATTTCTTTTGGAGGCCATTTCTTCCACAGGAAGAGTGATTGATTTACTTACATATTTTAGGCTGATCTGAGATTTCCGTAGGTGCACCCTCAAAAGACTGAATAATGTCCCAATAAACAATTTACTGAATAAAAACCCCATTTAGACTGCCATTACTGTAGTGGATATTACCTGTACATCATACCCATCCCAGCCTTTGTTCTGACACTGTATGACTTTTGGGGTATAAGAATCACAACCAGCTGTGCCTCCAACACATTTCAACTGTGGGATGGGATCCAGCCTGCGGGAGGTGGTATAGCGGTCATAGTGGAGGGTAAGAGCTTTTACATCCCGCAGCAACATTCTGTCTGAAACAGCAAGAAAACAGAGGAACACAAAGTAAGTATCGTGTCAGAGAAAGAAAGGTTCATCCTAACGAAACTCTCGTCATAGGAAATGCCTTTCTTGCCTTCTGAGGATGGCTAAGAGAGGATGAATCTATTTCTCAAAACTATCCCAACAACATTCAGGCCTTCTGAACAAAATTCAGGTCACACTTTTAAGATCTCCCTGCATTTCAGGCCAGATGCTTCTACAGCACAAGTTGTACATCATTTTTGCTAAATCAAAAGAACAAAAAGTTCATTAACCTGAAACATTGTACTACTGTGTAATAATAATAGTGGTTAATTAAAATGGCAAGAATATAAGCATGTTCCTGAAGCACATTTAATGCTTTAAATGTCCATCAACAGGTGAAGAAATTAACACATTCTGACCTATTACAGTGGAATATTACATAGCAGTTAAAATGAGTGAACTAGAATTCATGTATCAAACTAGATAGATGGCAAAAACATTTTAAACAAAATACAAGTTGCAGAATGTTTTGTATGACAGCTTTACATAAACCTTTAAAAAAGGCAAAACAGTACTACATACTGTTAATGTCTATATATGTATATAATAACAACATGAAAACATGTATGGGAAGGATTTAACACCAAATTCAAATAAGTATCTAGTCTAGGGAGAGAGAAAGAAAAGAGATTTTAGCTCTATTCCTAATGTTTTATTACTGGGAGTGGGGGATTTGTAGCAAATATGGCAAAATATAAAGATTCAATAAAACTGGGTGATGACTATGTGTAGGTTCATTGTACACTTCTGTATGTTTAAATACTTTAGGTATTTCATAATTTTAAAAATCAAAACTATTTAAACTATTTCACAAACTAAAAAATTTAAAACATACTGACAAGAGACTTTGAAAGGAGGAGTCAAAACAATAAAATTATGTCTGGCATTCATGTGCAAAAATGAAATTTTTAGGTTGGGTGTGGTGGCTCACACCTGTAATCCCAGCACTTTGGGAGGCCGAGGCACGTGGATCACCTGAGCTCAGGAGTTCGAGACCAGCCTAGCCAACACGGCGAAACCCCATCTCTACTAAATATACAAAATTAGCCGGGAGTGGTGGCACATGCCTGTAATCCCAGCTACTTGGGAGGGTGAGGCAGGAGAATCGCTTGAACCTGGGAGGAGGAGGTTGCAGTGAGCCAAGATCACACCATTGCACTCCAGCCTAGGCAACAAGAATGAAACTCCATCTCAAAAAAAAAAAAAAAATGAATTTCTATGCATTATTGGAAAATAAGGACAAAGTCTTCCTATTTATCATGTTGTGGATTATTGATGGAAGATGCTGTGGATTGGCTCAGTCAACATCCACTTCACCCTCAAACAGGTATGCCTTCCTGCAAAGCAAAAGGAATCCCAAAACCTCTTGCAGCTATAGTTGCCAAAAGCAATTTCAGTTCTGCCAACCAGAGGGACTCGAGCAAAATCTGGAAAGCAGACCCTAGACTTATACAGTGCTCTGTCCTTCAGCTAGTAAACACAGGCATGGAGACCATGAGTTTTCAAACTGATAGTATCCTCTAATCAGCTTCCTGGCTGTCATGAAGCTTGACATGAACAATCTATTTTTCAATGTGGCAGATGTAATAGGCATCGCTTTCTACCATTTTGTGAGTACCCAATTCCCTATATTCAACCTGTCAGATTAGCAGAATTTGCAGCCTCCCAAAATTCTACTAAAACTATAATAAATACATTGTTTTGATGATGTGAATGACTGTGGTCAGGTAAAACGAAAGAGGAGATGACAGCAGAATTTTGGAAGGAGAAAGTAAATGGACTAGTGGTAGATGACTAGACCTAAGTGAAAGACAAATGCCAGAACAGCAAAGGGGGAAACTGAGAATCAACCTGATGTACATAACAGAATCCCTAAAAAAAAACAAAAAAAAAAAAACAAAAAACGGGAAATGGCAGCTCTGGAATGGGAGATGCCTGGAATACACACTACAGGGTGAAAGCTACTTGAGAGGAAGCCATATTCCCAGATCCTCTCCCCAACTCCACACTGTTCTAACTCCCTCTTCCCCACTAAGGAAACTGTCTGGAGATGTATTCTCTGGAGAGGATAAAACTGAAGGGATTTGCATTGGGGACCATCTGGCATAGTAAAGGGCATGGGGACAAAAACAACCAAACAGGGAACCCAAGTGACTGTGTGCACTCTGACTGCTGAAAGCACAGTTCTCCTTCCCCACATGGTGCACAAAATGCTAACAGCCATCCCCTTGTCCTCTGTGGGAGACTGGATGACTATTCCCTTGGTAATCTAACCAAGAAGAAGTACCTAAATACACTGACATCAGGAACTTCCTCCAAAAAAGAGCAACCTAGGTCACCCTGTTGTGAAGTTCAAAATCAAAAGTGCAACTGCACACTGATAGCTTCCAATGAGCTTTTTGGTTCCCCAGAATTAACCATGAGCAGGGAGCCAAGGATTACTAAAAATATGAGGAAAGTCCCTGCTATGGTTTGAATGTGTCCCCCAAAGTTCACATGTTGGAAACTTAATCCCCAATGCAACAGTGTTGAAAGATGGAATCTTTAAGAGGGCTCTGCCCTCATGAATAGATTAATGCTGTTCTTGCAGGACTGGGTTAGTTATCGCAGGAGTGGACTCCTGATAAAAGGATGAGTTAGGCCCCTTTCCCCTCTCTCACTCTCTCCCTTCTGCCTTCCACCATGGGATGACACAGCAAGAAGGCCCTCACCAGATGCTAGCACCTTAATATTGAACTTCTCAGCCTCCAGAACTGTGAGAAATGAATTCAGTTTTTTAATAAATTTCCCAGTCTGTGGTATTGTGTTACAGTAACATTAAACAGACAAAACAGCCCCTAACATGAAATACAGCAACCAGGACAAAACAACAACAAAAGGAAGCAGGAGGAAAAAAGAGATGACGCACAAGAAGAAAACTTTTTTAAAAACACTGTAATATCCTCAGAGAGATAAGAGAAAAAGACTGCGTTAATAAAACAATCATTTTTAAAAGGGATACTCAGAGAAAAAACAAGAGCTTTTGGAAATTAAAAACAGGACAGCCAAGATTAAAAACAACAGAACTGCCAGGTGCAGTGGCTCATGCCTGTAATCCCAGCACTTTGGGAGGCCAAGGCAAGCAGATCACTTGAGCCCAAGAGTTTAAGACCAGCCTAAGCAACATGGCAAAACCCTGTCTCTACAAAAAAAATTATAACATTAGCCAGGTATGGTGGCACACACCTGCAGTCCCAGCTACTTAGAAGGCTGAGGTGGGAGAATCACCTGAGCCTGGGGAGGTCGAGGCTGCAGTGAGCCATGCACTCCAGCCTGGGTGATAGAGTGAGACCCTGTCACAAAACATAAATAAATAAATACATACATACGACAGAACTGTTAAAAGAAAATCTTCTAGAAAGTAGAGCAAAAAGAGGCCGGGCGTGGTGGCTCATGCCTGTAATCCTAGCACTTTGGGAGGCCGAGGCAGGTGGATCACGAGGTCAAGAGATCAAGACCATCCTGGCGAACACGGTGAAACCCCGGCTCTACTAAAAATACAAAAATTAGCTGGGGATGGTGGCGCGTGCCTGTAGTCCCAGCTACTCGGGGGGCTGAGGCAGGAGAATTGCTTAAACCCAGGAAGCAGAGGTTGCAGTGAGCCAAGATTGTGCCACTGCACTCCAGCCTGGCGATAGAGCAAGGCTCCATCTGAAAAAAAAAGGAAAAAGAAAAAAGAAAGTAGAGCAAAAAGATAGAAAGTAGGAGAGAAAGGCTGGGCACAGTGGCTCACGTGTGTAATCCCAGCACTTTGGGTGGCCGAGGCAGGCAGATCACAAGGTCAGGAGTTCGAGACCAGTCTGGCAAATATGGTGAAACCCCGTCTCTACTAAAAATACAAAAATTAGCCAGGCATGGTGGCGGGCACCTGTAATCCCAGCTACTCAGGAAGATGAGACAGGAGAATCGCTTGAACCCGGGAAGCAGAGGTTGCAGCGAGCCGAGATGGTGCCACTGCACTCCAGCCTGGGGGACAGAGCTAGACTCCGTCTCAAAAAAAAAAAAAAGAAAGAAAGAAAAAAGACAGTAGGAGGAAAAAAAAAAAAAAGAAAGAAAGAAAATTACCAGTTCAGGACCAGTTCAGAAAGTCCAAAAATCCAACAAGGGCTTCTGAAAGAATGAACAAGGGAATCTGATTAGACAAACTCCAGGCTGTAATTCAAGAAAAGTTCCCACACTGAAGGACTTGAGTTGTCATACTGAAAGGGCCCAACAAATACCCAGGCCTGAGAAACAGACCACACAAAGGCACACGAAAAGTAAATTTTAGAACACTGAAGACAAAAAAAGATTCTACAAATTGCCAGAAGAATAGGGAGAAAACAAGCCATATAGAAAAGATAAGACTTAGAAAAGCTTCAGGTATCTCAACAGGATAGAAAAAGAAAATGGAGAAATATATTCAAAAACTCTAAAGGAAAAAGTCTGGCTGGGTTTGCCAACCATCGCTTTGCTAATGGTGGAACAAACTGATGTTACAACATCTCCTATGATGTATTTCCCACAAGTATTTAATATGAATCTAATCAATCTAATAAACTTAAGGTCAATACCCTATCTATATAAAAAATATATATAGAGAGAGAGACCTAAATATACTTCCAACCAGGAACCCAATAGGGTTTTTTGGGGAAAGAAATTATGTTAAAGGTCCTGTGGACAATTTTTTTTTGAAAAAGAACACATAGGTTACCAGATAGTAAAGGTTACTATAAAATTATTATCATCAGCCAGGCACGGTGGCTCACGTCTGTAACCCCAGCACTTTGGGAGGCCAAGGAGGGCAGATCACCTAAGGTCAGGAGTTCGAGATCAGCCTGGACAACATGGTGAAACCCCATCTCTACTAATAATACAAAAATTAGCTGGACGTGGTGGCATACGCCCGTAGTCCCAGCTACTTGGGAGGCTGAGGCAGGAGAATCACTTGAATCCAGGAGGTGGAGGTTGCAGTGAGCTGATATTGCTACCACTGCACTCCAGCCTGGGCGACAAGAGTGAAACTCCATCTCAAAAAAAAAAAAAAAAAAAAAGATTATAATCAAAATAGTAGGGAATTGGAACAGAGACAAGGAAATTGTGAAACAAAAGAAAGATCAGAAATAAATCAAGATACATTTGGGAATTCAGTAAGATGAAGTGGTCTTTTTAATTTAGTGGATAAAAGATGTCTTCTTTAATAAATAGCACTGGCATAATTGACTATGCAGCCACAAGAAAATCCACCTAAAGCTATATAAAAATTTAATTCCACATGGGCTACAGATCTAAAATTTCCAAGAACTATATTCAAATAAACCATGCTACATTAAACACAAACTACTACCTCCTCATACATAAAAAATAAGACAATGAAAATGTTCAATGGTTTAGAAAAATCAGACTGTATTAATCAACTAAATAACAGAAATAATAAATTGAATTTATTGTAACAGAGTTGCAATAATGCAAAGAACACTGAACTAAGTTGGTGTCACTAACTGGCTGTGACTTTGGCCAAGGCATTTAATTTACCTGTGTAGAAGTTTCCTCACCTACAAAATTAAAATATTATCAACCTTGAAATTTGTTGTGAAGCTTAGATATAATTTATTATCTGGCTGAGTACTTGAAGCATAACAGGTGATCAGGTATGATAAATATTACTGAAAGTTTTAAGATGGAATAGCATTACCATAATCCTATAGCATCTTTCTTCCCTAGAGATTCTTAAGGTCCAAGAACAAAATTCTAATACCCACGCCCCACTAGTTAGATCAGTCAAGGGACACAGGAGCTCCCTGAACTCCAGACTCATAAATCAAAATCACGGCAGGTCTCAAACAAGATAAACAAAACCAAACTCCCCTAAACCTGATCATCCCACATTCTTCCACATCTCAGGAAATGGTTAACTCCATGCTTCTAGTTGCTCAAGCCAAAAACCTTGGACTTCTCATCTTCTCTCCTCTCACTCCTACATCTGATCCTTCAGAAGATCATGTTAGCTCCACCTTCCAAACAGGTGACAAGAGAATCCAGCTACTCTAACCAGCTCTCTACTGCTCCTGCCCTGGGCCAAGCGGTCACCACTCTAAGAACTTACTGTACAATATTAAAATAGATAGCAATATATATTAATTCACTGGTTTCCCTGCTTCCCTCCTACCCTCTTCGGTCTGTTTTCCACAGAGCAGCCCAAATGAGCCTTTAAAGATATAAGTAATTTCAGGTCATTTACTCCTCCTCCCCACTTCAGGTTTCCAGTCAAATGTCACCCTAACAGTGACTTCCCTGACCAATGTACGTTTTTTAAGTCTCCACTTCTGCCCGCACACCATGTCCTCCTTACGCTGTTTATCATACACGGTGCATACCAATTTTCACAATATAGCATGTTATTTACATGTTTATCTGTTTATTGTCTATTTCTCCCCAATAGAGGTAAAGTCCTTGGAGGCAAGACACTGTTTTGTTCACTGCTATATTCCCAACACCCGGAAGAGTAACTTAATATAAGATTACATTCAATAAGGAATTTTGAAAATTCATTGGTAATCTCTTTAGAATGGTGCTAATTTTTTTTTCCAGACAAATTACTGCTCAATGTGAGCTAAAGTAATGGCATCCAAGTCAAACAAAAGATAAATTAGGGAGCCGATTAATGCTTTAGTAAAGGACTTAATAAATAGTATGTCAATAAAGTATCTTCATTTAAAAAGTTCCTCAAAGTGCCGGGTGCGGTGGCTCACGCCTGTAATCCCAGCACTTTGGGAGGCCAAGGCGGGCGGATCACCTGAGGTTGGGAGTTCAAGACCAGCCTGACCAACATGGAGAAACCCTGTCTCTACTAAAAATACAAAATTTGCCGGGCATGGTGGCACATGCCTGTAATCCCAGCTACTCGGGAGGCTGAGGCAGGAAAATCGCTTGAACCCAGGAGGCAGAGGTTGCGGTGAGCCAAGATCGCGCCATTGCACTCTAGCCTGGGCGACAAGAGTGAAACTGTCTCAAAAAAACAAAACAAAACAAAAAAGTTCCTCAAAGTAAACTTTGAAGTAGAATTTACATAAAACAATTGAGTTTACTCTGCAAAATATTGTGGTGCTTTGTGTTCCAGAACAATAGTTTTACAGCGTAGATAAACCAGGAAGTGGTTCATCTTTAATTTAAATTTGGTTCTTCTTTCATAGTTTTTATAGTTCTTCTGGCTCTTCAACTGTAAACTTCCTTTATTAAATTTATTTACGAACTGATTCAAAGTTCAACAAATTAAAGTTTCATTCTAGGTTTTCACTTGTAATTCTGATCAAGTCTCCCACTCATACACAGCTTTCTAGAAATACAAAAGAAAAACGTACAGACATTTAAATACAACTTGGCTTTTTATTTTTGGTAATAAAATGTCCACATCAAATGACTACTCAACGTGATGTGCTTGCAAATAGCACCTTCTCTCTCATTTCAGCATGTAAGAATAGGCTATTATAGAAATAAACCTGTTGCTTAAATTCGACAATGCAGGCATTTCCAATCACCAAATCACAAAGGCAATATGCTTTCCATGCCATCTTTACTTCGCAAAGCAAAAATGATGTTGTTTTCATTTTTTTTTTTTTTTACAGAATTCCAAAGTAACAGCATGCGTCATTTATTACATGGAAAAAGTCAAAATCTGTATCTAAGTATATAGACATATACGTATTAATTGCACGGAATATTACTGATCCCATGAAAATTCTTTAGACAATTTTAATACTGTACTGACATAAAAGAACCTCTTTCCTAAAACCCACTTATCATGTACCATCACTAAAAAAAACCGAGAAAATTATTTTTTAAATTCTTCTCTACGGTGAAAGCCAATGGGAAGAGCTGGTGCCGCGCGATGTACATCACTGCAATCGTCAGATAAGAGGCAGCGGTTCTCATAAAGACGCGGTGGCTCACGCCTGTAATCCCAGCACTTTGGGAGGATGAAGGCGGGTGGATCACGAGGTCAGGAGGTCGAGACCAGCCTGGCCAACATAGTAAAACCCCGTCTCTACTAAAAATACAAAAAAATAGCCAGGCATGGTGGTGGGCACCCGTAATCTCAGCTACCGGTGAGGCCGAGGCAGGAGAATCTCTTGAACCCAGGAGGCGGAGGTTGCAGTGAGCCGAGATCACGTCATTGCAGTGCGGCCGGGGCGACAATGTGAGACTCCGACTCAAAAAAAAAAAAAAGAGTGCAATCTGCGATTCTGCTAACAGACCTGCGAGGTCTGCAGCCCTGTCCGCTAAGGGTGACTCAGAGACTGCCAGTGGCAGGCAACGGCCGGCGATAGCAACAGGCAGCCATGACAACAGCAGGCCACGATGACATCACACAGCCATAACAACAAAGCAGATGCGCAGGTGAGTGTCCAGCTCTCCAGTTATACTCAGAGATGAGAAAGACGACAATGGGCAAATTCCGGGAGTCCGGGGCAGGGAGAAAGGGGACCTTAAGGATCTCCAGCCGTCCCGCCCCGCCCACTCGAGCAGTCCCTACCCGCCTCCCAAGACGCCTGGGAAGAGCAGTGGAACCAGGGAGAGCACGAACAGCAAAGAGGTCAGACATGGGGAATCCGGGCACCCAGGCTCCGGGAAGACGGCGCACGGAAACGCAGGGGAGCCTGCACCGGCTGACGGCGGCGGAAAAGGGCGAACGAAGCGCCTGAGGGCCCTGGCAGCACTCACCAGGGTCGTTCCAGCCCAGGGCAGGGCCCGCGGTCAGCAGAAACAAATGCAAGCCGAGGAGCAAGCAGTACCCGGCCGCTCCCGGCCCGCAGGCTGCGGCCATGGCGCTCGATGAAGATGGCGCCGGGCTGCCAGACGCCTACGGGCCGAACCTGGGTGCGGTAGCGCGCGCGACGCTGCGCAGCTACACCGCTACCCCTGGCGGCGGCGAAGGAACGGCCCGACTGCAGAGCTGCAGCCGCAACGGATCCGTGCGCCAACCCTACGTCACTGCCGCTGCGGCCCGTGGGGCTCAGTGAGTGGCCGCCGTGGGCCCCCGCCCCTGGAGCACAGCGCGGCTTGGGGCGGGGCGAGGCGGTGTGGGCGGGGCCAAGGGCCTGGGGAGGCACGGCTGGAGGCGGGTTGGAGGCGTGGCGCCGCGGTGTGGGCGGGGCCGAGGGCCTGTCGCCGCCGCGCCCGCGGGCGGGGCGAGGGCAGCGCGCAGCTTTGTTGTGTCTCGTCTGAGATTCGGGAAGCTTCTGTGCGTAGGCGATGCAGTTTGAGAGGCTGAAAACGTCACGACGCGAAATCTAAGAAATGTAGTCAAATTATGTATTATTAAAACCTCAATAATTGTACCAAGGGTAGTTCTGTGCTTTATTCAGCTCTATGTGTTCAGCACTTAGCATAGCGCTTGGTACATGGTTAGTGTTCTATGACTGGTTGCTAAATACAGAGAAGATTCAAGCGAAAAGTAACAGGGAAATACATTGTCTGGTTTCAAGGCTCAGAACCTTTACATGGTTCCTTGCGCATGGAGGCCGGAAGACTATAAAATGTCAAGAGGAGAAAATATCGTCTGAATGAAGAACCAGCCAGAGAAAACAGTTCTCTGGGCTTTTGAGGTCTAGCAGGCTTGGGTTTCTTTCATTCATTCATTCATTCATTCATTCATTCATTCATTCAATGAATATATGTTGAATACCTAATACGCACCAGGCACTGTTTTAGGCATGGATGGTACAGACAAGATCCCTGTACTCATTGAAATAGAATAGGACAAACGACATACCAATTAAACAACAAAAATAATAGGTAATGATAGGTAATAACATTGATGAAAAACAGGGTGATATAATGGAGCCTGGGGACACAACTTCAGGGAGGGCCTTGCTGAGGAAGTGGTTTTTGAAGCTTGGGACCTGAATGATGAGAAAGAACTAGCCGTACAAAGATCAGGGGACTCATCTTCCCATCTGGGGAACAGTGGATGCAAAAGCCCTAACTTTGTGTTTCGAGGAAGAGTTATTTGGTCAGATCCTATAAAGAGTTCAGTCCCACAAGATGGCCCCAACTTCAGACATCAATCACAAGTCTCAGGTTGTGACCTATGCTTCTGACCAACCAGCTATAAATTAGGGTTTCCAGGCCGGGCGTGGTGGCTCATGCCTGTAATCCCAGCATTTTGGAAGGCCAAGGCAGGTGAATCGCCTGAGGTCAGGACTTTAAGACCAGCCTGGCCAGCATGGCAAAACCCCACCTCTACTAAAAATAGGAAAAATAGCTGGGCGTGGTGGTGCACACCTGTAATCCCAGCTATTTGGGAGGCTGAGGCAAGAGAATCGCTTGAACCTGGGAGGCGAAAGTTGCAGTGAGTCAAGACTGCCCCACTGCACCTGGACCATGGAGAGAGACTCCCTCTCAACAAATAAATTGGGGTTTTCATAACCCCCCATCTTGAGTTCCATAATTTGCTAGAATGGCTCACAGAACTCAAAAAAACACTTTATGTTTACCAGATTATTATATTGAGCACCTATTAGTACCTAACAGTACCTGCCAGGCACTGTTATCAGTATTGGGGATACAGCAGTGAATAAAACAAAATTTGGGGGACAAGAGGCAAACAAGGCCATAACTGAAGCAAAGTAAGTTAGGGGAAGAGTGGAATAAGAGATGGCAGAGCAGTGGGGCCTCGGCATGGAACCAACCAATGCTGGGACCAAGGACTGAAATAAGAGATAATAGAGAATCTATGCTCAACATGTTAAGTTTGAGGTGACTATTAGGCATCCAGGTAGACGTGTCAAATAAATAGATAAACTGTAAAAGTCTGAAGTTCAAAACTAAGGTAAATTTGGTAGTTATGTTGTAAATATAAAGATAGCATTTAATGTCATGATGCTATTGTTTGAATGTGTCCCCCAAAGCTCATGTGTTGGAAACTTATTCCCCAAAGCAATAGTGTTGAGAGGGGGGACTCTTAAGGGGTGATTAGGTTATGAGGGCAGAGCTCTTAATGCTATTATCACAGGAGTGGGTTAGTTATTGGGGAGTGGGTT
Source organism: Homo sapiens (assembly GCF_000001405.40). Classification (NCBI taxonomy): domain Eukaryota; kingdom Metazoa; phylum Chordata; class Mammalia; order Primates; family Hominidae; genus Homo; species Homo sapiens. Next base: position 30,085,168 of record NC_000008.11, read on the forward strand.
CCCGATAAAAGGGATGAGTTCAGCTCCCTTTCTCTTTTGCCTACCACCGTGAAATGACACAGCAGGAAGCTCCCCACCAGATGCAGGCCCCTGGACCTAGGATTTCCCAGCCTCCAGAACCATAAGAAATAAATCTCTATACTTTATAAATTTCCCAGTCTCAGGTATTCTGTTATAGCAACACAAAATGAACTAAGACATGTGGGAAGAGACACAGTAACATGAGAGAATTGAGATACCACAAAAAAGGAGGCCCAGGCTATGGAAACACTAACATTTGAACCTCAAGCAGAAGATTCTAGAAAGAATCTGAGAAGTAACCTCTGGTGAAGAAGGAGGAAGAACTAGGACAATAGGATATGGTAATTGAGAGAAAGAAAGAATGGTCAACAGTGTCCACTGTTGCTGAAAGCTTGAAGCAAAATTTGGTCTCTGAATTTTGCAATGTAGAAATCACTAATTACCTTAACAAGAGAATGTTTGTTATTTTAGATTCCCACCATGTACCATGTACAGTTCTGGACAGTCATGAACAAAAGATGAAAGGTTGTTATAATAAACATTCTAGTGGGAGAGGTAGCCAACAAATCATGTCATTTCAAATAAATAAGTGCTTTGGGCCAGGCACGGTGGCTCACACCTGTAATCTCAGCACTCTGGGAAGCCGAGGCTCAGGATCACTTGAGACCAGGAGTTTGAGGCCAATCTGGGCAACATAGTAAGACCCCATCTCCACAAAAAATTGTTTTTAAAAAATTAGCCAGATGTGGCCAGGCACAGTGGCTCACGCCTGTAATCCCAGCACTTTGGGAGGCCGAGGTAGGCAGATCATGAAGTCAGGAGATCGAGACCATCTTGGCTAACACAGTGAAACCCCGTCTCTACTAAAAATACAAAAAATTAGCTGGGCATGGTGGCGGGTGCCTAAGTCCCAGCTACTCAGGAGGCTGAGGCAGGAGAATGGTGTGAACCCGAGAGGCGGAGCTTGCAGTGAGCCAAGATCGCACCACTGCACTCCAGCCTGGGCGAAAGAGTGAGACTCCGTCTCAAAAAAAAAAAAAAAATAGCCAGATGTGGTGGCATGTGCCTGTAGTCCCAGCCACTCAAGAGGCTGAGGTGGGAGGATCACTTGAGCCCTGGAGGTTGAGGCTGCAGCAAGCCATGACTGCATCACTGCACTCCAGCCTGGGCAACAGAGCAAGACTCTATCTCAAATAATAATAAGTACCTTGAAGAAGAAAACAGAGCAATATGACAGGTAGTGCCATAACAAGTAGGATGGCCCAGAAAAGATTCTCTGAGAAATTACCATTTGAGCTGAGAGCTAAATGATGAGGCTGTAAAAGGAAAAAACAAACTGTTTTCTCCTTTCTACTGGCACAAAACACAGAGCAGTTCTGTGACCAGAAGAGGGGCTGGGGGAGTATTTCCCTACACACCAACCAACTCTAAAGGACATCAACACGATGTCCTATAACTCAATTCAAGTTAAGGGCCCAGTCTCCCACAAGACTGCCCCAATTCAGACGTCAGTCCAGGAAAATATTTTATGTTTACCAGTTTATTGTAAAGGATTTATAAAGGATACAGATGAACAGCCAGATGAAGAGATGGATAGGGCAAAGATAAGAAGGCCATGGGGCTTCCATGCCCTCGCTGGGCACTCCACCCTCCCAGCACCTCCCTGTATTCAGCAACCTAGAAGCTCATGAAATCTTGTTGTCTAAGAGTTTGTATAGAGCTTAATCTCCAGCCACCCGCCCCCGATCTCTCCTGTTGGTTGGTGGGTGGGCTGAAATTTCCAACCCTCTAACACTCTAATCACATGGTCTTTCTGGTGACTGACTTTTTGGTGTCTGTAAACAATACAGTATAACAACTATTTACATAGTATTTACATTGTTATTAGGTATTATAAATAATTTAGAGATTATTTAAAGTATACAGGAGGGGCTGGGTGCGGTGGCTAACACCTGTAATCCCAGCACTTTTGGAGGCCCGAGGTGGGTGTATCACTTGAGCCCAGGAGTTCGAGACCAGCCTGGGCAACGTAAGAAGACCTTGTCTCTACAAAAAAAAAAAAAAAAAAAAATTAGCCAGGCATAGTGGTGCATGCCCGTGGTCCCAGCTACTCGGGAGGCTGAGGCAGGAGGATAGCTTGAGCCTGGGAGGCAGAGGTTACAATGAGCCGAAATCACACCACTGCACTCCAGCCTGGGTGACAAGAGTGAGACCCTGACCCAAAAAAAGATTTTTTTTCCTCTGAGCTTTCTCTGAATCAACCTGTAAGAGTTAGTAATTCTCAGTTTACAAAATTGTGAAGAGGATTAAATGAGATGAATGCTAAAGCACCAGGCAAATAGCACCTGCTGAAAAAGTAAGAATTCCCTTCCTCTCATCCACATTCTCATCTCCACCATTTAACTTTGGAGAATGGAAAACCATCCATATAAGAAGTATTGAAACTGAAAGGTAACACTAATTAGCTATTACATAACAATAGAGAACATTTAAAGGATATGACATTAACTAGCATTTAGGGTTCCCTTGGAAAACTGGTGGAGAAAACTGACATTCTACCTTTTTTCCGACAATGACTTTCAAGCTTTGCTTTAGTTTGCACAGGAATTGTTTGAGATTCTTGTTAACTTTTCAGATTCCGGGCTTTACCCACAAGAGTTCTAAATTCAGAAGGTCGGGAGTAGCAGTCAAGAATTTGGAAGGCATCCCAAAGTATTCTGCTTTAGGTGGTCCTTGAAATACAACATTTAGACACACTGTTTTTAAGGTCTCAAGTGACTGTGAGAGGTGACAACGTGCTAGCAGCCCTCGCTCACTCTCGGCGCCTCCTCAGCCAGGACGTCCGCTCTGGCCGCGCTGGAGGAGCCCTTCAGCCTGCCGCTGCGCTGTGGGGGTCCCTCTCTGGGGCTGGCCGAGGCCGGAGCCGGCTCCCTCCTCTCCCGGAGAAGTGTGGAGGGAGAGGCGCGGGCGGAACCCGGGGCTGCGCCCGGCGCTCACCGCTCGCGGGCCGGCGCAGGTTCCGGGTGGGCGCGGGCTCCACGGGCCCAGCACTCAGCGCAGCTGGCCGGCGCCTGCTGGGCTTGATCAGAGGCTGGGTCCCGTGCGTGCACCGCCATTCCCTCTTCGCAGGGTCGTTGGCCAGAATGGCGGGTCTCCCTCTCTTTCTCGCTTCCCCTCTTTTCCTCTTGGTTGTCTGGGACAAGCTCCTTCTGGGCTACTGGAGCACCCGGGGTAAGTGCCGCAAAATCCCGCGAAGAGCGCCAGTGAGAGGTGAAGCCGGCTAGGCTTCTGGGACCGGTGGGGACTTGGAGAGCTTTCTGTCTAGTTAAAGGGCTGTAAATGCACCAATCAGCACTCTGTGTCTAGCTAAAGGTTTGTAAACACAACAATCAGCCTCTGTGTCTAGCTAATCGGGTGGGGACTTGGAGAACTTTTGTGTCTAGCTAAAGGATTGTAAACGCACCAATCAGCACTCTGTGTAGCTAAAGGTTTGTAAATGCACCAATCAGCACTCTGTCAAAACGGACCAATCAGCTCTCTGTAAAATGGACCAATCAGCAGGATGTGGGTGGGGCCAGATAAGGGAATAAAGAAAGGCCACCAGAGCAGCAGCGGCAATCCGCTGGGGTCCCCTTCCTGGGTGTGGAAGCTTTCTTATTTTGCTTTTTGCAATAAATGCTGCTGCTGCTCACTGTTTGGATTTGTGCTGCCTTTATGAGCTGTAACACTCATAGCGAAGGTCTGCGGCTTCATTCCTGAAGCCAGCGAGACCACGAACCCACTGGGAAGAACAAACAATTCCAGACGGGAGGAACGAATAGCTTTGGACGCGCCACCTTTAAGAGCTGTAACACTCACTGCGAAGGTCTGTGGCTTCACTCCTGAAGTCAGCGAGACCACGAACCCACCAGAAGGAAGAAACTCCGGACATGTCCGAACATCAGAAGGAACAAATTCCGGACCCACCGTCTTTAAGAACTGTAACACTCACCGTGAGGGTCCACAGCTTCATTCTTGAAGTCAGTGAAACCAAGAACCCACCAATTCCGGACACAACTGGTCCCTAGACCAGTAAACCAAAAATGGTCCTTAGAGTGATGAGTGTTTTTGTGCTGGAAACACTGAATCTCATGGGAAAGATAAGGAGCACAATCTCTCAGGATTCTGTGACCATGGAAGAAAAGAATGTAGATTCCTGTAACCTGATGAGTAATCCCAGTTGCCCATGAATGTTGTCAAGGACATCTGTAATGCCAACACATTTGTACTGAAAAGAGCAAATCAGGCTGGGGGTAGTGGCTTACACCTGTGATCCCAGCCCTTTGGGAGGCCAAAGTGGGAGGATCTCTTGAGTCCCAGAGTTCAAAACTAGCCTGGACAACATGGCAAAACCCCGCCTCTACAAAAAGTAAAAAATTAGCGGGCCATGGTGGTGCATATCTGTGGTCCCAGCTACTCGGGAGGCTGAGGCAGGAGGATAGCTTGAGCCCTGGAGGTGGAGGCTGCCATGACAGGAAGCTACCATGACTGTGATTGCTCCACTGCACTGCAGCCTGGGCAACAGGATAAAACCCTGCCTCAAAAAAAAAAAAAAAGGGAAATTTATCTTTGTAGCTATCTTATCCTACATAAGATAGCTACAAAGATAAAAATAATAATAAAAATAAATGAAAAAAATAAAGCTACATACCTACCTCACAATTTGCCCACAAGGATATTCCTTGTGGACAAAGGACAGAGAGAACTCAAAGTCATCCTTTGCTCACTGTGAGACAAATGCTTATCTGATTGCTTCCTTTGCCCTGTTTTTTCACTAACCCAGACTAAAGCATAAGTGACTATACCTGTAAATTGTGTATTCAGTGAAAGGCTAATCAGAAACTCAGAAGAGGCCAGACATGGTGGCTCATGCCTATAATCCTAGCACTTTGGGAGGCCGAGGCAAGTGGATCACTTGAGCTTAGGAGTTCAAGACCAGCTTGGCCAACATGGTTAAACCCGTCTCTAACTAAAAATACGAAAATTAGCCAGGTGTGGTGGCACATGCCTGTAATCCCAGCTACTTGGGAAGCTGAAGCAGGAGAATCACTTGAATCCAGAAGACAGATGGTGCCACAGCACTCCAGCCTCAAAAAAAAGAACAAAAAAATTAGCCACGTGTGGTGGTGGGCACCTGTAATCTCAGCTATTCGGGAGGCTGAGGCAGGAGAATTGCTCGAGCCCAGAAGTTGAAGGTTGCAGTGAGCCGAGATCGCACCACTGTACTCCAGCCTGCAGCTTGGGTGACAGAGTGAGACTTGGTCTCAAAAAAAAGAAAGGAAGAAAAAGAAACTCAAAATAAGGCAACCATTTGTCTCTTATCTACCTATGACCTGGACACCCCCTCCCCACTTTGAGTTGTCCCGCCTTTGCAGACCGAACCAATGTACACCTTATATACAGTTATTGATGTCTCATGTCTCCCTAAAATGTATAACACCAAGCTGTGCCCCAACCACTTTGGACACAGGTCATCAAGACCTGCTGAGGCGTGTCAAGGGTGCGTCTTCAACCCTGGCAAAATAAACTTTCTAAATTGACTGAGACCTGTCTCACATATTGTGGGTTCACAGAACAAAACAAGAAAAGGTGTTGTGGTAGGTGACATGTGGGATGGAATTATTCACTTCTCCAGGAATTCCACCTATCCATTCAAGATGGCTGGGGAGAAGGACGTATATGCCTGCTTCAGTAGTTTAGAGAAAGGAGCTGGTGGCTCACAGATTCCGTGTAAACAGCGTGTATTTCCATGGCATATGTTCAAGTGTGCCTTGTGGTTTTGTTACCACATCCTTAAATGGAAACTTTTTTCATGATACAGGAAAGAGATGGTAGATCTTTCTGCACTAACTTGAACAGAAAAAAATTCTACTCTCCTACAAAACACCCATAGACTCATTTGGTGCATTAAGACTCAAGAAGTGACCTGTTTGTTGTTGTTGTTGTTGTTGTTTAAATTGTAATTCAACTCTAGAAATAGTAGAGAGAAGCGAAGTGGGTAATGCCTCAAGCTTCCCATTTGCTCTCATTTTAAAGCATATTGGAAATATCTCTTCTAAACATTCACTCCACAGTCTTACATGCCACTTTATGTTAGTCTGATGACTGAAAAAAAGTTAAAAATTCAAATCGTACGTAGCTCACCCCCACCTACTTCCTTTTAAAACCTTCAAAAGATTTTTATTGCTCAGAGAGAAAACCCAAAACTGCTTGTGTACGTCCCTACTATATAAGCATGCTGCCCCACCCCAACCTTGACCAACCCCATTGGCCACCTCTCTTTTCTCCAAGGGACCAAGCAAGTTCCTTGCTCCATTTGCTGCCAAAGCTCCTAACTCCCCACCACACATACATACATGCGCGCACGCAAACACACAAACACACAAAAACACAACACACAAAACACACACAAACACACATGCACAAACACACGCACACACACAAACATGCATACACACGCAAACGTGCACAAACACGCAAACACATGCAGGCACACACAAACACGCCCACAACACAGACACGCACGCACACAAACACACATGCACGCACAAACGCATACACAGACACGCACACAAACGCACGCACAGACAAACGCACACACACAACACCCAAACACGCACAAGGACGCACACACACGCACACACAAATACCCATGCACACGCAAACACGTACACAAACACATACACACAAACACGCACAAACACATGCATGCACACACACATGCAGGCACACACAAACACAAACACGCACACACACAAACACACGCAAACACACACACACAAACAACACACCCCGCCACCTGCGATGGCTTTTCCGTTCTCTATTAACACATTTATTCATCACTGTGTTGTCTCTCCTTGGGGGAAATTTTCCTTGGCAGATCGCAATCAAAAGTTTTCAGAGAACTATTTACCCATCTTTCCTAGTGTAGGAAAGGATAAAAACTTTCTTTACCCTCCTAGGTTCAGAAGCTGAGAACTGTGAATTAAACTAACAAAGTACAGATTACCAGGAAAAAAAAAAAGGTTTATTTTGCATGCACAAGGAGGCTTCACAGAAAAGAAGTGAAAACTCAAAAAGTAATTAGGCCTGGGAGCATGTATCATTTTAACAAAGGGTGATGCATTGTGGAAAAGTAGACAAAGGAAAGGTTTTGGACTTCTAGGGGCAGTAGATTTTAAGAAGGTAAATATATAGGGGAAAACTAATGAAAGATAAGGGCTATTTTAGTAATGTTTTCACAGACTCCAATAAATGCTGTTTACTGGGGCATAGGAGTTGCATCCTCTCCCTGGTCTGGGAAATGTAAATATTTATAAGTAGAAAAATTTGTTTACACATTTTTTGGGGGCCAGGCGCAGTGGCTCACACCTGTAATTTCAGCACTCTGGGAGGCCCAGGTGGGCCGATCACTTGAAGCCAGGAGTTCAAGACCAGCCTGGCCAACATGGTGAAACCCTGTCTCTACCTAAAAATACAAAAATTAGCCAGGCATTGTGGCTCATGACTGTAATCCCAGCTACTTGGGAGGCTGAGGCAGGAAAATCACTTTAACCAAGAGGCAGAGGTTGCAGTGGGCTGAGATCACACCACTGCACTCCAGCCTGGGCGATAGAGCAAGACTGAAAGTTAGCTGGGCGTAGTGGCGCGTGCCTGTAGTCTCAGCTACTTGGGAGGCTGAGGCAAGAGAATCGCTTGAACCCAGGAAGCGGAAGTTGCAGTCAGCCGAGATCATACCACTGCACTCCAGCCTGGCCACAGAGCGAGACTCCGTTTCAAAAGAAAAACAAAACAAAACAAAAAGTGGAACTTTATGTTATCTTTACAAAGGGAACTTAAGCACGGCCTTTGGGTAGAAAAGGAGAGAGCAGAGAGCTCCTCCTATGCCTGTTGCTTCTTATTTGCTTTCAGCTCAAAACAATCCTTAGCCTTATTTTCACTCGTGTCCGTGTGAAGAGACCATCAAACAGGCTTTGTGTGAGCAACAAGGCTGGTTATTTCCCCTGGGTGCAGGTGGGCTGAGTCCGAAAAGAGAGTCAGCGAAGGGAGATAGGGGTGGGGCCATTTTATAGGATTTGGGTAGGTAAAGTAAAATTACAGTCAAAGGGGGTTGTTCTCTGGCAGGCAGGGGCTGGGGTCACCAGGTGCTCAGTGAGGAAGCTTTTGAGCCAGCATGAGCCAGGAGAAGGAATTTCACAAGGTAATGTCATCAGTTAAGGCAGGAACCGGCCATCTGGATGTGTACGTGCAGGTCACAGGGGATATGATGGCTTAGCTTGGGCTCAGAGGCCTGACATTTATTTGTTTGTTTGGAGACAGAGTCTTGCTTTGTTGCCCAGGCAGTGGCACAATCAGAGCTCACTGCAGCCTCGACCTCCTAGGCTCAAGCAATCCTCCTACTTCAGCCTCCCAAGTAGCTGGAACTACAGGCACACACCAAGCCTGGCTAATTTTTTTTTCGTTTTTGTAGAGATGGAGTCTCACTATGTTGCCAGGGCTGGTCTTCAACTCCTGGGCCAAAGCGATCCTCCTGTCTTAGCCTCCCAATGTGCTGGGATCACATGCCTGAGTCACCACACCAGACTTCAAAGTGGCATATTTTAGAGTGACATATTCTGATCCCCTTTACTAGCAATTATCATTATTGCAATTTTACATTTTTTGTGTGTCTGTCTTCCTCACCAGTCTGCAAACAGTACCTGGTTTTGCACATCTCAGCGTCTAACCCTGTGCCTAACACATAGTAAATGTTCTATAAATAATTGTAGGATGTGTAAATAAAGGTGTTGAACCTGGGCTTTCACTTTTTTTTCCTTGCCTTGTTACTACCAAAAAGACAGCCACCCAAGGGACTGGATTTCTATTAAATCCACCCTTTACTGAGCCCTGCTGCTCCTATCTCTGGAGGTGGGTCCTCACCAGAACCCTAGTCCTGTATAGGAAACCAAGGAGCCAAGTGCAGACCACCCAACTAACCTTAATTATAGGACTGGGGATGGAGGGATGGAGGGAGAGAGGAAAAGGCGCAGTAAAATAATGTGCGCAGTGGCTCACACCTGTTGTCGTAACCGAGCGAGTTATAGAGAAACACCACACTTTGAGACTAATTCAGGAGTCCTTTATTGCCGGCGACCGAGAGACGACTACAGCTCAAAATTCTCTCGGCCCTGAAGAAGGGGCTAGATTTCTTTTTATACCTTGGTCTAAATAGGGAAGGGGTAGTCTAGCTGAAGCAATTTTTACAGAAGCAGAACAGGCAAAGAGTTAAAAGATAAATGGTTATAGAAACAGTTACAGGAAAATAAACAGTTCCAGGTGCATGGGGCTTAAATTATCACAAAGAGATAAACGCAGGGGCTTTGGGTACCATCAACCGAGCGCGTTCCCAGGAGCTGCTGGTACAGCTTGCCTCAGTATCTTATCAGTAAGCACATTCCTGGATGTGCTTGGTGTCAGTCTGCACCAGTTATGTCCTTAAGGGAGGGGGACAAGGTGCTGCAAGCGAAGAAACCAAAATGGAGTCTGTCCCGCTCTCTCAGCTAAGAGCGAGTCAATCAGGTTAAAACAAGGTAGGGTATCAAGCTGTAATCCCAGCGCTTTGGGAGGCCGAGGAGGGCAGATCCTTGAGCTCAGGAGACCAGCTTGGGCAACAAGATGAGAGTCTCACACCCCGCCCTGTCTCTACAAAAAACAAAACAAAACAAAACAAAAAAAAGCCAGGCATGGTGGCTCATGTCTGTGGTCCCAGTTACTGCGAGGCCGACGTGAGAGAATCACTTGAGCCCTGGAGATCGAGGCTGCAGTAGCCGTGATCACACTCCAGCCTGGGCGAAAGAGACCCTGTCTCAAAAAACAAACAAAACAATGTGAAATTAAGCCAAAAGCCATCACACGTGCATCCAAAGGACGGCCGCTACCCGCGACCCCTTCCCAACGCACGCGGGAGGTTGCGGGATCAGGGACAGGGGCTTCAGCAGGGAGCCCCCAGACCGGCCCTGACAGGAATTCAAGACCTGGCGCCTGCTCATTCCCCCAGTCGGGGCGGCGGCGGCAAGCCTCGGCCGGCGGCGATCTGCACACCCGCGGAGAAGAGAGGCAGGGGGTCGACCCCACAGCCCAGCCCGGCGCGTCCCCCGCGCCCCCGCGCGAGCCCGAGTCGCCGGCGGAAGTGCTGCGTCGCGCACTTCCGGGTGTTGTCTGGCCGCCGTAGCGCGTCTTGGGTCTCCCGGCTGCCGCTGCTGCCGCCGCCGCCTCGGGTCGTGGAGCCAGGAGCGACGTCACCGCCATGGCAGGCATCAAAGGTGGGCCTGGGTTGCAGGACGCGGGAGGGCTGGGGCCGGCGGGGGAAGATGGGCCGGGGGTCCCACGCGGCCCCCGCACTTCCCCTCCGGGCTCGCGCGCGCGCGTGGGGTCCCTGCGCCGGGGAAGCGACCCCCGCCCCGGCCCTGCGCTTGGCCCGGAGGTGGGCGCGGCGCCCTCGGGCAACGGACGGTTGCGACCCCGGCTTCGCCCCGCAGCCCCCACTTTCTGCCGATTTCGGCAGCCTCTCTCCCACCCATCGCCCCCCGGACAAAATATGAAGTGGTTGGCGGTCAGTGAGGAGTCCCGTCGCGACTTGGACGGCCACACACGTTTTGCAGGAGTTTGCATCCGAGAGAGAGGCAGGCAGAGCGTGGGATTGAGAAGGCTGAGGCTGCTAGAGATGCCAGCTATGGAAAACCAGTCATTTCCCACCGAAAGGCACAAGTGCGGTCTGCGGGCGCTGCACGGGTCTGCCCGAAACCTCGACCCCACGTCCACCCCGGCCGCCCGCGCCCGAGGCTTTACAGGCTCCCGAAACGGGTGCATTTTCATCTGCGGTGTCTGGACCCTAGAGTTGATCCTGTAGGCGACCCCAAAGTGCTCCTGGCTCTCTTCCCTCTCCGCAGTTGCACCCTGAGGCTTTTTCAAATTTCAAAATTTTTCTTTTTTTCCTTTTTTTTTTTTAAGAAGATAAAATACTGGTACAACTTAATGAAAAACTACTGGCTTATTCATGTATTTTCTTTTAAAAAAAGGAATGTTGCATTTGTTCCACCTGTTAGGTAGTTTTGTTGTCAGTGTGATGAGAAGCAAAGTTTTCAGCTACTGCTTAACTAATTACATTGATTTCTTGACCTGCCGCTCTGTAGAAGGGCAGTCAGGCAGGAAGCAGGTAACTTTGGGAGCAGTGGTTTTCTTTGTATTTTTTCTTCTCTAAGGAAAACTTAATCGAGTTTTTTTTCAGGGTCACAGTCTTACTGTTTCTTGTTTATTTTCAATGTCTGAAAACATTTCATTTCCCATATAAAACCTTGTCATTTAAGCAACTGGGATACTTTGTAATCTCCTTTTGAACTATGATAGACTCTAAACCCTTATGTGAAAGGCAGTTATTGTGAATTGCTGTGGTTTTTAGGATGTTGCCCGTTTCCCTGTTCTTCCCTGTTTCTTCAGTGTCAATAATGCGGGGGTCTCTTAAGAAAATAGCTTTGTAATTTACTTCTCCAGACCTAGGGAAATACTGCATTAAACTGATGAAGGTGCCTCAGGTGAACTGCACTTTTGATTTCAGCAGGATTTTCTGGTTGTTATGAGTCAGTATGTTTCTTTCTCTTGGCCTAATATCTTTATATTAGGAAGGAGTGTTGCTGTAATTAGAGACCATTAGGCATTGCTTGAGCCATTTGTCTATTACTTTTTGATATATTGGATTTTCTGGTAACTCCCAGGTTAGAGAAGTGGTCCCTCCTTCTACTCTAATTTCTTTGTAATCACAGAATCAGCATCTTGTCTCTAGAGAGTTTTGCTAGATAATTGGGCTGCTCCATGCCTAGCCTAGAGGCTTTGGGAGTAGAACCCAGACTTATCTAAGCTTTGTCTTCCAAATGTTGCATCACTCAATTACTGTATGAATTCTTGCCTTGTTGATGTGTCATTTAAGAAACAGCTTATATACAAATGATGAAGTGTATATATAAATCTTCCTAGTTGCCAATTTCATAAGATTGAAGAAACTGCAAGTTTTGAGAACACTTTTAAGCAATTTATTTAACCTCTAATTGGCTACCTTATTCGGTATGACTGGAAGATGAGATGTCACATCAAACTGTGTTATGAATATTTAAAAAAAATTTAGTATTTAATCCTGGCGCGGTGGCTCACACCTGTAATCCCAGCACTTTGGGAGGCCGAGACGGATGGATCATGAGGTCAGGAGTTCAAGACCAACCTGTCCAAGATGGTGAAACCCCATCTCTACTAAAAATACAAAAAAATTAGCTGGGCATGGTGGCAGGCACCTGTAATCCCAGCTACTCAGGAGGCTGAGGCAGGGAATTGCTTGAACCCGGGAGGCAGAGGTTGCAGTGAGCCAAGATTACGCCACTGCACTCCAGCCTGGGCAACAGAGTGAGACTCTGTCTCAAAAAAAAAAAAAATATATATATATATACACACACACACACACACACACACACACATATTTAGTATTTAATGGAGTAGAAGTATTATCTCAAGGTATCTTGATTCCCCCAAACAAATGTTATTCCAGTATTCATATTCATAGCACTTACAATAAGACAATCTTGGTTTATGTTTTTAAAATTGTTTTTTGATACCTGAGCCTTATCTCATTTTAGTCCCTTGGTTTTTTTTTTTTTTTAAGGAATCATTTTTCATTAACTTTGTAAGAGTGTAATCAAAGAATTTAGGCCTTCTTTTTTGATAAAAACTTGAATGACTGTTCTCTGTCACAGAACAGCCACCTTCAGAGGCCCTCATGGTCCTAAGGTGGCTTGCCTCTTGCGGAGATTACCGTGAACATGCTTTTTGAGATTTTTCTGCCTGGTTTAAATTTTTTTTGTTGTTTCCTCCCTCCTGTCAAAGGGCAATTCTTGCTTGTATGCAACTCTTTCTCCTAATTCCCATTTGTTTCAGTGTGGGAAGATAAACTTAGAAAATTTTGTGTCACAAGGTATATAGGTAATAGTGATTACTTTTGATAAGAGAAAGTTCCTTTTCACTTAATTTTTGTTCTGGGTATATGAATTACCTATTGAAAAATATATATAAGTGAGCATAGATGATTCTTTAAAATAAAAATGTGTTTTACTCTGAATTCCCATCTAACAATTGTGTCACGAAAATGAGTTAGTATAAATAAGAACTTAAGGGTCTGTTTATAGAGAATGTTGGCTTTAGTATATGGGCTTTGTAACATCTATTTTGTCTCTTTTTAGTGGCCTTTGTTTTCTCCAGGATTCTAAGTTGCGTATAAATGGCTTCTGAATGAATGAGGTGTTACTAGGTAGTATTTATAGTAATGGACTTAGCTGTCTTAACAGTACCTTTAGTGTTCAGAAAATTATCTGCATTTAAGATCTAGTCCAACTGTCATTTTAGAGAAGGAAGAACTGAGACTCATAAATTACTTGGACAACTAGTTAGTAACTATTAGGGCCTTGGACCCTCCAGAGTCTCAGTTCCATGCTGCTTCCACTCTGCTACATTCATTCCACAAATATTTGTTGAGTGTTAAGAGCCAGGCACGATCATCACAACAGAAAAACTTGCTCCCTCCTTTCGTGAAATGGACAGTTGAGAAGGAAAGACAAAATACAAACCAGTAGGAAATCGCAGCTGATAATTGAGCAAAGGAGAGGCATTCAGTGAACAGAGGACCTCAGCATACACGGGTCTCTGCCAGGAATACTCATCCCAAATACCCACATGATTTCCTCCCTCCCCTCATACAGATCTTTGCTCAGGTGGTGCTTCATCAGAGATGCCTTCCCTGGCCACTGTATCTAGACTAGCACTCCCATCCCTTACTCTACCTGACGTTTGTCATCACTTGACATTTATTCACTTGCTTATTAAAAATCATTTTCTTCTCCCACTAGAACGTGAGAGCAAAAGCTTTGATTGTTGTCATTGCTCTGTCTCCAGTAGCAAGAACAGTATCTGACACACGTTAGGTGCTCCATAGATGTTTGTTAGAGGAATGAATAAATAAATATAACAGGGAATTGGTCTAATCAGGAGGTTTGGAAAAACTTCACTGAGGCCAGGTGCAGTGGCTCACGCCTATAATCCCAGCACTTTGGGAGGCCAAGGTGGGCAGATCGTGAGGTCAAGAGATGGAGACCATCCTGGCCAATGTGGTGAAACCCCGTCTCTACTAAAAATACAAAAAAAAAAAAAATTAGCTAGGCATGGTGGTGCACAGCTGTAGTCCCAGCTACTCAGAAAGGCTGAGGCAGGAGGATGGCTTGAACCTGGGAGGCGGAGGTTGCAGTGAGTCAAGATCGCGCCACTGCACTCCATCCTGGCGACAGCGCAAGACTCCATTTAAAAAAAAAAAAAAAAAAAAAAAAAACCAGCAAAAAAACACTTCACTGGTTGAGCTGAGATCTGAAGGAAAAGCAGGAGTTAAGTTGGAGGAAAGTAGAGAGGAGTGGGAAAGGACCATGCCTCATTCACTGTTGTATCCCTAGTGCTTGTCACATATTTAGTGCTCAGTGAATATTTCTTGAATGAAAAAATGTCTGAGGCAGAAGGGACAAAGTGTGCACAGGCCACGTGAGTGAGCAAGTCTGCTGATTTCCAGGAAAGGAAAGAGGGCCAGTATAACTGAAGTGAGGGTTCAGGGACACTGTAGTAGCCTGGTGTGACACGTCACAGGAGAGGTGGGCAGGGCCCGGTCATGAGAACCAATTTGGAACTGAAGAAAACAAATGGTAAATTCAGTGTTTTCCTTACAGTTTATATTGCATTCCCCTGTAAACTTGAAGTGCCTCGTTTGCTGTAAAGTAAAAATGCAATTCTTTTCCTGTAGCTGGAAATAGAATGGTATTCAGGACTAAGTGATGTGTTCGGGGTTGCCATGACCTGCATCAGCGATCTAACCAAAAACCAAATCTGCCAAGCCACTATGTCATGGGGTGTCCTTGATTATGACTGTTTTAGTTGTGCAGAGTATATCAGTAGTACTTGGCAAAGTTTAACTTGTTTCCTGTTCATTTTGGTTTCTCTATGTTAGCCTTTGTTTTGGTAACTTTTAGACCTTCTACAAATCTTTCGAATTTTAACTTTTGAATTTTAATAAAATGACCTAACAACAACAAAACTAGTTATTTTCTTAGCCACTGTAACTGTAGAAATACAGGTTATATAGAACTCAAAATAAATTTATCATTTACTTATTTATTTATTTTTTTTGAGATGGAGTCTTGCTCTGTCGCACAGGCTGGAATGCAAAGGCGCAGTCTAGGCTCACTGCAACCTACGCCTCCCGGGTTCAAGCAATTCTCCTGCCTCAGCCTCCCAAGTAGCTGGGACTACAGGCATGTGCCACCACACCCAGCTAATTTTTTGTATTCTTAGTAGAGACAAGGTTTCACCATACTGACCAGGCTGGTCTCAAACCCCCAACCTCATGATCCGCCCGCCTTGGCCTCCCAAAGTGCTGGGATTACAGGCGTGAGCCACTGCACTCGGCTATCATTTATTTCTTTGCTTTAGTCTAGGTCATTGGTTAACTATGCCTATTCAAGAAAGTTGTTTCTATTCACTAACGTGAGAGCACCTTAAAATGTACTGCTGTGTGTGTGTGTGTGTGTCTGTGTGTGCGCGCGTAGCTTTAGAAACTATATTTCACCTGTAGAATGCATCTATTGCTTATAATAACATGTTAAAGTAGTGATACCTCAGAAGGATTATAACCCATTGTCCTACAGATTTTCTAATGTAGATTAGGGAAGGAAACCCAGCTCTACTTTTGCAAACTATTTAAAGATTTGCAACAAAATTAATTGATTAAAATCATTAACTACAGATATTCTCGGGCATTTTTTCTGGTCAGTTTTATGCACATTGAGAGTGTATGTGCCAGAAACAGGAGCTGATTAGAAGAGGTTTTCCTATAGGATGAGGTTTCTAAAGTCCAGTAAACTTGAGCATGTGGAGTTTCTCCACATACTGCTTTTCAAAACTGTAGTGATCTGTGAAGTAAATATAATTCTAATGCCCAGAAGAGCATTGAGCCTGTGGACTTTGACTCTTTAGAAAGGGAACCAGCGTCTGGGGAATATGGTGGGGTACTAGCAGTAGGTTAGAGCTTTAAAAATCGGTGTCACTGGCTGGATGTGGTGGCTCACGCCTGTAATCCCAGCACTTTGGGAGGCCAAGGCAGGTGGATCACCTGAGGTCGGGAGTTCGAGACCAGCCTGACCAACATGGAGAAACTCCATCTCTACTGAAAATAGAAAATTAACAGGATGTGGTAGTGCATTCCTGTAATCCCAGCTTACTCAGGAGGCTGAGGCAGGAGAATCACTTGAACCTGGGAGGTGGAGGTTGTGGTGAGCCGAGATCAAGCCATTGGACTCCAGCCTGGGCAACAAGAGTGAAACTCCATCTCACAAAAAAAAAAAAAAAAAAAAAAAAGGCCAGTGTCACTTCATTTTGCCTTGAAGATACCACAGAAGACTTATTCTAAGACTAGATAACTTACACTTCTGATGGCAACTTGCTATTAATACGTTTTAGGGATTTTTGCTTCTGAGGTTACAGATAATGTTCAGACTGCTGATATTAATAAAAATAATATTTAATTTATATTCCTGTTGCACTTTTTATTTGCTTTGCAGCTTTGATTAGTTTGTCCTTTGGAGGAGCAATCGGACTGATGTTTTTGATGCTTGGATGTGCCCTTCCAATATACAAGTATGTAAAATGTTTGTCTTTCTGAATATTTAAGGGTAAAATTTTTCTACTTTTAAAGCTTAAAAAAATGTTTTTTTACTACTGTAAAAGTAATGCAGAGAAATGTTCACTTACCAAACACATACCTTTGTAAAAATCACCACTTAAAGTTTGTTTCTAAAGATTTTAGGACACCAAGATGCAAATAATATTTTTGGCTGTTACCTGCTCTTTCACTACTGCTGAGTCTGCAGTGGCAAGATAGCTACACAGTACCTCAGCCCTCCTGCTCAGTTTTTAACATCTATTGATAATACTAATTACAAGAAAATTTAAAATGTCTTTTTGCAAAAAAATACCATAAGCAGTCAAAACACAATTAAAAAAAAAGAGAGAGATGTAAACAATTACTTTCCGGCCGGGTGCGGTGGCTCACACCTGTAATCCCAGCATTTTGGGAGACCAAGGCGGGAGGATTGCCTGAGGTCAGGAGTTCAAGACCAGCCTGGCTAACATGGTGAAACCCCATCTCTACTAAAAATACAAAAAAATAGCCAGGCGTGGTGACACATGCCTGTAGTCCCAGGTACTCGGGAGGCTGAGGCAGGAGAATCGCCTGAACCCAGGAGATGGAGGTTGCGGTGAGCCAAGATCACGCCACTGCACTCCAGCCTGGGTGATAGAGCAAGACTCTGTTTCCAAAAAAAAAAAAAAAATTTCTTTCCTTAGGATAGAAAGAACTTCTCAAAGTTAACATTTTAACATTTAGATAAATTAGAAAAAGATGGACAACTCAATAGAAAAATAAATACAAAAAGAGAACTACAAATTGCTAATAAGCACATAAAAATATCCCCAGCCTCACTCAAAACTAAACAAAATCTATTGACAAAGACAAGAGACAGGGCAAGCAGGGACTCTTTTGTGCTGTGGGGGGAGTACACATAGATAGTTTTCTTGGAGATAAGTTTGCTTGTAGCTCTCAAAGTATATATTCTTTGAGTTAGCCCTTTCACTTGTTAGACTTTCTGATACAAACCCACTTGCAGATGTTTACAAAGATATATTTAGTGGGGGAGAGTATGGATGTTCAAGCAGCCTTGTTTATTTTTTGGTTTTTGTTTTTGTTTTGTTGTTTTATGCGTTATTTATAAGAGCCAAAAAAAATTCTGAAAACATCCTAAATGTCCTTCAAAAGAAAAATGGTTAAATTATAGTAAATCTTTTAATGGAAATACTAGGCAGTCTTAAAAAGAATGAGGAAGAGCTGTAAGTGCTAACATGTAAATATGTTCAAGACATATTGTTAGAAAACTGCAGGGACCCATTCATATTTTAAAGTTTATGTGGAAATGTGGAAGGGTCCCTGAGAAGCTCAATAGGAAAGTGGGCAAGAGGAGATTTGGAACTTTTAGTCTTTACTTTTTGTGCTTTTGTACTGTTTGAATTATTTTTCTTAAGCATATATTCAATTTTTAATTTTTTTTCTTAAAATATTTAGGAAATGGTCAGGCGCAGTGGCTCATGCCTGTAATCCTAGCACTTTGGGAGGCCAAGGTGGGTGGATCACCTGAGGTCAGGAGTTTAAGACCAGCTTAGCCAACATGGTGAAACTCCATCTCCACTAAAAATACAAAAATTAGCCGGGCATGGTGGTGCACGCCTGTAATCCCAGCTAGTCACGGGGGCTGAGGCAGGAGAGTCACTTGAACCCAGGAGGCAGAAGTTGCAGTGAGCCGAGATCATGCCACTGCACTCCAGCCTGGGCAGCAGAGCGAGACTCTGTCTCAAAAAAAAAAAAAAAAAATTTAGGAAACATAAGTAGCTGCTTATCATTAGCCTCTGTACAATCAGATCTCCACCATGATACCTATTTTATTCTATGGTAGTTTTAAGGGCATCTATTTCTTTTTAACTTTTTATTTTGAAACAATTTTAGATTCTGAAGAAGTTGTGAAAATCATACACAGAGGTCCCCTGTACCCTCCACACAGCCTGCCAGAGTCATAAGATCTTACATAACCATAGTTATCAAAACCAGGAAATGACTGTGGTACAATACAGTTAACTAGATGTAGAGTAAAAGCCATCTATTTTTATTGTGATAAATTCTATATTCTGACTGAAAGTGTTCTTACTTTTAGCTTCTTTTCTGTATTTTGATTTCTGTAATTTGGGAGTTCCTCGTGTTGTAAGGGAAGTTTAGGGTTGTTTCAGCTTTATGCTAAGGTTGGGTATCATCCATTAGAAGTCAAGCGATTGAATCTTGATTTTTTAAAAAGACCATATTTTGTGTGTAGGAAAATGACATAGCAAAAATTACATTAACTTATTTTTCTTTTTCTAGCAAATACTGGCCCCTCTTTGTTCTATTTTTTTACATCCTTTCACCTATTCCATACTGCATAGCAAGAAGATTAGTGGATGATACAGATGCTATGAGTAACGCTTGTAAGGAACTTGCCATCTTTCTTACAACGGGCATTGTCGTGTCAGCTTTTGGACTCCCTATTGTATTTGCCAGAGCACATCTGGTAAGTGAATATATTCTTCCATTAATGATTTTATATTGAACATGTGTTACATTTTTCTCAAGCAAAGTTTTTGTTAATGACATGAAAAGAGGTGAAAGACATAAGAGCCTAGAAGATAGAGATTAAAATCTCACTTTATTGTTTGTTCTTGTTAACTAATAAAAGTGATATTGGAGAACGTGGCTTGGATCTGCAGCAGCTGTTGGCTTGCTAATACTTTTTTTTTTCTTTTTTTTTTTTTTTTGAGATGGAGTCTTGCTCTGTCGCCCAGCCTGGAGTGCAGTGGCGTGATCTCACCTCACTGCAAGCTCTGCCTCCCGGGTTCACGCCATTCTCCTGCCTCAGCCTCCCGAGTAGCTGGGACTACAGGTGCCCGCCACCACGCCCAGCTGATATTTTTTGTGTTTTTAGTGGAGACGAGGTTTCACCGTGTTAGCCAGAATGGTCTCGACCTCCTGACCTCGTGATCCGTCCGCCTCGGCCTCCCAAAGTGCTGGGATTACAGGCATGAGCCACCGCACCCGTCTGGCTTGCTAATACTTAACTGTCAGAGTTGAGCATATCAACTCCCCCAGTGCTGAACAACCCAGGCCTATCCTGTAAAACCTAAAATATGGAAGACCTGAGAAGGTGCATGTGCTCTGCAGGCAGAAAAGCACTGAAGAGGGGAAGGGGCTGGCTACGGGTACTCAGTTCTTCCTCCCAAACTCACTGATCCACGCGCCTTCATCTCTGGGGAGGTAGAGAAGACAGCCATATGGAGAAGGCAATTGTTTTCCCACCCCTTCAAAAGAATGTACATGGGTGTGTTTCCATCTGTGATATGCTAAAATTTAATCTACTCTAGATAGATTTTTATATTAAGGAAGAGTAAGCACATTCCTTTATAAACAGAAACTTGTAGAATTTTATGCTGCTTCTTCATAGCCCAGAAGTCAAGCTTGTTTTTGAATGGTCATTTCATGACTTTCTTTTTAAAGGAACCAAAGGTAAATGAAAATACTAGTATAAAAGTACCACTTTTATACTATAAATATATTTATACTGTATATATTTATATATATTTATACTATATATTTTTTTACTATATATATTTATACTATATATATTTATAAGTATGTGTTCAGCACTGTGACAATTATTGTTACAAGGCATGCTTCTTTTAGATCATAATTGGGATACAACTAGAGCCTTGATTTTTTTTTTTATTTTCCTTTCGTTTTTCATGCCTGTTGACTGAGTGTATCTTATTTCCATAGATTGAGTGGGGAGCTTGTGCACTTGTTCTCACAGGAAACACAGTCATCTTTGCAACTATACTAGGCTTTTTCTTGGTCTTTGGAAGCAATGACGACTTCAGCTGGCAGCAGTGGTGAAAAGAAATTACTGAACTATTGTCAAATGGACTTCCTGTCATTTGTTGGCCATTCACGCACACAGGAGATGGGGCAGTTAATGCTGAATGGTATAGCAAGCCTCTTGGGGGTATTTTAGGTGCTCCCTTCTCACTTTTATTGTAAGCATACTATTTTCACAGAGACTTGCTGAAGGATTAAAAGGATTTTCTCTTTTGGAAAAGCTTGACTGATTTCACACTTATCTATAGTATGCTTTTTGTGGTGTCCTGCTGAATTTAAATATTTATGTGTTTTTCCTGTTAGGTTGATTTTTTTTGGAATCAATATGCAATGTTAAACACTTTTTTAATGTAATCATTTGCATTGGTTAGGAATTCAGAATTCCGCCGGCTCTATTACTGGTCAAGTACATCTTTTCTCTTAAAATTATTTAGCCTCCATTATTACAAAAAATTATAAAAATAAGTTTTCAGTCAGTCAGGATGACATCACTCCCAATGTTATGCAGACATACAGACGGTTGGCATACGTTATAGACTGTATACTCAGTGCAAATATAGCTGCATTTATACCTCAGAGGGGCCAAGTGTTAATGCCCATGCCCTCCGTTAAGGGTTGTTGGTTTTACTGGTAGACAGATGTTTTGTGGATTGAAAATTATTTTATGGAATTGCTACAGAGGAGTGCTTTTCTTCTCAATTGTTAGAAGAATTTATGTTAAACTTTAAGGTAAGGGTGTAAAAACATTTTTGAGATAAGGTTTTTATTTATGTTTATTATTGTTAGAGTGAGTTGCAATGTGGGAAGAAATGACATTGAAATTCCAGTTTTTGAATCCTGTTTCTATTTATAAGTGAAATTTGTGATCTCCTATCAACCTTTCATGTTTTACCCTGTTAAAATGGACATACATGGAACCACTACTGATGAGGGACAGTTGTATGTTTGCATCATATATGCCAGAAAACCTTCCTCTGCTTCCTCCTTTTGACTTATTTGGTATGTTGTATATATTACATAAAATAACTTTTCAAATATAGTTTAATAACACTTAGAAGTGTTTACTTACCTGGAAAATAATTGCTATGCCGTACATTCAGAGTGCCCCCTCCCCTGCAAGGCCTTGCCATGATTAACAAGTAACTTGTTAGTCTTACAGATAATTCATGCATTAACAGTTTAAGATTTAGACCATGGTAATAGTAGTTCTTATTCTCTAAGGTTATATCATATGTAATTTAAAAGTATTTTTAAGACAAGTTTCCTGTATACCTCTGAACTGTTTTGATTTTGAGTTCATCATGATAGATCTGCTGTTTCCTTATAAAAGGCATTTGTTGTGTGAGTTAATGCAAAGTAGCCAAGTCCAGCTATATAGCAGCTTCAGAAACATACCTGACCAAAAAATTCCCAGTAACCAGGCATGATCAATTTATAGTGGTCGTTTACATCTAATAATTATCAGGACTTTTTTCAGGAGTGGGTTATAAAAACATTCAAGTTGGTCTGACAGTATTTTGTTAAGGATATTTGTTTGTATGTTTATTCAGTATACTTACATAAAAATTATTTCGCCATCAGCCAAAACTCAGTAATCATGACAGCTGTCTGTTGTTTTATGAAGTTTATTTCTCAAGAAAATGGGAATAAATTTGGGATTTGTTCAGCTTTTTTACTAAAGATGCCTAAAGCCACAGGTTTTATTGCCTAACTTAAGCCATGACTTTTAGATATGAGATGACGGGAAGCAGGACGAAATATCGGCGTGTGGCTGGAGCCTTCCCACTGGAGGCTGAAAGTGGCTTGTGGTATTATAATGTTCAGATTTCAAGAGGAAGGTGCAGGTACACATGAGTTAGAGAGCTGGTGAGACAGTTGGGAACTCTTTGTGCTTGTGATCTACTGGACTTTTTTTTGCAGGAAGTGCATTCTCTGGTCCTTCCCTATTTTCTGTTCTGGATGTCAGTGCAGTGCACTGCTACTGTTTTATCCACTTGGCCACAGACTTTTTCTAACAGCTGCGTATTATTTCTATATACTAACTGCATTGGCAGCATTGTGTCTTTGACCTTGTATACTAGCTTGACATAGTGCTGTCTCTGATTTCTAGGCTAGTTACTTGAGATATGAATTTTCCATAGAATATGCACTGATACAATATTACCATTCTTCTATGGAAAGAAAACTTTTGATGATGAAACAATAAAGATTTTAAATATCTATTTTAGTTTGTGGGTGTTTTTGAAATGAAAATATATGGCACACTTTCATTCTGAAGTGCATTAACATTCTAATAAGGTGATGTAAAGCAAGATGACATTGGTGTAATGTTAGAGTTGCAGAAGTTTCCATTCCAAAATAAAATGGAAACCATAGTTACAGATATTACAATGCAGCCCTGTAATTTTGAGCTGTAGTAAAAGGATTGGTAATCTGGGAAGTAGAATTTTTACAAAATCTTTTACAAAAATAGTCATAAAAGGTTTTGTTGACATTTAAGACTACTACTGATCTAAAGGCAAGGTCCTACTTCTTAAATTTTCAGAACATTTTTATGACTTCTTATTATGTATTTATTACCACTCATTATTATAGCATGTTACTTTTTGCAAACATTTTAAACAAAAAATATTTCTGTTTGGTACACTGTGAAGAGAGAAAAGTACTGTTCTGTATTTTCAAATATTAGTCGTGTCCCAAATTGTCCTAATTATAATCTTATCATATACTTTAAAAAGTTTAGGCTGTGGACACTAAATGTCTGCTCTAATATGATTTTGGGGACATTGTCAATACAGATTTTTTTTTTTTTTTTGAGACTTGCTTTGTGCCCAGGCTGGAGTGCAGTGGTACGATCTTGGCTCACTGCAACTGCTAGGTTCAAGCGATTCTCATACCTCAGCCTCCTACGTAGCTGGGATTACAGGCATAGGTCACCACACCTGGCTAATTTTTGTATTTCTTGTAGAAACATGGTTTTGCCATGCTGGCCACACTGGTCTCAAACTCCTGGCCTCAAGTTATCGCCCTGCCGCTCAGCCTTCTGAGTAGCTGGGATTATAGGCCTGCACCACCACGCCTGGCTAATTTTCGTATTTTTTGTAGAGATGGGGTTTTGCCATGTTGGCCACGCTGGTCTCAAACTCCTGGCCTCAAGCCATCACCACCACAACCCCCCTCAAACCACCCCCCCGCCCCGAAAAAAAGTGCTGGGATTACAGGCGTGAGCCACCACACTTTGGCCAAAATAATCCAGATTTCTAAAGTCTAGGATATTTATATTGAATGTGACTAGATTTTTAAGTTTCAGATAACTTTTAATCAATGCACCAAAGTTAACAAGCAACACAACGTTATTGTTAAGTGGTATGTGTGTTTTAGATCCCAGGATGCTTTATGATGTATACGATTGGTGGGAAATTGAAATTCGTATTTCTTCTCTATAAGCTTGTATTGCCCTTTCTTTCAGTGAAGATTAGGAGCTCTGATTTTATTACAGGTCTGTTCATTTTATGGCATTCTCAAGGAAGAAAACATGTCCTGTAGGTAAATATTTTAGATCAATGAAGCTTAGCTTACTAAGAACTAATGTTTGTTTTACTTTAATCATTTGATGAAAGTATTAAATGGATTGTACACATGTGCTTTCTTAGAATATATTAAAACACTTTAATTTTTCCTTGGTAATTTAGGACTATCATCATAAACTATTTCCCCCCCATTGTAAGTGGCTGCCGACCTGTATTTTTCTGGAATTGTGTTTTTGATCCTTTTCATACAACTGAGTATTTGTTTCTAGCACCCCTTAACTTATTTTGTTTCCAAGTTGCTGACTTACAGTATATTAGGAAGAGTGGAAAGTGGTCAAGAAAAAAATAAGGCAACCAAGCTTATTAAATCAATTATGTAACATTTCTGTACACAGTACATCAGTGGACTTAATTAGGGTGCCTCCTACCTCTTACACAAATGAAATGCTTTGTGACAGGTATTCTTCCTCTTGAAAGGCTTTTTTAAGAAAAAAATAATTTTTAACTGTATACTAGATAATCTGAGATTGCAAAAGGAGCACCAGATAAGGGAGGTGTTACCATGCTGTGCAGCAGAAGAAGGCTTATAATTAAGTTTACTACACTTTAATGTTGGGGTTATTCTGAGCTCAAGATACTCATAGACCTTTGTCTGATTTCCAGGGTCTTATATCTCACTTCACCCTTTGTGTTTAGTTACTGAAAGTTTAGGGATGAAGATAGATTTACAGTTTATTTTTACAAGAAACTTTATACTGTATGCTTTGCTTCCAGTCTCTTGAAGATTATTTGAATTCATCTGTGGGTTTATGCCCATACACATGGTTAGTCACAGTAATTCAGATATTAACTGTTAAGCTTGTAAATTCTAGCAGAGGGTGGTGGGAACAGAGCAAATCCAAACCTGTTTCTATGAGTGAGAGATTAAGACCATAAAACACTTATCTTTCAACTGTAATTCTGCAGAGTTTTGTATTTAGAGGCAGTACTCCGTGTGTGTGTGTGCGTGCGCGCGTGTGTGTAGTGGGGGCAGAATCAGGAATTTTTTTTTACTTCAAAAGCCAGTAGAGGCTGGGCATGGTGGCTCACACCTGTAATCCCAGCATTTTGGGAGGCTGGGTTGGGGGGCGGTGCGGATCACTTGAGGTCAAAAGTTCGAGACCATCCTGGCCAACATAGTGAAACCCCATCTCTTCTAAAAATACAAAAATTAAGTCGGGTGTGGTGGTGGCGCCTGTAGTCCCAGCTACTTGGGAGGCTGAGGCAGTAGAATCGCTTGAACCCAGGAGGCAGAGGTTGCAGTGAGCCAAGATCACGCCACTGCACTCCAGTCTGGGTGGCAGAGTGAGACTCTGTCCCAAAATAAAAAAAAAGCAAATAGAATGTCTAATACTATGAAAGAGAAGCGTTGTGGCAGTTTACAACCATAGAAACCAGCCAATAGAATAAAATACTAAAGAATAAACCTGAGTATTTCCATATCTGTTTGTAAAAGCATTAGTATTTATTAATTATCTTGATATATAGTGTGTCTGGCATTTAATATTGGAAGTATCTTTTTCTCTTGGTAGATCAGTTTATTGTATAATATCATGTAAATACAACTGTGACATAAAAGTAAATGAACTTGTGTAGATTTGGGAACCTCCCCAAAATAGGACAGATGTTTTCCTGAAAGCTAGGTTTACTTATGTCATCTATTTGAAGATTGTTTCTGAAAGGGTTTACAATTGAAACAACTTCCTAGGATTAAACCAAGTGTAGGTGGATTTATTTTTGTCAGGGAGGGTCTAAATCATCAACTTCCAAAACATAAGCAAGAATTGGCTCTAAACATTAACTGAGTGTAGCAGTGAAGACAAAGGTGTTAGTCCCTAAGAATTAAAAGAAAAAGAAGATGGTTTTGAGCTATACTTCATACTACAAATGATGTTTGTCATTTACTAATTTAAATGGCCTAGTAATTATTTAAATTAAATAATTTATTATCAACTAAATCCAAACAGTGCTTAAAACAGTGATTTCAAAAATATATACATTTAAAAACCCAGATGCTAAGAAATGTCCAGTGTATTAGGTAGAAACAACTTGGTGTTCACATCTCTGTATTTCACTTCGGCTATGTCATGAGGTAGTTATGCTGAAATTCCGCATTTGGTTTCAGCTTTTCCTCTAGAAAACTTCCTTGTTCCCAGTGGCAGTTACATGCCGCATTCCAGGTACTACTGGAAACAGGAAAATCTTGGAGCACAGTCCCTCTCTGAAGTGGTAATCTAATGAGATAAGAGAGACAGAAATATATCGAAGCCAATTCATCTCCAAGCCAAGAGAGAAGTGTGGAGTTCACGGAAGGGAAAGATTTGGGAGACAGAAAGAGGTCGGGTGGGGGGTGGTTTTCTGTTGCTCTGGTGGGTCTTGTGCCAGCCAGCAGGGTCACAGGATGTGAGAATTCCTTTGGAGCAGCAGTCTGGGGTTCTTCAGCATCCTGAGGTTTCAGAGGCAGTTGGGGACAGCTTTTTGATTCTGACACGATGATCTCTGGATCCCAGATACCATGGAGATATAAAAAGTGGTGAGACTCAGGCTATATTTTAAAGGAATAAAAGCAGGTTTGCTGATGAGTTGTGTGGAAGACAGAGTGGAGTCAGTGATGACTACCAAGTTTTTGCTCATCCATATCACCTGGATAGGAGTAAAGGAGTAGTAAGGGAGAAATGGAAAATAAAAATCAAGGTTCTGGAACACAGATCCAAACTGGTTCATCATATCCACCTGTTACCCAGACATGCCACAATTTGCTTTGTTTCAGACCCTTGCCAAACAAAACACTATTCAGAGTTGGGACGCTAACTTTGTAACCATTTTTCTTTTCTTTCTTTGAGATGGAGTCTTGCTCTGTCGCCCAGGCTGGAGTTCAGTGGTGTGATCTCGGCTCACTGCAACCTCCACCTCCTGGGTTCAAGCGATTGTCCTGGCTTAGCCTCCCGAGTAGCTGGATCACAGGTGTGCGCCACCATGCCCAGCTAATTTTTTTTTTTTTTTTTTTTTTTTTTTTTTGGATTTTTGGTAGGCACAGGGTTTCACCATGTTGGCCAGGCTGGTCTCAAACTCCTGACCTCAGGTGATCTACCCACCTCGGCCTCCCAGAGTGCTGGGATTACAGGCATGAGCCACTGCACCCGGCCTTTGTAACCATTTTCTAAATTCCTGGAGGGTTTACATGGTAGCACACATCACAGCATAGGGGCTACATACCAGGTTCTGGAGGCAGACCACCCAACTTCTAGCTCTTCTTGATGCTAGTGGTGTAACCTTAGCCGAGTTATTTAACCCGTGTCCCATTTCCACATCTATAAAGTGAAGATACTAATAGTATCTACCTCATAAAGTGGTGAGATTTAAATGTAACCCACAGAGAGCTCACATAGATAGTGAATGTTAGATGTTCGCTGTTGCTTTCACTGTTTCTTACCAATTGCCTGTATTGCTAAGCAGTTTCCTCTTTTAAGAGGGCAAACTTTTTAAAAACACATTTTAACGATCTACTGGACTAAGCATATTGATCCTCCCTACCCCTACTCCTGCACCGAATCTTAGAAATGATACCCTTTTTGGCCAGGTGCAGAGTGGCTCACCCCTGTAATCCCAGTACTTTGGGAGGCTGAGGCTGGCGGATCACTTGAGGTCAGGAGTTTGAGACAGCCTGGCCAATATGGTGAAACCCCGTCTCTCCAAAAAAAAAAAAAAAAAAATTAGCCGGGTGTGGTGGCTCATGACTGTAATCCCAGCTACTCCGGAAGCTGCGGCAGGAGAATCGCTTGAACCTGGGAGGCAGAGGTTGCAGTAAGCCGAGATTGCACCACTGCATTCCAGCCTGCAAAACAGAGCAAGACTGTCACAAAAACAAAACAAACAAAGAACAGAGAAATACATGGGCAAAGTTAAAACAAGAAGGGGAAGCCTTGGTGGATCTGAAACTAAGAAATTTCTGAGAAAACGAAAACATACGGGATCGTATTGAAGAGGGAAACTGCAGCCTAAAATGCTGCTAGCAAGCGTGGGAGAATACTACCATAAAAGTTGGGACCCCTGCCAAAGAGCCTGTCATCGCTGCAAGTGGTGGAATCCAGGAGCAGGAGGGGGCTTACTGAGGCAACTTGCAGAGGGAGGACTTGGGGTGTGGCAGGGGAGCAGCCAAGCCGGCAGATGACTACGCATCTCCACGTACACACAGGTCTCCATCTCACCCTCCATTATGGGCCGGAGAGAACATGTTTCCTGCAGTAGCGAGGATAAGAATACCAAGTCTGGAAGAGCAGCCACCGGGCCCTCTGCTCAGCAGCACATCGTTTTCATCCGTAATGCTGGGAAAACACTGTGCCTCTCCGTTTAGTGAGACCCTCAAGCAGTCATGGCTGGCCGTCCAGCCAGGGGGTCTCCATGCAAAGAGGATCACCCAACAGTGCAGGAAGAAAACAAATTCAGAGAACTCACCACTGAGGAAACAATGGAATACACCGAAGCTCCGTTTTTACAGTTTTAAGTATTGGAGCCACCCACCGGCCTAGGGAGACCCTAGCAACTGTTGTACAAAGTCAGGCTGATGAGGGTTAAAGTTAGAGAACATTTTACATTTTTTGCACCCAAATCCAATTAGGCTGCCCCAGGACTGAACCCTAGGGAAAACATTTTGGTTTTCCTCAGAGGCTCTCTGTTTTATCACAAAGATGGATTTGATTCAAAGACACATAGTATAATCTTAATATGGATAAACCTTATTCAACAATGTATTCTCCTTCCTTTAACACTCGTCCTGAGACAATGAACCCAGAACCTGCCATCTGCTTGGATAGGAAGGTAAGGAAAAGTTATGCTCAGAATGACACATCTTACATGATATTTTTTTGTTTTGTTTTGTTTTGTTTTATTTTTTTGAGATGGAGTCTGGCTCTGTCACCCAGGCTGGAATACAGTGATGTGATCCTGGCTCACTGCAGCCTCCACCTCCCTGGCTTAAGCAATTCACCTGCCTCAGCCTCCCGAGTAGCTGGGATTACAGGCGCCCACCAGCACACTCAACTCATTTTTGTATTTTTAGTAGAGACAGGGTTTTACCATGTTGGCCAGGCTGGTCTTGAACTCCTGACCTGAAGTCATCTGCCTGCCTCAGCCTCCCAAAGTGTTGGGATTGCAGGCGTGAGCCACTGCGCCCAGCTTACATGACATTTTGGTTACCCACCTAGAACCCTGCATGGCCCATTGTGGACATTTATTCGAGTTGGAAAACTCTGATGGGAGTCCAGATGGGCTCAGTTATGCTTCAGCAGCGAACGACTCCCATATCTCAGGGCTAACAACAAAGGTTTATTTCTCACTCAATGTATCACAGATTGGCTGTGATTCTACTGGAATATTGTCTCAGGAACCTGGGCTATCAGTAGCATTGTCCGTCTTTTAGCAGACTTGGGAACAAGCATGGAGGCCTCCATGGTGGCTGTTAGATCTGCCTGGGGGTCACACGCACCTCCTCTACTCCCCTTTCATTGCCGGAGCAAGTCACACAGCCACACCTGATCTCAAGACATGGGGGAATGTGAACGCCAGCAAGACAGTTGACCGCCCTTCTTTATACAACTTTTCCCT
This sequence comes from Homo sapiens, assembly GCF_000001405.40. Taxonomy (NCBI): domain Eukaryota; kingdom Metazoa; phylum Chordata; class Mammalia; order Primates; family Hominidae; genus Homo; species Homo sapiens. The sequence goes on from NC_000008.11 coordinate 30,115,018, forward strand.
TATTTCTCTCCTGCTCCTGAAACTCATGTACAGTATTTGACTTTTTTCTGATATAAATACTGTGGCCCAGGAGTGGTGGCTCATGCCAGTATTCCCAGCACTTTCGGAGGCAGAGGCGGGTGGATCCCTGGAGAGCAGTAGTTCAAGATCAGCCTGCGCAATATGATAAGCCTCATCTCTATAAAAATACAAAAATTAGCCGGATGTGGTGCCGCTGTGGTCCCATCTACTCCAGAGGCTGAGGTGGGAGGATCACTTAAGCCCAGGAGGCAGAGATTGCAGTGAGCCAAGATTTCACCACTGCACTCCAGCCTGGGCAGCAGAGCCAGACCCCATCTTAAAAAAAAAAATCTATATCATGTACCCCCAGATATGATGTACTGAAAAGCACACCACATTCTTACCAAAAATGCATACCTTCATCTAATCCTGCACCCTTGATCTCCCTGGGCTTAGGTGATCCTCCTACCTCAGCCTCCCAAGTAGCTGGGACTACAGGCACGCACCACCATGCCTGGCTAATTTTTTTTTTTTTTTTTTTTTTTTTTTTGTAGAGACGGGGTTTCACCATGATGCCCAGGCTTAGGAGAATGCTTTAAAACCTCACAAATAGATAAGGAAAAGACAAAAGGCCCAAGAGAGAAATAGCAAAATATATAAACAGGCAATTTCTGAATAAAAACCTGTAAGTGGCAAATAAAGAATGTGGGAAGGGGCATTATTCTCATTAGTAATCCAATAAATGAAATTTAAACATCAATATGATACTTTATATTACCCACAAATTTGGCAAAGATCTATAAAAATTTTAATACCCAGTGTTCCTAAGAAATTATAATACCCAGGTAGTACATATGAAAATGATCACTCTCATAGATTTTAGGTGGAAGTGTAAGTAGTTGGTCTCAACCTTCTAAAATGTAATTTGGTAGTAAATATTAAAAGCCTTCTGTAATGTTGTGATATAATAAGAAATATATTGGGAGGCCAAGCTGGGCGGATTGCTTGAGCCCAGGAGTTTGAGACCAGCCTGGGCAACATGGCAAAACCCTGTCTCTACATAAATATAAATAATTAGCCAGGTATGGTGGCACATGCCTGTGGTCCCAGCTACCTAGGAAGCTGAGGTGGCAGAATCACCTAAGCCTTGAGGTAGAGGCTGCAGTGAGCTGTGATCATGCCACTGTGTTCCAGCCTGGGTGACAGAGTGAGACCCTGTCTTAAAAAAAAAAAATTGGTTGCTACCCTCATTTCCTGGCACACAGCTCATAACATCTTTGCAGTTTGTTAGGTCAGCAGTCCCCAATCTTGTTGGCATCAGGGACTGGTTTTGTGGAAGACAGTTTTTCCATGGACAGGGAGGCGGGGGATGGTTTTGGGATGAAACCGTTCCACCTCAGATCATCAGGCATTAGATTCTCATAAGGAGCGCGCAACCTAGATCCCTCGCATGTGCAATTCACAATAGAGCTTGTGATCCTGTGAGAGTGTAATGCCACCACTAACCTAACAGGAGGTGGAGCTCAGGTAGTAATGCTCGCTCACCAGCTGCTTACCTCCTGCTCTGCTGCCCAGTTCCTAATAGGCCATGGACTGATACTGGCCCCTGGCCTGGGGGTTGTGGGGCTCGGGGGTTGGGGACCCCTGTCTTACGTGATAAATGTCCTTCTGTTCCTGAGTTGTATCCCTTAGGGTAAACAGGTAATAAAGTAAAGCACTTTCCTGTGTTCTATAAGCTACTGTAGCAAATGGTCAAACCCAAGAAGGGGGTTGGAACCTCTGATTTGTAGCCAAGTCAGACAGACATCGTGGGTTCTCTAGGGACCTACTACTTGTGATTGCATCTGAAGGGAGGGACAATCTTGTGGGACTGGGCCCTCACCCTGTGGGATCTGATACTAACTCCAGGTAGTCAGTATTAGACATGAATTGAATTATAGGACACCCAGCTAGTGCTGGAGAATTGGTCAGTATGGGGGAGAAAAAAAACCATACATTTGGTGATCAGAAGTATTGAGAGATGTGTGAGTAGAGGAAAAAAATGTTTTTTTTTCCCCTTTACACCTTCAAAATATGCATACTGTTTGACCTACTAACTCCTTGTATTGTAATCCTAGGGAATTAGTCAGAGACAGAAGATGATCATCGCTTTACTAATTATGGTAATGAAAAATCAAAATGATCTTAAGGCCAGGTGTGGTGGCTCAGGCCTGTAATCCCAGTGCTTTGGGAGGTGGAGGCAGGAGGATCACTTGAGGCCAAGAGTTTCAGACCAGCCTGGACAAAATAGTGAGACCCTGTTTCTTTTTTTTTTTTTTAATTGTCTGTGAGGCATTTTGTTTGTAAATATATGCTGCATTACATCCCTAGAAAAAGAATCCCAGGATTTTCCCTCCTGTGTGTTTTCATCTTGCTTCTTCATGGTCCATGATGCCAGCTGAGGTTGTCAGTACAATGAAACCAAACTGAAGGGATGGAAACAGATTTTCTGCCATTTTTCCAGATCTTTGAGTTGCACATCAAATCTGGGGCTGATCACTCCACACTTGTTTAGCCTGTCTGTGAGGTTCACAACAATTTTCCCAGCTCTGTGATCATCAATGATTTCAAATTCGCCAATGTAACCATGCTTCATCATCACAGTGAGAAACCAGACGATGACTTTGGAGCACGGCCTAATAAGCACCTGGCTGGCGTTTGCCTCTCTTTTCGGCATTGTTGATGCTCTTGAGAGCATCAGCCAGGACATTCATGCGCACCATTGTGGCGGCGCAGAAAGATGGCAGGAGGAGCAGTGAGACCCTGTTTCTATAAAAAATTTTTAAAATCTGAAAGTTAGCAGAAGATTGATTAAATCAACTGTGACTGTATTAGGTGGTTATTTAAAATTACATTGTAGAAAAATGCTTATAGACATAAAGTTTAAAAAGCAGGCTATAAAATAGAAATTAGTATGAATCTACTGTTTGGGAAAAAAATCTGTATATATATTTTTTGATTTGTTTTTTTTTTTTTTTTTTTTTTTGAGACAGAGTCTCGCTCTGTCTTCCAGGCTGCAGAGCAGTGGCAGAATCTTGGCTCACTGCAACCTCTGCCTCCTGGGTTCAAGGGATTCTCCTGCCTCACATTCCTAAGTAGCTGGGATTACAGGCACCCGCCACCACACCTGGCTAATTTTTGTATTTTTAGTAGAGACTGGGTTGGCCAGGCTGGTCTCGAATTCCTGACCTCAAGTGATCCAACTGTCTTGGCCTCCCAAAGTGCTGGGATTACAGGTGTGAGCCACCATGCCTGGCCAGAAAAACACAAATATATTAATATATGTACATACAGATACATGTGTACATGTGGAAAAAGCTAGAAGGTTATTATATTAATTTGCCAGGGCTGCAATAATAAAGTACCACAGACTGCGTAGTTTAAACAACAGACATTTATTTTCTCACTGTTGGAGGCTGAAAGTCCAACAGTAAGGTGTCAACAGGTTCAGTTTTTTCTGAGATCTCCTGAAGGAGTGGCCTGCCCCTCCACACCGGTAGGTATATCTCGTCAGGTGGGACAAGAGACTGAGAAAAGAAATTAAGACACAGAGACAAAGTATAGAGTTAGAACAGTGGGCCCAGGAGACTGGCGCTCAGCATATGGAGGACCTGCACCGGCACCGGTTTCTGAGTTCCCTCAGTATTTATAACTATTTTCACTATCTCGGCAAGAGGAATGTGTCAGGAGAGCAGGGTGATAGTGGGGAGAAGGTCAGCAAGAAAACATGTGAGCAAAGGAATCTGTGTCACAAATAAGTTCAAGGGAAGGTACTATGCCTGGATGTGCACGTAGGCCGGATTTATGCTTCTCTCCACCCAAACATCTCAATAAAGAATAACAAAGCAGCATTGCTGCCAACATGTCTCGCCTCCCTTCCTCTTTTACTAATCCTCCTCAGCACAGACCATTCATGGGTGTCGGGCTGGGGGATGGTCAGGTCTTTCCCATCCCCCGAGGCCATATTTCAGACTATCACATGGGGAGAAACCTTGGACAATACCCAGCTTTCCAGGGCAGAGGTCCCTTAGGCTTTCCGCAGTGCATTGTGCCCCTGGTTTATCGAGACTGGAGAATGGTGATGACTTTTACCAAGCATACTGCCTGTAAACATTTTTTTAACAATGCACATCCTGCACAGCCCTAGATCCCTTAAACCATGATTCCATGCAACATGTGTTTTTGTGAGCTCAAGGTTGGGGCAAAGTTACAGATTAACAGCATCTCAGGGCAAAGCAGTTGTTCAGGGTACAGGTCAAAATGGAGTTTCTTATGTCTTCCCTTTCTACGTAGACACAGTAACAGTCTGATCTCTCTTTCTTTTCCCTACAGTCTCCCTCATTGGCTTGCAGATGGCCCATTCTCCCTGTGTCCTCACACAGAAGTGTTAGGATTATAGGCGTGAGCTGCCACTGCACCGTATCTAGTTTTTTTATATAAACTTTACAATTCACTTGTCAATTTCTATTCTGTGTCTGTGTCCTAATTGTCTGATTTTAGAGGGATGCCAGTCATATTGGATGAGGGCCCATGCTAATGACCTCGTTTAACCTTAATTACATCTTTAAAGCCCTTTCTCCAAATATAGTCACATTCTGAGGTACTGGGGGTTAGGATATGAATTTTAGGGGAATACTACTCAGCCCATAACATCTATATACGAAAATATTAACTAGGTATTTTTAAAATATGGAGAGTTTTTTCGTGATTTTTTTATAAAAATGCTTTTAAGTTGGGCCTGGCGGCTCATGTCTATAATCCCAGCACTTTGGGAGGCCGAGGTAGGTGGATCACTTCAGGACAGGAGTTCAGGACCAGCCTGGCCAACATGGCAAAATGCCGTCTCTGCTAAAAATACAAAAACTAGCAGAGCGTGGTGGCGTATGCTTGTAATCCCAGCTACTAGGGAGGCTGAGGCAGGAGAATCACTTGAACCTGGGAGGCAGAGGTTGCAGTGAGCCGAGATGCCACTGCACTCCAGACTGGGCAACAGAGTGAGACTCCATCAATAAATAAATAAATAAATAAATAAATAAATAAATAAATAAATGTATGTTTTTAAGGCTGCACATTAAACTACCTCAAATAAAATAATAAAATTATAATTGATTGTCATTATTACTAATGAGTTTTGCCCCAAGCAAGTTTCTGAAAAGGGTCCAAATAGCTCATCCCTTTGAAGCAGATTCTGAGTTGGAAAATCTGTTAACAGTTGCTTCCTCCATAACAAACATAAAAGAACAGCATGGATCCAGATCTCCCCCAGCCATTTGGGGAGAAATAGAAGAATAAGAACTATCATAAGACTGCATGTGCATAAGATGTTACATGATACTCTTTTAGTTGTAAAATATAAAGAGGGCAAAATGTAAATGGTCGCTTAATAAGTTGTATGTATTTGTATATGCATATATATATATGTATATATTTTTTTAACTCTGGTAACAAAATACATAACATGAAATCTACCATCTTTGTTTAATTTTGTTTCTGAGATGGGTTCTTTCTCTGTCACCCAGGCTGGAGTGCAGTGGTGCAATCTCAGTTCACTGCAACCTTCGCCTCTCCGGCTTGAGCAATCCTCCTGTCTCAGCCTCCCATGTAGCTGGGACTACAGTCATGAGCCACCATGCCTGGCTAATTTTCGTATTTCTTTTTAGAGATGAAGTTTTGCCATGTTACCCAGGCTGGTCTTGAACTCCTGGGCTCAAGTGATCCACCAGCCTTAGCCTCCCAAAGTGCTGGGATTACAGGCATGAGCCACCACACCCAACTGTTTTGTTTTTCTTTTCAAACAGGATTGGCTGAAATACCATCTTAAATTATTAAGTGTACACTTCAGTATTGTTATATACCCGCATAATTCTATACAGCAGATCTCTAGAACTTTTTCATCTCGCATGACAAACTCTACTCCCATTCCCCCTGCTCCCAGCCCCTGGCAGCCACCATTCTACTCTGTTTCTGTAAGTCTGACTCCTCTAGGTACCTCCTATGGAATCATATAGCGTTTGTTCTTCTGGGACTGGTTGATAAGCTGTATATTGTTTACTGATTCCCATCCCCTTTTATCTCAGGAGCCTTGAAACTACATTTACTCGATTCTCTTACCTCCAGGGTTCTGTGTTTCATCTACATATTGTGTTTTGTGTGTTTTGTTGTTTATTGTTTTTGGGGTTTTGTTTTTGTTTTTGTTTTTGTTTTTGTTTTTTTTGAGATGGACTCTCACTCTGTCGCCCAGGCTGGAGTGCCGTGGCTCCATCTTGGTTCACCACAACCTTGGCCTCCTGGGTTCAAGTGATTCTCCTGCCTCAGCCTCCCAAGTAGCTGGGATTACAGGCACCCGCCACCACGCCAGGCTAATTTTTTGTATTTTCAGTCGAGATGGGTTTTCGCCATGTTGGCCAGGCTGGTCTCCAACTCCTGAGCTCAAGTGATCCGCCCACCTCAGCCTCCCAAGGTGCTGGGATTACAGGTGTGAGCCATCACGCCCAGCCTAGATATTGTTAATAAAATAAACTCATGAGATGACTTGGAAACCTGAAGGAAAGCAAAAGACATCCTTCCTCTGCCAGCAGTGGTATGTGGGCTTTGGTGTGTTTTTTCTGGGGCTGACAAGACTCTATTGCACTGCTTTTTACCCAATGCAGGGATGTGTGATTCTGGCAGTGGTTTCTTGGCCTCTGGATGGCAGTAGAAATGTCCTGGCCTCTGGATTAGGGGTGTGGGGTCTAACAGGAAAGCTGGTGGAGAGCTCCTTACCTTCTGCTCCCCTAAGCATTCCAGTGATTTCTTTTTTGTTTTCTTTTTATCTTTAAAAAAAAATTAGGCTGGCACAGTGGCTCACCCCTGTAATCCTAGCACTTTGGGAGGCCAAGGTGGGCAAATCACTTGAAGTCAGGAGTTCGAGACCAGCCTGGCCAACATGGTAAAACCCCATCTCTACTAAAAATACAAAAAATTAGCTGTACGTGGTGGCACGCGCCTGTAATCCCAGCTACTCAAGAGGCTGAGGCAGGAGAATCGCTTGAACCCGGGAGGCCGAGGTTTCAGTGAGCCGAGATCATGCCACTGCACTCCAGCCTGGGCAACAGAGCGAGACTCCCTCTCAAAAAAAAAAAAAAATTAACTTTAGGTGTCAAGGTAATTCAATGTGGAAAGAATCACCTCTTCCAGATGATTCTGCTGGGATAACTAGATATCCACATGCAAAGGAATGAAATTGGACCCCTACTTCACTCTATATTCAAAAATCACTCAAAATTTTTATGTAGAGTCAGGGTGTCACTATGTTGACCAGGCTAGTCTCAAACTCCTGTCCTCAAGCAATCCTCCCACCTCAGCCTCCCAAAGTACTGGGATTATTGGCCTGTACCACTTCACCCAGTCTAGTATTTTCATATAAACTTTAGAGTTAGTTTGTCAATTTCTATTTTTAGAAACTTTTGGGAGGGCCAGGCATGGTGGCTCACGCCTGTAATCCCAACACTTTGGGAGGCCAAGGCAGGTGGATCACTTGAAGTCAGGAGTTCAAAACCAGCCTGGCCAACATGGTGAAACTCCGTCTCTACTTAAAATACAAAAAAAATTTAGCCAGGTGTGGTGGTGCATGCCTGTAATCCCAGCTACTCGGGAGACTGCGGCAGGAGAATCCCTTGAACCTAGGAGGTGGAGGTTGCAGTGAGCTGAGATCGCGCCACTGCACTGCAGCATGGGCAACAATGCAAGACTCTCTCCCAAAAAAACTTTTGGGAGTTTAATTGGGATTGCATTGAAGCTATAGATCAATTTGGGGAGAATGAATCTTAACAATTGTAACAGTTACCTATTGCAGCATAGCAAACCACCCAAAACCTATTGACTTAAACCAATAATCATTGGTTCAGCTCACAAATCTGTAATTTGGTCCTGTCTTAACAGTACGTGTTTGTCTGCTCCACATGGTGTCAGCTGGGGGTTGGTGGATCATCTCCCAAGATGGTTCACTTACATAGCTGGCAATTGGTGCTGGATGTCTAAATGGGAGCTCAGCTAGTATGAAGGCCAGGGGTCTCTGCTCCTCTCCATATAAAACTCTGCCTCTCCATGGCAATGTGGCTTTCTTACATCCATTCCAAGAGTGTGAATCATCCCAAGAAAACCAGTCAGAAGTGTATGGATATTTTATGACCTACCTTAGAAGTCACGAAGCATCACTTCTGCCATACTCTAGTGGTCAACCCAGTTGTGTAAATGTCCCCCCAGGTTCAAGGGGAATGACCGTAGACCATTCAATGGGAAGAGTGTTAATGTTACATTGTAAGAAAAGCATATGGGAGGGAATATATTATGGTGTCCATCTTTGGAAAATGCAATCTGCCACAACAATATTGAGTATTTCAATCAATGAACATGATATATCTCTCAATTTATTGAGGTTTGCAACATCTCTCAGCAGTGTTTCATAGTTTTCCAAGTACAAGTCTTGCAGTCATTTTACTACATTTATTCCTAAATATGTCAGGTTTTCTCATGTCATACTAGCATTCCTCTGTTTCGCTCCGTCTCTCTCTCACTCACACACACATACATATACACACATACAAACCTCAAGTATGAAGTATGTTTGCATGGTTCCCATGTCTATACTTATTCCTGCTTAGGAAGCTCTATCCAGACCTATCATTTATTCATTTAGTCAAACAATAAATAACATAATTTCAATCAATGAAAAGTAAATGAACCAAATAGAGCAGAGTGAGGAGATGGGAATGATGGCATGGGAATGGGATTTATTTTAGACAAGGTGTTCCTCTCTGGCAAGATGTCATTTGAACAGAGACATGAATGATGTAAAGGAGCAGCATCTCTATCCACAGAGACCTGGGTAAGAACATTCTGGATAGAAGGACAAGCAATTTCAAAGGCTCAAAGGGAGGAATAGGCTTTTTTTTTTTTTTTCCAGAAGATAGCAAGGCCATTGTACCTGGAGTGCAGTGAAGAAGAAACTACCAAAACACAAAGTTGGTGAGATTGTTAGTCTTATACTAACTGTCTTTTATAACCTAATCTCAGAGGTGACATACCATCACTTCTGTCATGTAATATTCATCACACAGACCAACCTTGATTCAATGTGGGATGAAGAAAATGCCAGAAGAGGGGATGGGTCACTGGGGCCACAATGATTTTTTGCAGTTTTTGATCTTTTCATTAGGAATTGGGGAATGGAAATTCCTGTATCTGACTTCCTTCTTCCTTATCTACCCAGTAGTCTCTTGCACACTTGTTTTCATATAAATTTTCAAACCTATAAAAAATAGAATATATTGAACTCCCAATCAACCAGTTTCAACAATTCTGAACACATGGCTGTTCTGTTTCGTCCATGTATTCTCCATTCTCTCTAACTCAGATTATTTTAAAGCAATCCAAGATTAAATATCATTTAATCTGTGAATATCTCTAAAATGTGACCCTTCCTTATTCTTAAGAAAAACCACAGTATGATTATTACACCTGAAAAAGTTAACAATAAAGCTTTACTATCCAATTAGTGTTTAAATTTCCCTATAATATTCTTTCAAAGTCGGTTCATTTGAATCAAGATCTAAACAAAGTCCATATATAGTTCATAAATGTAGTTTATTATATAGTTATGTAAATAACTATATAAACAGAAAAAAGTATAAAAATAAAATGTACTTAGGGTCAGCTGCATATTTAAGAAATAGGGAGGAAATTACCTTTGCTCTTCTCTTCAATCCTAAACAACATGTTCCCTTGAATTCAGGTCATTACCATGAGTGTCATCCATTAGGAGTTAACATAATGTTCTTTCTACAGGGAAATGTCATCTAACCTCTAAACAAACAATTTAGAAGCAAAGTTGTGGAAAGCATTCCTTTAGTAAATTGAGAATGCTAGAAAACATCACCTCACATGTCCTCAGGCTAATGAATCCACTTAAGGCACTCGATGTAACATATCCAGATTGGCCATGAAACTAAACCAAAGTATCACTTGAATCTTATGAACTGCACAAATTCCCTGCAAGGAAAACATACGTACATAATTATCTCACTTGTTGTAACTTAAAAGGTGTTTCTGAAGAAAAAGGTGCAGCAAGAACCAAGTAAGACAAAAATACTTCCTTAGAAATAATCTGGCATCTCTAGCTGTTGTTATGATTGTCCCTGGAAACGAGCCAGAACAGATTAATAAGTATCTGACTGTTATGAGCTGCCAAATAAAGGCTAAGAAATTAAACCTACGATTCAGAAAAGAAAGAGTCAGAGAAGTTAACAGTGTTTTCTTAGTAGGAGAGAACTATTGTCAACTCTCAGTTTTTTGATGAGCCACAAAAATATCACTTTGTTCTTTTTATACAATAGAAAACAAATGGAAGGAATATAATAGGAAATGCCGGGTGTTTATAAAGAACCTTGAGCACTCAGCAGATTTTCTTCCATTGCTTTCTATAAAATTCTTGTTGGATGAATAGAGGCAGATTGGGAGATGGATGCCTTACTTTTTCTGCTTAATGTGTTGAAAAATTAATAGAACACTTATACAATCATAATGCCTTCAGTTTTAAAATTAAATACTCTAAAAGGAATATTTTATCCACATCCTGTTATGGCGTACTAGGAAACTTGGGGCCCAGATGGAATTGCTTGGGTCCCACAGTTGGCCTGTGCTAGAACTGGGACAGGGCCAGAACTCCTGCCTCCAGGAGAGGGGTTCAGACTGCTTCCCCATGAGATGGCTTTGCTAACATCCGAATCAGCCATTATCAGGAAGAAAATGCTAAAGTAGTCACGGCCATTTTACTCTATAATTTCCTTTGAAATGTTTCGGAAATAGATGCATTTAGACATTTGGAAAAAGCTCACATAAAATATAATCACTATCCCTTCACCTGTTAGTACTGAACTCTTAGACTATGGAGAATCAAGTTTCCTGAACCATCTCCTATGTTATAAATCTGTGAAGAATCTGTTGTAAGTGATTTGAATGTACTATCTAATAGTTGGCATTCTAATCAGGATAATTACTAATGATTGCAATTGGTCATTGCAATGCCCATAATCTATCTATAATCTTGCCTGCCACTCACCTCCTGTTGTGTGGCTCAGTTCCTAACAGGCTGTGGATCAGCACTGGGAGTCAGAGACCCCTAGATTATACCGTATAGCCTAGGTATGTAGTAGGCTAGACCATCCAGCTTTGTGTAAGGCCACTCTATGATGTTCATACAATGACAAAATAGCCTAACAATGCATCTTTCAGAATGTGTCCCCATATTAAGTGACACATGACTGTACCTTCCATTAGGCCCCATCTCCCAACACTGCTGCACGGGGGATTAAGTTTCTAACATTTGAACTTTAGGAGACACGTTCAAACCATACCAACCTCCTTTTCCAAGTCCTCATGGAATTGATGAATCCAGTATAGATGAATCAACAGACTGAATGTGTATCAGTGAAGCCTTCCTGTGGTTTGCTTTATGAAACTACATAGATAGAAAAAGGCCAAGGTTGGATTGTCTCCTATGGAAAAGTTTAACTACTTGAGTGGATTGCTAAACCTGGGACATACATTAAAGCCACTGGCTGCCTGTTGATCATGACAACTGTCTACAGATTAAGAAGGAGGCCAGCCCAGCTTAGTAGCTGCTATGATTCAGAAGGATGGGGCTGCACTATGAGGGTAGTATATTCAGAATAATATGTTGACAGGCCAGACCAGCACTATGGGAGGCTGAGGCGGGAGGATCACTTGAGGCCAGAAGTTCAAGACCATCCTGGCCATCATGGCAAATCCCCATCTGTACTAAAAATACAAAAAAATTAGCTGGATATGGTGGCACACGCCTGTAATCCGAGCTACTTTGGAATCTGAGGCATGAGAATCGCTTGAACCCAGGAGGCGGAGGTTGCAGTGAGCCAACATGGCACCACTGCACTCCAGCCTGGGTGACAGAGTGAGACTGTGTCTGAAAAAAAAAAAAGAAAATACAAAATAATATGCTGACAGATGACCTGAGTTCTCATGACACTTCCTAGGTGATGATGCCATTTCAATCTATAAATAATGAAGGCTATAGTTTCTTGCTGCTCTTAGAAAGGCTAATGCTATAGCTTTCTGCTAAACATTTTCTTATTAACCTTTGCCAGCATCCTGAGCTTGATGGTTTTCATGGCTTAGCTTACCCTCCTCTTAGGGATTTCTTAATCACCAAACTCTCAGACACTATTTTCAAACAAATGAATGAGATCCCCTGGGGACCTGAAAGAGCTGCCAGACCTCTCAGAGTGATTCGGCTGATGAAAGTGGGAGGCCAGAGGTCAGGAGGTGTGTGCCCAATGGGCGCTGTTTCCATGGGTTACTGAGCTCTAGTACTTGGTCCACAGAATTGAGTTCACTTGTCCAAGGCTACTGCCTGCAAGACAGAGACAGCTGGCCCCATCCTTGCATTTGTAAGGATAGGCACGATTCATCAAAATACTATTCTATACTTGGGAGGCAGACGTGGGAGGATCGCTTGAGCCCAGGAGTTCAATGCTGAAGTGAGCTATGATTGTGCCACTGCATGCCAGCCTAGGTGACAGAGTGAGACCCTGTCTCAAAAAAAAAAAAAAAATACACACACACACACACACACGTATATGTATTCTGCTTGGGCCAATAAATGGGCCAGAACAAGACAAAAAGCAGGGGTAACCTGAGGGTTACTTCTAGATCAAGCAAGAGAAGGAAAACATCAAATCCAGATCTGGAAGTGAGGTCAGAGAACATTAATGAGAGGATATTCCAGAAGGTTAGTGATTGAATTTTTTAAAAAGAGCGGGTGGGGTGTCAATAACCAGGTACTACCAGTCATGTAGCAAAGGGAATTCAGGAGCAATGGGCAGAGTCTTGGAAGTAATAGAGTGGGTAATGAAGGATAGGGAAACTGTTGCCAAATGGGAGGGAGCAGCGGGGGCAGGAGTTGGGAAGTGAATGAGTTAAGATCTAACAAAAAAATCAGAACTGGAAGGAGACACCTCCTCTCTGTTTCTGCCCATCTTGGATCCGGGCTGTCCTCTGGGCAGACAGATGGCTCCAGTCTACATCTCTGGCTCCGACTTCTTTCCTTAGATCAATTCCCACAAATCACTTTCTACTGTCCAGAGAAATGTTCTTTCTACTACTGTCCAGAGAAATGAATCATTCTCTACAGAATGCAAATAGAAAAAGAAGGAAGCAGACGTCCTGGTTTAACCAATCAGAGGAGTAGAAATTACCCCTGGCCATCAGTGGGGAGATAGATTTGGAGGCCAGATTGCATTTTAAAAGGCTTTGTTAACCAAGTTCTTTTTTAAATTTAACATTCCTTCATGAGCATTTCCCTCATCATGAAGAGTAGTCACTTAAAAAAATTACGGGGCTGGACACAGTGGCTCACGGCTATAATCTCAGCATTTTGGAAGGCCAAGGAGGTTGGATCGCTTGAGCTCACGAATTCGAGACCAGCCTGGGCAACATGGCAAAACCCTGTCTGTACAAAAAATAAAAAAAATTAGCCGGACATAGTTGTGCGTTCCTGTAGTCCCAGCTACTTGGGAGGCTGAGGTGGGAGGATTCCTTGAGCCCAGGAGGCAGAGGTTGCAGTGAGCCGAGATCATGCCACTGCACTCCAGCCTGGGTGACAGAGCCAGGCCCTGTTTCAAAAAAAAAAAAAAAATACTGAAGTGTAACATATATATGGAAACTTGCACACATCTAAAGTGTACCTCTCGAAGGATTTTCATCAACTGCACACACCCCTAGACAGCTCCCCAGAAGTGCCCCTATAAAAAGCACTCTGTTTTTCTTTTTTTTTTTTTGAGACAGAGTCTGAAACTATTTTTTGAGACAGAGTCTCTTTGACTATTCCCAACTCTGGGAAACCCCATTTATCTACTTTGTCTCCTCTGAGCTACTGAGTATGGTGAGAGAAAGTATAGAACCCTTCTGGTTAAGGCACTACAAGTTTTGGGTTTGTGTGTGTGTTTTTTAATAGAGATGGCATCTCCCTATGTTGCCCAGGCTGGTCTCAAACTCGAGGGATCAAGAGCTCCTCCTGCTTCAGCCTCCCAAAGTGCTGAGATTACAGGCGTGAGCCACTGCACCCCACCAAGGCCACTACAAATCCTTGCCATCTCTGTTCATCAAGACCCTCACTGTGTTATGTTCTGAGTGCTAAGATTGGGCTCGTTGTTTGCCTTCATGTTAATCAGTGATATTGACCTATAACTTTCTAAGTTATCTATAACTTCTAACTTAGTATTATCTTTGCGAAGTTTTAACGATTAAAAGTGTATTAGTCTGTTCTCGTAGTGCTATAAAGAACTACCTGAGGCCGGGAGCGTTGACTCACACCTGTGATCCCAGCACTTCAGGAGGCCAAGGTGGATGGATCACTTGAGGTCAGGAGTTCAAGACTAGCCTGGCCAACACGGTGAAACCCCGTCTCTGCTAAAAATACAAAAATTAGCTGGGTGTGGTGGCATGTGCCCGTAGTCCCAGCTACTTGGAAGGGTGAGGCAGGAGAATCGCTTGAACCTAGGAGGCAGAGGTTGCAATGAGCTGAGATCACACCACTGCACACCACTGCACTCCAGCCTGGGTGACAGAGTGAGACCCTGTCACACACACACACACACACACACACACACACACACACACACACACAAAGAACTACCTGAGACTGGGTAATTAATAAAGAAAAGAGGTTTAATTGGCTCACAGTTTTACAGGCTATACAGGAAGCATGGCTGGGGAGGTTTCAGGAAACTTAAAATCGTGGCGGAAGGTGAAGAGGCAGGAGGCACGTTTTACATGGCTGGAGCAGGAGGAAGAGAAAGAGCGGGAAGGCGTTACGCACTTTTATAAACAACCAGATCATGTGAAAGCTCACTCACTATTATGAGAACAGCAAGGGGGAAATCCACCCCCATGATTTAATCGCCTCCCACCAGGCCCCTCTTCCGACACTGGGGATTACAATTCAACATGAGACCCAAACCATATCAAAAAGCTTATTTGCAATTTTACATTTTGAAAATGATGAGAAGGATTGGTTTGGAATACTCAACAAGCTGAGATACCTGTACAGTGTTTTGTATGGTGGGATAGATGTCACCCTAGATAAGCAGATGGTTTTACACAGAACACAAATACAAAGTTTGTTTTTTTTTATTTGAACAAGCATGTATTTCTTTTAGTGAGTACTGGAGTAAAATAGAATTAGCACACCAAACCCAATTTTCATCACTGCCATTGCTTAGAAGAAGGGTAAGTTTTATAAGTAAGTTGAATTAAAGTTGACTAAAGAAAAATGGTAATTACATAACAGTACAGGTGACCTGCAGATGTGGCAGTAATTTGTAAGTGCTAGTTAAATGACATTGCTACTGCATAATTTAGAAGTCCTGAAACCTTTCTCTTGTGTATATTAAATCCTAACAGGAAGAAACAGAGGGAGTTATTTAGGATATGCCAAGAAAAAAAGAATCAAACCCACCCTCAAAGTCATATTAAAATAGTGTTTACTTCCTGTTATTGATCTCTTTGTAAGACATGTTTATGAGTCAGCTGTGTATTTAACAATTATGTAAATAGTTATCATGTGGGTTTTTACTTATTAACATATACCTGGGAATAATATCAGCCATTTATTTTTAGGACAATTTTTTTTTCAAATTTTCAAAAAAAAATTTTTTTTTTTTTTTTGAGGTGGAATCTTGCTCTGTCGCCCAGGCTGGAGTGTAGTGGTGTGATCTCGGCTTACTACAACCTCCACACCCTGGATTCAAGCGATTCTCCTGCCTCAGCCTCCCAAGTAGCTGGGACTATAGGCGCCCACCACCACGCCCGGCTAATTTTTGTATTTTTAGAAGAGACGGGGTTTCACCATATTGGCCAGGCTGGTCTTGAACTGCTGACCTTGTGATCCCATGACCTTGTGATCCGCCCGTCTCGGCCTCCCAAAGTGCTGGGATTACAGGTGTGAGCCACAACGCCCGGCCCAAAAAATTTTTTTAGCAGATGGGGTCTCCCTCTGTCAACCAGGCTGGGGTGCAGTGGCACAATCACAGCTCACTGCAGCCTCAAACTCCTGGGCTCAAGAGATCCTTCTCAGCCTCCAGAGGAGCTAGGTCTTTAGGTGCATACACCATGTCCACCCAAATATACATATATATATATGTGTGTGTATATATATATATATATATGTGTGTGTGTATATATATATATATACACATATATATATTTTGAGACAAAGTCTTGCTATGTTGCCCAACCTGGTCTCAAACCCTGGGCCTCAAGCAATCCTTCCACCTCAGCATTGCAAAGTGCTGGGATTACAGTTATGAGCCACTGCACCTGGCCCAAATTTCCAAATTTAGAAAAAAAAGTTCAAACCTAATAATGGATATAAGTCTGTAGTCCACATAACAAACCAATATGATAATGAGTTAGGTTTTGTTTTGGTTTTGTGTTGCTAAAGTTCCCATTCCAGGATCAGGTGGGTCAACTGAACATTCAATTTTGGGGTGTCTATATATAGAGCGTTTGCCATCTGGTTCATAGCACCTTGTGTTTTTATGTATCACTTTACTTAATCTTTGCTTCCACATCTAGACTGTAAACCTTAAGGGAAGAAACCACATCTTTTTCCTTTTTGTATCCTCAGTACCAGCAGAATAGCTTGCTAAAGTAGATACACAAATTCCTACTGCAAGTCACTGGGTATATCCATCCAAAACTTTAGAAAAAATTTTATTATGGAAAAGTTCAAATGTATGCATTATCGATGCGTCATCTGGCACTTTCTAAAATGTTTCCTGGGTGTTTAAGGTGAAAGCCAGGGAAAGATGTCAGTTACATTTGTGCTTTCTCTTCGCCAATAGCAAAAGCAGAATACAGTACACCATGGGAAAGACACTGTTGTACGAATTACAGAGCAACCAGAGAGAGGAGAGACTCCTGACCTCCACAGCCAGCATGATGTAGGCAATGATCAACTGGGTGTGGGCCCAGGTGAGGGTTCTATAGAACAGCCTCATCGGCCAGGATCTGATAAACTCATTGGCAAAGGAGTGAATCAGGTAGTCAGCTTCCACCATCACGGCCCAGCAAACGAAACCAAACACCTGTCCTGGATGGAGTCCATGCCACCAGGCAGAGAAGGCAAATGTCTGCAACAACGGCCAAGCCCTGCTGTGCTGGAATACAAGCCGTCGGAGCCATCGAGCTGTGCTTTGGTTCCACTTTCTTGAGAACACAGATATCCTGTGGGTTCTTTCCAGGGTCCAGATGTCTGCATCGGGGACATATCCCTCCTCTCCAGGGCTCTGACCAAGCTCAGGCCCAAAGCCCGCTGCGTGGAGGAGGGAGTCGTCCAGGATCCAGTGGGAGTAGTAGGTGAGCTTGAAAAGCCCAGCTGTGGTCCACACGACATAGATGCACTCGAATTGCTGGCAATCAGTCAGTCCCGCTCCTGCATCCACCACCCTGCTCACTGCCACGTTTAGGCATTCTAGTCCAAGAATCTGCAGACCCCTCCAGCTCAGAGCCCAGAAAGAGTGTCTGGGATGCAAAGCACTGGACCCTTGAACACGAGCCTGAAATCGCTGGAAGGAGCACAGAGAGCCTCCCAGGAGAGCAGGGAAAAAGAGCAAGTAGCTGAAATAGGGCAGTGCCTTACACACATGCTCAGACAAAGAGCTCCTGCTCCTGAAGCCTCCAGATGCTGCCTTCACTTTCCCCTCACAAATGTCCAGAGAGAGGGACGTGACCCTCTGGGTCAAGAGCATGAGAGAAGAAAGAGTGATGCAGAACCTGCAAGATAATTTTTTAAAGAACATAAAAACACTCTGTATTTATTCTCTCTCTCTTATTCCAGTCTGTCATACATGATCTCGCAGGAAATAGATAGGTCTGTACAGCTAAGATTAATCTCATGGCCTGCAGGACCCCACACAAAATAAATCTTAAAATAAAATAAATCAATCTTATTTATTTATTTTTTTATAGACATGGGGTCTCACTATGTTGCCCAGGCTGATCTGAAACTCCTGGGCTTAAGCAATCTGCCTGTCTCGGCCTCCCAGAGTGCTGGGATTACAGGCATGAGCCACCGCCCCTGGCAATATTTATAGATCTTAAGTATACAGTGGAGCTTAAGTCTAGACTAATATACCCCAAACTTTTAAGAATAGTTACCTCTAGGGAATGAAATTAGCGTAAAAAATCTTTCACTTTTTGCGTTGTTTGAATTTTTTGTAATGATCATGTGTGTTTTATAAATAAGCATATGTATATCTGTATGAATATGTGTGTATATTTGCATATATATTTTTTGTTTGTTTTAAAGAAAAGGTTAGATGCACACATTTACACGCATGTTCAACTTGAGAAGCTTCCCAGGGATCTCAGAGATCCATCCCATCTTCCATCCTGAAATCTTCCATCCTGAATAGGAGAATTTGCCTGGGAAATTTTACTTTAACAGCTGAAGGTTCTTGAATTAATTCAGAACCACACACTACTCCAATTTGAAAGTTGTGGGAATAAAAATGGAATCATGGCTGGGTGCAGTGGGTCCCATCACTTTGGGAGGCTGACGTGGGTGGAACCCTTGAGCCCAGGAGTTCAAGGCTGCAGTGAGCTATGATTGCACCACTGCACTCCAGCCTACACATCCAAGTGAGACCCTGTCTCAAAAAAAAAAAAAAAAAGAAAGAGAAAAGAAAATGAAGTCACTTGTGTTAAAAAGCAAAACAAAACAAAACACTTCTGACAAACAGAGCCAGGAAAAGGTATGAAGAGAGGGTTCTCAATGCTTGTATGTCTGATAACAAAAACTACCACAAAAGACTGCAAAAACCACAACCTTGCATAACAACCATTGCAACCCTATACAAAAAAATACTTTTGTGAGGTCACCTGCCCAGCCACTTCCTGCCCAACCACAGACTGACATCACCCTTGTCATTGAGCCTGTACTCAAAGATAATGATTTCAAAACAATTATGTAATGCTCCTTATTTTTCTCTTAAAAAACTTTCTCTTACCAGCTGGGTGTGGTGGCTCACGCCTGTAATCCCAGCACTTTGGGAGGCCGAGGCAGGTGGATCACGAGGTCAAGAGATCGAGACCATCCTGGCCGATATGGTGAAACCTCATTTCTACTAAAAATACAAAAATTAGCTGGGTGTGGTGGTGCACACCTGTAGTCCTAGCTACTCGGGAGGCTGAGGCAGGAGAGTCACTGGAACCTGGGAGGCGGAGGTTGCAGTGAGCCGAGATTGTGTCACTGCATTCCAGCCTGGTGATAGAGCGAGACTGCATCTCAAAAAAACAAAACAAAAAAAAAAACAAAAAAAAACTTTGTCTTCCTTTACCTACCTGAAAACACATACGATGGCACACATATTCCCACTGTAATGCCCAATTCCTAAATAAGTATCATTTTCTTTTTTTATTTTTTTGGAGACAGAGTCTCATTCTATGGCCCAGGCTGGAGTGCAGTGGCGCGATCTCAGCCGCCCACTGCAACCTCTGCTGCCTCCTGGCTTCAAGCGATTCTCCTGCTTCAGCATCCTGAGTAGCTGGAATTACAGGTGCACGCCACCACGCCCAGCTAATTTTTGTATTTTTAGTAGAGACAGGGTTTCGCCATGTCTGCCAGGCTGGTCTTGAACTCCTCATCTCAGGAGATCTGCCCGCCTCGGCCTCCCAAAGTGCTAGGATTACAGGTGTGAGCCACTGCTCCCAGCCATAAGCATCCTTTTCTTTTTTCTTTTCTTTTCTCTTGTTTTGTTTTTCCTGAGACACGGTCTCACTCTATCACCCAGGCTGGAGTGCAGTGGCACCATCCTGGCTCACTGCAACCTCTGCCTCCCAGACTCAAGTGATCCTCCCACCTCTCCCTCCTGAGAAGCTGGAACTTCAGACATGCGCTACCACGCCTAGTTAATTTTTGTGGGTTTTTTTTTTTTTTTTGTAGAGATGGGATTTCACTATGTTGGCCTGGCTAGTCTCAAACTCCTGGCCTCAAGTGATCCACCCACCTCAGCCTCCCAAAGGGCTGGGATTATAGGCGTGAGCCACTGTGCCCAGCCCCATCATTTTCTTTTAGGGAGACTCTTCCTATTTGTTATTTAGGGTGACATCAGGCAGGATCATGTAAATGGGGAAATTAAACATTAGAGATGCAAATAAGAGAATGATGAGGAACATTGTGGGAAATGTTGATTATAATATTTCCAAGAAAGGCCTACAAAGATTAGGATCAGAGACTTGGGAGAAATTTGCCGTAGAGGAAATAAAAACTCGGTAGTGAAGAAAAGATAGGAAGCTGAAGATTTTAAATACGAACCAGGCCCTGGCTGTAGGACTTTGCCTAATGTGGGATTTGTACTGAGGAATGGATCACAATGTGTGCTGAGCCATTAGCAATTTGAAATATGGCCTTAACCAATCACCTGAGCTCTTACTGCTTCACCATCAAAGATCCCACTGGCAAGATTATTGAGGAGAACAATGAATGAAAATTAGGCTGGGCACAATGGCTCACACCTGTAATCCCAGCACTTTGGGAGGCTGAGGTGAGGTGGGCTGATCACTTGAGCCCAGGAGTTTGAGACCAGCCTGGGCAACATGGCAAAACCCCGTTTCTACAAAAAATATGAAAATTAGCCCGATGTGGTGGTGCATGCCTGTGGTCCCAGCTACTGAGGAGGCTGAGGTGGGAGGATTGCTTGAGCCCAGGAGGTCGAGGCTGCAGTGAGCCATGAGCATGCCACTGTGCTCCAGCCTGGGCAACAGAGTGAGACCTTGTCTGAAAAAAAAAAAAAAAAGGAAAGAAAATTACAATGACACACTCTACAGTCAGAAATGCTGTCCTGTGGAGAGAAAACAACAGTCTTCTAACTGCTGCTGTTTCTATCCATGTGTCTGAAGATTTAAGAAAAACTGACCCCGTCACTTGACTGATTCTCACTGAAAGCAAGGTAGCCTCCAAATGCCACCAAACCCTGCTCATTCACTCTCTATTATGGACTGAATGTGCCCCCAAAATTCCTGTGCTTATGGTCTAACCCCAGTACCTCAGAATGTGACTGTATATGGAGTTAGGGTCTTTAAAGATGTGATTAAGGTTAAATGAGGTCATTAGGATGGGCGCTAATCCAATATGCACAGAGTCCTTATGAGAACAGACAATTAGGACACAGACACATGCACAGACAGAGGAGTGACCATCACGCGGACATACAGGGACACTGCCACCCGCAAGCCACGAGAATGGCCTCAGAAGAACCCAGCCCTGCTGACGTCATCATCAGTGACTTCCAGCCTCCAGAACTGTGAGGAAATGAATTTCTGTTGTTTGAGCCACCCAGTCTGTGGCACTGTGTGATGGCAGCAGCCCTGCCCGACTAGCAGAGCCCCCCATTCCAGGTCTGCTCCAGCCTGCCTCGCATCCAGCCAGATCCTGTTCAACTTGCTCTCCCAGCCCCATCAGGCCCCAGCTCCCTACTGAAATCCTGATTCACTCCATCCCATTTGGTACTTCCTACGCCCCACCCACCTGCCATCTTGCCTTTTCCTTAGAGCAGCCAACCTGAAGCCTTTGGTGAAAATAGTCTCTCCCCCCGAACTTTTTTTTTTTTTTTTGAGACAGTGTCTCCCTCTGTCACCCAGGCTGGAGTGCAGTGATGCGATCTCCTGTCTCAGCCTCCCGAGTAGCTGGGATTCCAGGCGTCCGCCACTATGCCCAGCTAATTTTTGTATTTTTAGCAGAGACGGGGTTTTGCCATGTTGGCCAGGCTGGTCTTGAACTCCTGGCCTCAAGTGATCTGCCTGCCTCAGCCTCCCAAAGTGTTGGGATTACAGGAGTGAGCCACTGTGCCTGGCTGAAAATAGTCTTTACAGGAAAATTAAAAAAAAAAATTCTAGGTATAGTCAGGAGGATGGCAAAGCAAGTGAACCAACCGCAGGCTAGAATCAGATAGGTGACCGCCTGGAGCATCACAGCCTCTGTGCTCCAAGTGACCCTGAAGCCAATTGTGATCACCAGAGAGAGCCAGGAACATGAGATCTCCAGATCACAAAGCAATGTTTCCTCTCATCTCAGGGATCTTGCTGATTCATGACAACACTTCTCTAGACTGTAATTAGCTCTTGATTTCTGTTTTCTAGATGGGGCGCCTACCCTTCTTCAGCAAGATGGGAACAGCTGAGTCTGAAGGAAGAGAAACACTGACACAGCAGCTGCCTCTCCCAGCAGCCGCCATGAGAAGATTGTTACCTGCAAGCAGAGTGTCCACTCAACCCGTGCTGAGGCTGGCAGACAGTGCTGAGTCACTTCTGGGCAGGCCTGCTCTGTGGGCTCTAGGATTCCTGCTTTGCCCTCCCTCTCAGGCACAATGACAACTACTGCTCAGTGCCAGACACTGCACCATGTAGGCAACACGTGGCAGTGATGATTAGTCACAAAATCACATTTATATTCATTCTAATGAAACTGCCATTGCAAAATTATAACTGAGACAGTGAAAGAAGTCTGACCTAACCAACTCCATCTTGCTTCTAACCTCCAAGCTGTCCTTGTTCATTCCCGGGACTCATTTTGGGAGGAACTTAGTTAATAGCTTACAGTTTAAAACAAAGACAATCACAGACCTTTCCCAAAACAAACCCCCTTCTTGCCTGGAAACTAGACTGCCTTTGTAGGATTAACAAATTAGCCGAAAGATTAGAAATTATGGTTTAGGAGTCATGCAGCTGGAGATGACAAGATTCTGACACTCCTCCAATTGCTCCTGGGGATAACATTACTATTCTAAGGCCTAACATCAGTGCTTGAGATGTTTTGTAGACCCTGCCCTTGATGGATCAGCTGGTACTACCCAGACCGATAAACTGGCTCGTCTTATCTTGTGGCCCCCACCCAGGAGCTGACTCAATGCAAGAAGACTGTTCTGACTCCCTATGATTTCATCTCCAACCCAACCAAGCGGCACTGTCAACTCACTGGCCTCCCCCTACCCACCAAATTATCCTTAAAAACTCAGATCCCCAAATGCTCAGGGAAACTGATTATGATTACCCCAAAGCTTGGAGTAATAATAAAACTGGCCTGTCTCCCGCACAGCCAGCTCTCTGTGAATTACTCTTTCTTTACTGCAATTCCCCTGTTTGTCTAGGCAGTGGAGAAGGTGAACCCACTGGGCGGTTACACTAACATTCACAACAATCTTGCAACACAGTATTGTTAGCCCCATATCTTTTCCAGAAAAAGAAATGAGTCTGAAAGAGGTAAAATGACTTGCTCAAGGTCACACTGGTCAAATGTGGAAAAATTAGGACTCCAACCCAACACCCAGGTTCTCTCTGCTACCACCGTGGTGCAAGCAAACTGTAGGTGGGCTGAGCATGACCAACGAACAGGCTGCTTACCTCACAGAAGGAGGCTCATGCAGATAATACTCAGTGTAGTGCAGACCTAGGTGACACAAGGTCTGCCAGCTCATCTGAAAGCAGAAGGTCCACCTGTGGACTTGCTGAGGAGCCAGGGAACAGAGGAGAGCCACAGCGCAGACAGCAGGGGTGAAGACGAGCACGGCGTAGGAACCCATGGCAGCCACGGCCAGGGCACCTCCTCCAGTCAGGAGAAAGAGGTACCTGAAAGAGAAGGGACACCTTGGGGAGAATGACTTAGAACGGCACAGCAAAGGAATTACTGCAGATGTCACTCCAGGGAACCCGATCTGGTAGGCCCCACACAACACCTAAAGTAGCCATGCTGTTTGCACTCTGGGGCCTTCCTTTTGTTCTTCAGAAGAAAAGAATCACGGGAGAAGGAGCCAGGGTAAATTTGTAAATTTCCACCTTGGAGACAAATCTTTTTTTTTTTTTTGAGACAGGGTCTCTCTCTGTCACCCAGGGTGAGTATAGAGTTGCAATCATGGCTCACCACAGCCCTGACCTCCTGGACTCAAGTGATCCTCCTACCTGGGAGGGACTACAGGCATGCACCACCATGCCTGGTTAGCTTTTTATTTTTTTAGAGATGGGGTCTTGGTGTGTCGCCCAGTCTCAAACTCTTGGCCTCAAGCGATCCTCCTCCCTCGGCCTCCCAAAATCCTACAATTGCAGGCATGAGCCACCCCCCTGGCCTGGAGACAAATCTCAGTTCCTGCCTTAGTGGCCCTGGAACCTCTCTTTGATGCCCTCCATTCAAGCGATTCCCTCCCAAGGTATTCCACCGCCTGCCCCTGACCGTCCTGGAAGTCTGGCTAGCAAGGACATCTTTGAAATCTCCTGGTACGTCATCTGACTGAAAAGTGCTGTGAACCTAGTGTCAAGGATCTAGAAGAGCGCCCTAGGCATCCTCTCAAGACAAGTACCTTCCTTTTCACAGGGTCGTGCTACCCGGAAGCATTCCAGAGGCTGACAGAGAAAGGAGACTCAACACTTCCCTTCGAAAAGTGAAAACTCAGAAAAATCTTTATATCCACCCTTCATCCTTACTACTGCACTTTAAGATCTTATGAGTTAGGATTTTGTTTTGTTTTATTAAAGTTTATACTTATTAAAGTTTAGGCCAGGCACAGTGGCTCACACCTGTAATCTCAGCACTTTGGGAGGCCAAGGAGGGAAGATCACTTGAGGCCAGAGTTTGAGACCAGCCTGGGCAATATAGCAAGATCCCATCTCTACAAAAAAAAAATTTGTTTAATAGCCATGCATGGTGGCACACCTGTAGTCCTAGCTACTCAGGAGTCTGAGGTGGGAGGATCACTTGAGCCCATGAGTTAGAGGCTGCACTTGAGCGATGATGACACCATTACACTTCAGCTTGGGTAACAGTGCAAAATCTTGTCTCTAAAAAAACCCAAAAAGTTGTTACAGTTTATTATATCCTGTCACGAAAAATCTGCACAATCACCGCAGATGAAGTCATTGCAGAATCTTTTTTTTTAGACAGAGTCTCGCTCTGTTGCCCGGATTGGAGTGCAGAGGTGCGATGTTGCTCACTGCAACCTCCGTCTCCTGGGTTCAAGCAATTCTCCTGCCTCAGCCTCCTGAGTAGCTGGGATTACAGGCACCTGCCACCATGCCTGGCTAATTTTTGTATTTTTAGTAGAGATGGAGTTTTGCCATGTTGGCCAGGCTGGTCTCTAACTCCTGGCCTCAGTCTTAGACGCTGTCTTGAACTCCTGGTACAGTCTTAGACACTGTACCTAAGGTGATCCGCCCACCTCAGCCTCCCAAAATGCTGGGGTTACAGGCATAAGCCATCGCGCCCGGCCACTGCAGAATCTGGACTCTTTTTTGTCAGCACCAACACTGGCTTTTGGGGCCCCCTGACTTTCTTCATTCTGTCCTTGCATTCCTTTTGCTGTTTTCTTGATGTCTTTTTCTCTCATCTGGGCTATGTCTTGCAAGTTTATGCTTGGGTTCACTTTTCTTTACATAATCCAGGGAATCATAAATCATGCCACTTATCTTGCTACAACAAAATGGGGTCAGAATCTAAACAAAGACGATCTCCATCTTATATATCATGTCCATGAGATCTTGTACATTTTGGCTGGTTTTTCCCAAATTTCTTTCTTATTACTGTTGCCTTCCCAGAGTGAAGGGTGACCACGACCGTATGTTTCCACCAAAGTTGTCAGTTGATTAAGAACTCCTTTGAATGGGTAGCTGCTGTGTCTTTCATGATAGTGGCCAATTTTCAGGTGGCCAGGGAGGAAAAGAGCAGTGTTTTGTCTTGTTTTTGAGACAGGGTCCCTGTTGCCCAGGCTGGAGTGCAGTGGCACGATCATGACTCACTGCAGCCTTGACCCCCCCGGCTCAAGAAATCCTCCCACCTCAGCCTCCCTAGTAACTGGGACTATCGACACGCACCACCATACCTGGCTAATTTTTTTAATATTTTTTGTAGAGATGGGGATTTGCCATGTTGCCCAGGCTGGTCTTGAACTCCCAGACTCATGCAATCCTCTTGCCTCAGCTTCTCAAAGTCCTGGGATTACAGGCATGAGCCAGGGTGCCTGGCCATTGTTTTTTTAATGTTGTAAAATACCCACATTGATGAAATGGTTTGTGAATCATGCCTCTCTCAGAAGCCAAGGAGATGCAGATCTGCAGAGGCCTGGGAAGCTTCACATTACGCACACTTGGTTCTTCCTTCTGCATTATATGGAGGCTTGTTTTTTAATTGGTGCCTAGTTAATAAAACTGAATGAAGGGGTCAGAAAAAGTGTGGAATAGCAGGGCGTGGTGGCTCATGCTTGTAATCCCAGCACTTTGGGAGGCTGAGGCAGGCAGATCACTTGAAGTCAGGAGTTCGAGGCCAGCCTGGCTAACATGGTGAAACCCTGTCTCTACTAAAAATACAAAAAAAATTAGTAGGGTATGGTGGCGGGCCCCTGTAATCCCAGCTACTCAGGAGGCTGAGGCAGGAGAATCGCTTGAGCTCAGGAGGCAGAGGTTGCAGTGAGCTGAGATCGCACTGCTGCATTCCAGCCTGGGTGACAGAGAGAGACTCTGTTTCAAAAAGAAAAGAAAAGAAAGAAAAGAAAAGCGAAAATAAAAGAAAAGAAAAAAGGACTCACTGGTCCTTTTGACTCGCTGGGAAAGCGACTCAAAGAAGCCTAGGATTTCTCTACCAGCTCAGAACCAGGAAACACCATTGCAAGGCAAATGTGTGTCACGGCTCCGGGCACAGTGCCAAGTACAGGTTAGCAAGAACCACTTTTTTCCTTGGGGGAGAGCGTTAAGTGTCTCAGTGTGAGAGCATCTATGACTCAAAAGCCTGGACCATTCTTGTGCTTCTCTTTGAACCTATGCTTGGGGTGACTTCCCCCCTCAACACCCCAGTTAACATTGTGGTCCAAGCCTTTACTTCCCTGCTATGGGAAAACAAAAGGGGGAACATTTATCCTTTACACAGCAACACTCCCACCCACAGGCAACTCCCCTAGGAGATTTATAAACATTAAATTGTCTGTACATGGACAATGTAGAATGTGTGACTTAGCAATGTGTGACTTAGCGATTGCATATTTCATTCTAGGCATAGTGCTAATAACCCTTTACGAGAAATATATTTATTTAATACTTAAAATAACCCCATGAGATAGGCATTATGTTTTCTGTTCTACAGATAAGAAGAGGGCATTTGGGTGAAGTATATTGATATACACAAGGACACTTAGTTAGGTGAGGGAGTCAAGACTCAACAGGCTGAATCCAAAGTGAGAAGTCTTTTTTATTTTATTTTTATTTTTTTGACAGAGTCTCTCCCTGCTGCCCAGGCTGGAGTGCAGTGGCATAATCACGACTTACTACAACCTCAACCTCTTGGGCTCAAGGGATCCTCCTGCCTCAGGCTCCTAAGTAGCCGGGACTACAGGCATGTACCACCACACTTGGCTAATTTTTTGTACTTTTTGTAGAGACAGGGATTTTGTCATGTTGCCCGGGCAGGTCTCAAACTCCTGGGCTCAAGCTATCCACTTGCCTCTGCCTCCCAGTTACTGGGATTACAGGTGTGAGCCACTGCATCCAGCCAGAAACTGAGCAATCTTCACCCTAAGGTAACTCCATGAGGATTAATCCTTATTTTTGCACTCATGTTGCTTTATTGTTTTGAGAATCTTTCTCAAAAGGAAACTTCTTTACAGCTGTCCCCCAACTCCAATCTCCATTAGTGAAGTTAAGGGCCATGAGACAGTTGTGAACACTTGATCATACCATTGTTTAATCAAATTCCACAATCCTAACTGATCGTTAGATACAGCTATATTTTATTTAAGAATCCCAATATATAAAAATCCTAATTCCCAAAATAAGTGAATTATTAGGAAGTGGCCCTTTGGCAACAGATTTTCACTTTACAAAAGGACATTCCACAAAACCTTGTTAAAAATAGGGACTGTCAGGGAAAAAGGGTTGAAAAACTAACTCTTGGGTACTGTGCTCACTACCTGGGTGATGGGATCAATCATACCCCAACCCTCAGCATCATACAATATACCCACGTAACAAACCTACACATGTACCCCTTGAATCTAAAATAAAAATTGGAATTATTTTTAAAAATGTATTTCAAATTAGCTGGGCATGGTGGTGTGCACCTATAGTCCCAGGTACTGGGGAGGCTGAGGCAGGAGAATCCCTTGAATCCAGGAGGTGGAGGTTGCAGTGAGCCGAGATCGTGCCACTGCACTCCAGCCTGGGCGACAGAGCGAGACTCCGTCTCAAAAAAAAAAAAAAAAAAAATATATATATATATATATATATATATATATATATAAAAATAAATAAAATAAAAAATGTATTTGCGACTTTTCAATTTAACAGAAAATCATGTAGCCATGTTAACAGTACACTCACCATTTCTGTTCTATGTTCAGTTAAGTTCTTGCCTTTTGACTATGTTAAAAACATAAAATCTTATATGAGCAATCTAAAAAAATAGGTGCTGTCTCTAATGTGTTGAGGTTATTTGATATTTAAAAAATCATTACAATCAAGTCATCACATCTCTAGTGATAATTTTTGAACTTCAAATTATCATATAGCTAATCTAACAAGATTCATTTTGACTTATTTCATTTCTCTGAGAATTCATATAAAGGCACTTTAAAAATCACATTTAGTTATAATAAAACTTATACTGATGTAACTTTATATAAAATTTAATTTGATTGAAAATGATAAAATTCCATAAAATTAGGACTATTCAAGAATATCTGAGATCCATGGTTGACAGAGATGTATCCATTTGGAGAATTCCTGTACCATCGCAACAACCATCTCTCCTGAGAGTTTATTTTCACTCATCTGCCATTTAACCTGAACCCAGCAAACCTTACATCAGTGCAGGAAGGATGTGAATTTCCAGTTTAGTTTTACTCTGTTATATATATTCATTATCAAATATCAATAATCAGTGACAGTGAGAGTAAGTTAAAAACAAGTGTAATTAATATATTGTAATCTTCACATCTGCAGTCTACTCTGCTTTTTGCCCTACTATAGTATTTCTGAATTTTTTTTTTTTTTAGATAGAGGCTTGCTCCGTTGCCCAGGCTGGAGTGCAATGGCGCCATCTCGGCTCACTGCAACCTCCACCTCCTGGGCTTAAGCAGGTCTCCTGCCTCCCTCCCGAGGAGCTGGAACTACAGGCATGAGCCACCATGCCCAGCTAATTTTTTTTGTATTTGCATTAGAGACAGGGTTTCGCTATGTTGGCCAGGCAGTTCTCAAACCCCTGGCCTCAAGTGATCTGCCCGCCTCAGCCTCCCAAATTGCAGGGATTACGGGCGTGAGCCACCGCACCCAGTCACTATAGTATTTCTGGATGTAAGAGTAAAAATAGCCATCCAGCCTACCTGGCACGAGTGGAGAATGAATCCATGATGCAGAGATAATTGAAGAGAAGTGCAAAGGGAAATGCAGCCCCCTGGTAAAACGATATAGGATGGAGAAAGAACAGCCAAAGCCACTCCATTAGGAACCAGAACAAAAGAGCCTGTCTTTTCCAGTGTCCTTAACTGATGCCTTCCTCCAAGAGTAATCTCAACCAGGCTGTCTCTGGTCTTTTTATCTGGTTTAGCGGGGCTAGGGTGAGCAAAAGGCAAACAAAAGCTCTGGAGATAAGCAGAATAAAAACTGGCTTTCTGATTGAGGAACTGCACTATGGAAACCAAAACACATTTTGGTGTAACATTAATCATGACATGCACTAAAAACATTGCTTTTGGAAGCGTGGTTTTGTTTCATTGACATAGTATACTATTTACCTTTCCAGTCATCATGCTGTCGTATTTTCTTCACTAAGTTAATGAAAAATCTCATTTCCCAACTGTGGACAGACAACTCTGTGGACTGAAAAGGGGAAACAAGAATGTGACCAGGAGGAAGGGAAGCAGGTTCTTTTCTTTTTCTTTTTTTGAGATAGGGTCTGGCTCTGTCACCCAGGCTGGAGTGCAGTGGCACAACCTTGGCTCACTGCAACCTCTATCTCCCCAGCTCAAGTGATCCTCCCACCTCAGCCTCCTGAGAAGCTGGGGCTATAGGCATGTGCCACCATGCCCAGCTAATTTTTATATTTTTTTTATAGAGATGGGGTTTTGCCATGTTGGCCAGGCTGATCTCAAACTCCTGGTGTCAAGCGATCCTCCTGCCTCAGCCTCCCAAAGTGCTGAGATTATAGGCATAAGGAACTGCACCCAGCTGGAGGCAGGTTCTTAAGGCAAAAACCAAGATTCCCCTTCCTCACCACAACTCTCCTCCTTATGCTACTTTTTTTCGTATCAGTACCTCTTATGTATCTATTTCTCAATTCATTTTCCTGCCCCCTTTACAACATGAGCTCTACAAGGGAAAGACTTTGTTTTGTTGATTACTGTATCCGTAGCACATAGAACACTGCTGAATACATACTATATACCCAGTAAATATTTGTTTAAAAGATTTTGAGGAGGCTGGCTGTGGTGGCTCATGCCTGTAATCCTAGCACTTTGGGAAGGCGAGGTGGGTGGATCATCTGAGGTCAGCAGTTCAAGACTAGCCTGGCCAACATGTGAAACCCTGTCTCTATGAAAAATGCAAAAATTTAGCTGGGCATGGTGGTGGACACCTGTAATCCCAGCTACTCAGGAGGCTGAGGCAGGACAATCACTTGAACCCAGGGGGCAGAGGTTGCAGTGCGCTGAGATTATGCCGCTGCACTCCAGCCTGGGCAACAAGAGTGAA
This sequence comes from Homo sapiens, assembly GCF_000001405.40. Classification (NCBI taxonomy): domain Eukaryota; kingdom Metazoa; phylum Chordata; class Mammalia; order Primates; family Hominidae; genus Homo; species Homo sapiens. The sequence continues at coordinate 30,145,849 of NC_000008.11, forward strand.
ACTCCGTCTTGGAAAAAAAAAAAAAAGGTTTTGAGGATATCAAAGTGTAGAGGGGAAACATTTCAAGAGAATCTTTTCTTGACAAGTAATACAGAAGAGACTTCCTAGAGGCAAGACATCTCTTGGCTAGTAGCGATCCATCTCCTGAGCCCAGGGCATTCCAGGGCTGTCCCTGATCAGTTGTTTTCCCTCTCCAAAGTCACTTGCATGAGCAAGTTGTCAATAAAGGACAGGAAAATCTGACATGAGCATCTTCAGGGCAAGGACCATCTTTTAGTGAGAGACTGTATTCGTCCGTTTTCACACTGCTATAAAGAACTACCCGAGACCGGTAATTTATAAAGGACAGAGGTTTAATTGACTCACAGTTCTGCATGGCTGGAGAGGCCTCTGGAAACTTACAGTCATGGTGGAAGGCAAAGGAGAAGCAAGTACCTTCTTTACAAGGTGACAGGAAAGAGAAGTAAGAGCGCAGGAAGAAAACACCATTTATAAAACCACCAGATCTCATGAGAACTATCATGTGAGAATGATCACGAGAACAGCATGGGGAAACCGTTCCCATAATCCAGTCACTTCCCTTCCTCAATACATGGGGATTATAACTGGGGATGAGATTTGGGTGGGGACATAGACCCAAACATATCAGAGACTGCTCTGCACAGAGAAGAAAATCCAAAAGAATCTTATTGATTGGGGAACTTTGAGCAAGTCACATCACCTCTCTGGGACTAAGCTTCACCTTAAAACTAGACATAATTAGGCCTATCTCAACAGAACTGTTATGAAAATCAGATAAAGCATGTAAAAGCATGGCATATAAAGCTGGCTGGTTGAATGTAGCTGAAGGTAAAGTGATTGAATAATTAACATTATGAGCATTATTGGGCTACCACTTTATGACAGACTCTTTGCTAAGCACTAGGAATATGGGGATGAGTAAGACATGGTCCCTGCACTCATGTTGCTCTCAGTCTACTGGAGAGACAGAAATGGAAATAAATACCTTTCTTAATGAACTGTAGGTGCACAGGTGTATGGTAGGGGATAAAGAAAGAAACAATCACCTGCAGAAATAGGGAATCAAAAAGGATTTTGGAAGAGTGGAACTGCTTAAGTTGGCTCTCTGTGAAAGGATGTTTGCAAGCAGATGGGTGGCTTATTCTAGGCCACAGAAGGCACAAAGTCTTAGGCAACAATAAAACAGTTAATGGGAATGCCGAGAGTAGTTTGGTCATGGAGACCCTAACCCAGCAGCACTAGAGGAATTAAAGACACACACACAGAAATAAAGCGTATAGAGTGGGAAATCAGGGGTCTCACAGCCTTCAGAGCTGAGACCTGAGAGCCTCAAACAGAGATTTACCCACGTCTTTATTGACAGCAAGCCAGTGATAAGCATTGTTTCTATAGATTTTAGATTAACTAAAAGTATTCCTTATGGGAAATAAAGGGATGGGCCGAAATAAAAGGATGGGCTCTGGCTCGTTATCTGCAGCAGGAGCATGTCCTAAAGGCACAGATCGCTCATGCTATTGTTTGTGGTTTAAGAATGCCTTTAAGCAGTTTTCCGCCCTGGGTGGGCCAGGTGTTCTTTGCCCTCATTCCAGTAAAACCACAACCTTCCAGTGTGGGCATCATGGCCATCACGAACATGTCATAGTGCTACAGATATTTTGTTTATGGCCAGTTTATGGCCAGATTTTGGGGGCCTATTCCCAACATGTCCCCCTTCTTTGATTTACAAAACAATACAAGCAAAGGCAGCTTTGTCACAGTGAGCTACTTCTCACAGGAGTCAGGATATGCATCTGCAGACTACACAAAGACAAACAACACAGATTAAAAGCACAATCATCATTGAAATCACAGAGCATCCAAGTGTTTTTATCCATTTTAATGGGTTACTAGCTGCTAATCTGTCTGCAGCTCCTTCAAGCACTCCAGTTCCTGGCATTAATGTCAGGTGTGCCTGGGATGCTTTAAATATTTGTTCTTTTAATTTTGTGATATCCAAAGACAAGTTTGTACAGTGTCCTTCTAGATGCTTTTTTATTCTTTCCCAAATTTTGATCTTATTAAGAGCTATTAATTGTTTCCACAAATCCTTATGTTTAGCTCCTACAGTGGGACGTATCATTTGAGGTTGAGGTGCCACTATACCACCATGGTTCCAGATAATAGGAACTCTTGCCATACTTCTTACCGTTTCTACCATCTGACTGTTTTGTTCAGACCAGCTGAATATAGTGTGGCCATGGCATGCAGACTGAGAGGTGCAATTCAAGCTAAACATCCCCTTGGGGACGAATTAATAATGATTCCATAGGAATCGTTGCACAGCACCTCTGCCTGTTCTGCAATGCAATCTTCCCAAACAAGTACGTCCATTAATTCTGGCCAGGTCCAATTCTGTTTACAAATAGGTTTTTGAGGGTGGTATGCCTCAGTTATAGGAGCAGATTTATTATGGTAAATACTGAGGTCAGAAAGCATGTGTAACTGTGTCATAGACTGATTACATCCAGGCATTATTGCCAGCCAAGATTGATAAATATGCCCAATAAGTATAATTGTTCTTTGTGTCAGCCCTTGTTGAAGGAATACTTACGGCAATGGTGATCACCACATCATAGCTACCATTAAATTACTCATTGTGACTGGTTGTCCCGCTTTTCTCAAGTTTTCTTCTGCCATCTGTGACAGCTTCTTGATCTGTCCTCAGGTGGGTGGCTGTGTTTGATGGGTGTTGCTCGTGACAATTGGGGTCCTCCTCAGCATCACTCTCAACGTGGCTGTAATTGGGGGGTCCTCAGGATCCTCCCAGAATCTCTTCCTCAGCATCTAGTTCATGATAAGTTTTCAGGTGTCTTGATGGTATCCAAATCGGCTGTTGATTTGGTCCTGGAGAAACACAAGCATAACGTCTACCCCAAGTTATTATTTTAAGGTTGTATAACTGAATTAATGGCTCTTAAGTCAGTTAACATTCTCCATTTACCTGATTTTTTCTTAATTACGAAAACTGGAAAATATTGGAGCTATGCGCCCGTTTTCTAATTGTTCAGTAACGAATTCCTCTAAAGCCTCAAGTTTCTCTACTTAGCGGCCATTGTTTTATCCAAATTGGCTACTCTGTTAACCATTTTAAATGTACAGATTCTGGAGGCTTAACAATGGCCACCATCAAAAATGATATCCTAAACCTTGGTGGGAACTTTGTCTTTCCACTTGAAGCGGTTCCTTTAAACCTTGCAAACTTTTTCCTAGTCCCATACCAGGGACATACCCCATTTCATGCATTATATGTTGACTTTGAGGGCTATATAATTGTTCAGGAATTAGAACTTGTGCTCCCCATTGCTGTAACAAATCTATTCCCCATACACTTATAGGTACAGAAGTTATAATTGGTTGAATAGTCCCAGGTTGTCCATCGGGCCCTTCTCAATGCAAAATATAACTACTTTGATATACTTCAGGGGCTTTACCAACTCCAACTATGTTAAATTGAGTGGGTTGAATTGGCCACGCGGATGGCCAGTGTGTAGAGAAATGATTGAAATGTCCGCTCCTATATCTACCAAACCTTTAAATTTCTTTCCCTGAATAGTTATTTCACAGGTAGGACATTTATCAGTAATTTGATTTATCCAATAAGCTGCTTTGCCTTGCTTATTCGTGCTTCCAAATCCTCCTGTTCATTTAATTTCATTTTTCCCCATTCCCACATACGGCACAATCGGGAGCTGTGCTCTGAGTTCTCCTGGCTCTGCTTTCCAGGGAACGGAAGTAGATATAACAATTTGAATTTCCCCATTGTAATCTGAATCAATGACTCCTGTTTGTACTTGTACCCCTTTTAAATTTAAACTAGACCTTCCTAAAAGTAATCCTATCATCGCTGCTGGCAAGGGTCCACAGACTCCTGTTGGGGCGTTTTGCAGGGGTTACCCAGTCAGAAGGCTCACAGCTTTTGTGCAGCATAAATCTACTGCGGCACTACCGGCTGTGGCAGGGGACAGACATTGTACGGGGTGAGGGAATGGCCTGAGCCACAAATGCCCTGGTTTGGAATGGGGCCGGGATGGGCCCCTCAGGGTGTTTCCCGAAATCGGGTTCCCATCTTTATCAAACTTAGAATGACACTGGTTAGCCCAATGTTTTCCTTTTTGCATTTTGGACATACTTCAGGCTCAGCAGTTTTCTTTTTTCCCCCATCTGGTGGCCTGACTTCCTGATTTTTTTCTACATTCTTTTTTAGTATGACCATGCTTCCCACAGTTCTCCAGGAAATGGAGTATTTCCTTTATCCACTCTCAGTCCTGCCATTGCCTGTGCCAACAAAGTAGCTTTATGCAGATTACCTCCGATACCATCACAGGCCTTGATATAATCAACTAAATGTGCTTTCCCTCTAATAGGTGGCAGAGCAGCCTGGCAATCGGGATTAGCATTGTCAAAAGCTAATAACCACAACACTTTATCTTGAGCAGCCAAATCTGCAATTACCTTTTTAAGAGACTCCTGTAACCGAGCTATAAAATCGTCATATGGTTCTTTTGGTCCCTGCTTTACAGCACTAAAGGAAGGTTATTGCTCTCCACCTGAAGTGATTTTTTTTCCCAGGCTCTAATGCACACTCCTCTAAGCTGTTCTATGGCATCATCCTGCATGACCACTTCTACATCTAAACCAGCCCAGCCGCTGACCCCCAAAAGTTAGTCTGCAGTTATATTAATTTGAGGTTGGGCCTGGGTGTTGCGAGCAGCCTGAATGGAAGCTTCATCTGCCCACCAAGTTTTAAATTGTAAGAAGTGAGTGGGAATTAGACCAGCTCGAGTAAGAGTGTTCCAGTCAGTAGGACTCATCCGACTGGAAACAGCAACATTCTTTAACAGTCCCATTACAAAAGGAGAACCTGGTCCATACTGATTAATAGCTTGTTTAAAATTCTTTGAGTAATTTAAAAGGAAAAGGCTCAAATGTAGCTGTAATAGTTCCCTGTTGATCAGGTGGGTGTATTCTAACAGGGAACTGCCAAGCCTCTATATCACCCTCTCGTCTAGCTTGCTGAATTCCTGCCTGAATAGAACTGAGAGTGGTCGCTGGAGGCGCTGCTCGAACAGTCACTGGGGCAACTACTTTTCACTCAGTGTCCTCCAGAAAAGAAAGATCTGGAGGGTGAGGCCACTCTTTTTCTTCAAAATAATAATGAGGGGGTGCAGAAGGGTAGGGATGAACCTCTCCCTCCTTTGCCACTTTAGCTTTAGCTGGCAAATAAACCTCCTCTGTAACCTCTTCTGTTATCTCGTTATACTCTCCTTCCTCATCATCAGTGTGAAAAGGTTCCAAAGTGGAACGAACCAGAGCCCACACTTGTCCCATTGTTACCCTGATGCTTCTGAGCTCCCCTTCTTACCCACCACGGGGATTGCTTTAAGAGTACTTGGGTGTCCTCCAGCTTAGCTCCACATTCTCCAACCATTGCTCTGATGACTCTTCGACCTGGGTTTGAGCCCCCACGTATGGGCGCCACTTGCCAAGACCAGCTCGGTCCTGGAGACCCTAACCCAGCGGCACTAGAGGAATTAAAGACAGACACATAGAAATATAGAGTGCGGAGTGGGAAATCAGGGGTCTCACAGCCTTCAGAGCTGAGAGCCTCGAACAGAGATTTATCCACATATTTACTGACAGCAAGCCAGTGATAAGCATTGTTTCTATAGATTAACTAAAGATATTCCTTACGGGAAATAAAGGGATGGGCTGAAATAAAGGAATGGGTTTGGCTAGTTATCTGCAGCAGGAGCATGTCCTTAAGGCACAGATCGCTCATGCTATTGTTTGTGGTTTAAGAACACCTTTAAGGGGTTTTCTGCTCTGGGTGGGCCAGGTGTTCCTTGCCCTCATTCTGGTAAACCCACAATCTTCCAGCGTGGGCGTCATGGCCATCACGAACATGTCACAGTGTTGCAGATATTTTGTTTATGGCCAGTTTTGGGGCCAGTTTATGACCAGATTTTGGGGGCCTATTCCCAACAGGGAAGAAGAGGGCTCCCTAAGGAACTAAATAAGATAACATCATATTAAACATATTGAATGAAACCAAATCCCACATCAAATATAATTTCTAGGTATAGAAGAGTTGAATTGCAGTTGATTAGTTAAGAAAAAAGTTGCTTTGTAGACATTGAATTAAGTATGTACGTGTGGGTTTGGACACAGTGACTCATGCCTGTAATCCCAGCACTTTGGGAGGCAGAGGCAGGTGGATCACCTGAGGTCAAGAGTTCAAGACCAGCCTGGCCAACATGGTGAAACTCTGTCTCTAATAAAAATCCAAAAAAAAAAAAAAAAAAAAAAAAAAAAAAGGCCAGGCATGGTGGCAGGTGCCTATAATTCCAGCTACTCAGAAGGCTGAGGCAGGAGAATCACCTGAATCCAGGAGGTGGAGGTTGCAGTGAGCCGAGATCACGCCATTGCACTCCAGCCTGGGCAACAAGAGTGAAACTCCATCTCAAAAAAAAAAAAAAAGTATGTGTGCATTTATTTATTTTATTATCGAGACAGGCTCTTGCTCTGTTGCCCAGGCTGGAGTGCACTGGCATGATCTTGGCTCATTGCAACTTTGACCTCCCGGACTCAAGTGATCCTCCCACCTCAGGCCCCAAGTAGCTGGGGCTACAGGCACGTGCCACCATGCCTCGCTAATTTTTGTATTTTTTGTAGAGACAGAGTTTTGCCATGTTGCCCAGGCTAGTCTCGAACTCCTAACTCAAACAATCCACCTGCCTCAGCTTCCCAAAGAACTGGGGTTACAGGCGTGAGCCACTGTGCCTGGCCTTAGCATTAATTAATTCCTACCTGTACGGTTTACATTCTGGAATCAGTACATTTTATTTTCAGGTTTCAAACAGTTCGTTGATCCCCAAAAAGCCTATAGGCCCTAGACACTGTACCTAATACTGATAAAATGATCCTTTATAAGTATGCCATAGAAGTCTTTCAAATTAATATAAATACACATTGCTTGAAAATGGATAGGTGTTTACATGGTTGGCAGTGACAAAACACTCTAAATTCATTCATATACTTATTCAACAAGTTTAGAGGAATATCAACCATGCACCAGGCACTGTGGTTGGTGCTGAGTAAAGAGTGGGAACAAAACTCACATGGCTCTAACTTCATGGAACTTAAGTCTTTGGAGGAAATGGTAAGATAAGTAAGTATAGCTGGTGATGAGTGCAATCCTTACCCCACAGAGAAAATAATTAGAATAGGAAGGGTAGCCTATTTTTGATTAGATGGTGCTATGGTCTGAATGTTTTTGTCCCTCCAGAATTCATATGTTGAAATAATACCTTCAAGGTTCTGTCCTCTCTGCCGAGCCTCACATCTGATATTTTATTGACTACTTGGCAATTAAGAGGTGGGACATTTGGGAGGTGATTAGGTGATGAGGGCTCTCATCAGACACAGAATGTCCAGCGCTTTGATCTTGGACTCCCCAGCCTCTAGGACTGTGAGCAATAAATGTCTTTGTTTATAAATAACAGTAGTCGCACTTATCCATGGTTTCATCTTCTGTGGTTTCAGTAACCTGTAGTCAACATCAGTCCAAAAATATTAAATAGAAAATTCCAGAAATAAACAATTTGTGAGTTTTAAATTGCACACCATTTTGAGTAGCATGATGAACTCTCGTACCATGCTGCTCTCTCTAGGCAAGAACATGAATCATCCCTTTGTATCCACACTGTTGGTACTACCTGCCCATTAAAGCTTTCTCAGTTATCAGATACATTGTTGCAGTATCAGAGTACTTGTGTTCAAGTCACTCTTATTTTACTTCATAATGGCCCCAAAGCACAAAAGTAGCGATGCAGGTGATTTGGATCTGCCAAAGAGAAACTGTAAAATGCTTTAAGTGAAAATGTGAAAACTTCTTGATTTCAAAAGGAAAGAAAAAAAACTATATGCTGAGGTTGCTAAGATCTATGGTAAGAATAAATCTTTTACCCATGAAACTGTTAATGAGGAAAAGGAAATGTGTGCATAGTATATAGAGGGTTCAGTATTATCTGTGGTTTCAGGCATCCACTAGAGGTCTTGGAATGTATCCCCCGAGGATAAGAAAGGACTACTATACCCAGTCTAAGGTATAACTGTCCCTCAGTATGCTTGGGGAACTGGTTCCTGGACACCCTGATGCCAAAATCTGCAGATGCTCAAGCCCCTGATATAAAATGGTGTAGTATTTGCATATAACTAACTGATGCATATCCTCCCATATCCTTTCAATCATCTTTATATTATTCAGAATATCTAATACAATTCCTACATATCACTTCATTCATGTGGCTTCAATGTAGCACTTGGCATGCAGCAAATTCAAGTTTTGCTTTTTGGAAACTTGCGTAATTTTTTCCCCCAAATTTTTGATCCAACGTGGGTTGCTGTCAACCAGTCACAGATGTCAAACCCACAGATACAAAGGGCCAACTGTATTTTGTTATAGCAGCCAGAAAGAACTAAGACAGTCAAGGAGGGTTTCCCTGAGTGTGATGGTCAGTTTTTTGTGTCAACTTGGTTAGGCTACATTCCCAAGTCATTAGTCAAACACTAATCTAGATGCTGCTGTAAAGGTATTTTTGTGGATGTGATTAAAGCCCATCATCAGTTCACTTTAAGGAAGAGAGATTATCCTAGCTAATCTGGGTGGGCCTGATTCAATCAGTTGAAGGCCATAAGAGCTGAGATGGGCTTCCCTGAAGAAATTCCTCCTGTGAACAACAGCCTCACCCCTTGCATGAGAGTTCCAGCTTAGTGTACAGATTTTGGACTTGCTTAGCTGGGGCTCCACAATCATGTAAGCCAATTCCTTACAATAAGCCTTTTGATATCCATCTACTACTAGTTCTGTTTCTCTGGTTGGAAACTGAGTATGTGACATCCGAGACATAAAGGGTCAGAAGGTGTTAGGGTGGGGGCAAGTGGAAGCGGTTGGGGGTGGAGAGTCAGCTTTGCTTTTTTGGAGAATGAGGGTGTGATCGAACACATAGAAAGAGAAAGAGAGAAGTAGGCAGGGGCTGGATGTAGCTCAGAGATAGGTTATGGAAAGCAGTTTGGATTTTAGATTTTAAGAGGAAGGGGAAATAACTGAATTTGGCTCTTATTTTTAATTTTTTTCCATTAAAAAAATACATTATAGAAAAAATATATAGAGACGGGATCATGCTGTGTTGACCAGGCTGGTCTCCAACTCCTGGCCTCAAGCGATCCTCCCATCTCGGCCCCCCAAAGTGCTGGGATTACCGGTTTGAGCCACGCGCCTGGCCTCAATTTGTCTTTTAAAGGATGATTTTGACTACAAGAGAACTACTTGGATCAGGGTTGGGGGTGGGAGATGAGGAGGTGTGATTTCAGAGGCCAAGTACAGAATGAGTGAACAACTGGGAGAGACACATCGGCTGAGATTAGAGAGATGGTCCGGTAGACAAAAGTGTAAGCATGAGACCCGAGGTAGGACAAGCAGAACTTGCAGATCTATTACAGATGTAGGGGTGAGGAGTGCCAGGGTGACTCTTGAGTGTCTGGCTTGAGCAGCTAGGCAAATGGTGTGGATCAAAAAAGCAGCAGGTTGCAGGGAGGACGGCAGTGTTAATCGAAAGTCATGTTCTGTAAGTTTTAGGTTCGATACGACTCTGAGCGGAGATGTCAATTAGTCAACCGAATGTCAGGTGTGAAGATCGGCACAGAGGGCAGAACCAGAGACATTCATTAGAGAGCAAACAGGTAGAGGGCACTTAACCTATAGGAAGGATGCACTCATATAGAGCGAGAAAAGGGCCAGAAGGAGCCCTAATGAGTAGAGAAAGACAGGCTGAAAAGGACATCGGCGAGGTCAGAGAAATACCTTTAGGGTGTAATTACGCCTACGCGAGTGGGTAAAATGAGGGCATAATGACGCGGACTGGATTGCAATAAACAGCTTTTATTCTTTTATCAGAGACACGATCTAGCTTTTTAGCCCAGGCCGGAGTGCGGTGGCATCCTCACAGCTCGCTGCAGCTTCACTGGGCTCAGGCGATCCTCTCGAGTAGCTGGGGTACAGGCGCAGGCCACCGTGACAGGCTTTTTTTTTTTTTTTTTTTTTTTTTTTTTGAAGAGAGGGTCTCACTATGTTACCCAGGCTAGTCTCGCAGTCTGGCACTCCTGGCCTCAAGCGATCCTCCTGCCTCGGCCTCTCGGCCTCCCAAAGTGCTGGCCTGTGCCCAGTCAATGGCTGTTCCAAATTAGGGTCTACCCATCTCTATGCAGGGCTAAAGTCCGCGGGCGGCCCCGCACCGCTACCAAAAGTACAGTCCTGTGCGCCCAGACGCGACGCAAACAAGAGTCGCAAGCTTCCGGGTCCCCGCCCCACCCCGGCTCCGCCCCTCCCCCAACCCTGCCAGGCTCTCCAATCGCATGTGGAATTATCGCTCTACCCAGGCGGTGGTGTCGATCTACGTTCCAATTGGGGCCGTACCATGGCGGAGAAGACTCAAAAGAGGTGGGTTTGCTGCTTGAGAAAAGCCTTTTCTCAGCTTTCCGTAGGGGTGGAACCTGTTCCTGGTCGCCAATGGTGGCGACTCAGAAGGTGTCTCATCCTGGGCATTCGGGCCGAAGGTACCTGAAGCCCAGACCTGGCGTCCACTGAGGGAGGGGGCGACGGAGTGGGGGCGGGGAGGGTTGAGAAGGGACGCGGAGTCGCTGCCTGGAAGGTTTTTGTTCCTGTCTGGCCGTCCCTCCCCACATGCGCCTGCGCAGAGGGGGTCTCCCGGCCGGGAGGGCGGGGGGGGCTGTGAGGGGAGGGTGACGTCAGCTTTTTCCTGGGGAAGGCCGGCTCCCTTCTCCCGCATAATCGGCGGTGCTTGGCGCCGCTGTACCCCACGGCTTGGCGCTGGATTCTCTGCTGCATGTTGCGAGACCCCCACGCCAGTGCTGGCCGCACCCCAGGCCCTTCCTGTCTCTGGAGGGTGGGGTGTGTAAAGGGATTTACGGTCGCTGTCAAAAGGGGGGCCGCGCCTGGACTTGAACTGTGACACACACACACACACATTATATAGATGCAAGGAGTACTTGCGCAGATTTGTTGCATAGATAAATTGCGTAATGGTGAAGTTGGCTTCTAGTGTACTTACCACCCAAATAGTGAACATTGTATCAGATGGGTAATTTTTCAGCCCTCAAACCCCTCCTACCCTCGCTGCTTTTAGAGTCCCCAGTGTCTGTTATTTCCCTCTTTATGTTTATGTGTACTCATTTTAGCTCCCACTTAAAAGTGAGAACATGTGCATTTGATTTTATTTCTGAGTTATCGCGTAAGGTAATGGCCTCCAGTTCCATCCATGTTGTTGCAAAAGACATGTTTCCTTTCTTTTTGATGGCTCTGTAGTATTCCATCGTATAGATACACCACATTTCCTTTATCCAGTCATCCGTTGATGAACACTTAGGTTGATTCCATACTTTGCTATTGTGAATAGTACAGTGATAGTCATAGGAGTGCAGTTGTCTTTTTAATACAATGGTTTCCTTTGAGTAGATCCTGGGTCGAATGGTAGTTCCGTTTGGATTGGTAGCTCTATATGGATTGCTGGGTCCAATGGTACTTGTGTTTAGTCCTTTGAGAAATCACCATACTATTTTCAATAGATGAACTAATTTATATTCCCACCAATAGTGTATAAGCTTAGAACTGTGACATTTTTTGCCAGGCGTGGAGTGGACAAGCTCCTTTGTAAACATGTGGGGACAGGAAGTTTGGCTTCTTCTCCGGTAGTCTTCATTGCTGGGGGCTGTTGGTGGCTGTTGGTGGCTGGGATGAGACAAGTGCATAAGTAAAGCCATTTCGAACAGCAGCAGTGTTGAGCTCCCTCTGCTGACTATTTTTGACAAAGAAAACTGACATTGTTTCTGGTGCCATAAATTAAAATGTAGATTTTTCTTCCATTTAAGTAGATACTCTGTAATCTTTTTTCATAAGCTAAAGAGGAACAGATGTACTATAAATATTATGTGCAGTAGATAGCAGTAGATAGTAGCTTACAGTGAAGATTAAGGTATTGTTGACTTGTTACTTTTACAGATCTGAGGTTAAGTCTTGCCCTCCCATCTGCCGGCTCACCTCTCTGCTCCCACCACTCCGAGATACAAGGGGTCCTTGCAGAGATATCGGGACCACGTTTTAGTTGGCCTAGTGGCCTGCCCCACTGAGAAGTGTGCTGATTGTGACGCAAGCATTACCTGGGATCTCTCCCTTGGGCGTAAAACTGAAGGCAGGGGGCATTTGTGAGTCTCTCCTACTCTCAGTTGCCCAGGACAAGTTCAATGTTAGATAATGCTCTTTTCATAATGAGAAGGAAGCTGAGGAAATGGAAAATTGCAATGAGAAATAAGGTCTAAAACAAGAGACATTTTATAGAGGCTAATGTATTTGACCAGGGCTTAATAAAATTGCATATTTTAACAAAAAAAACCCACTTTAAATGAAAAGTATCAGAGAAATGACATTTACAGCTGGTGATACATTCAAGGACAGTGTCGCTCATTTATCATGGAAAAACATCTGGAGTGACAGGATGTTTCCAGAAAACTTTCAACTAGAAGACAGATGACTGATTTCAGGACAGTGATGCCCCAGGAATGAACTCTGCTCCAAGAAATTTCTAGTCTCTGAATTTCAGTTTTTTCTTCTATAATATGAGAGGGTTAGACCAGGTGATTTTCTTCTAATCTTACTAAAATCTTTCTTCTTCAATACAGCAGGAGGGCTACATATTTTCTGTTATTTCAGTAGATTGACTTTTTTTTTTTTTTTTTTTGTGAGACAGAGTCGCTCAGGCTGGAGTGCAGTGAAAGCTTTGCACCATGCCTGGTTCCTTTTTTTTTTTTTTTTTTTTTGAGACGGAGTCTCACTCTGTTGCCTAGGCTGGAGTGCAGTGGCACAATCTCTGCTCACTGCAACCTTTGCCTCCTGGGTTCAAGCGATCATCCTGCCTCAGTCTCCAGAGTAGCTGGGACTACAGGCACCCACCACCACACCTGGCTAATTTTTGTATTTTTAGTAGAGATGGGGTTTCACCATGTTGGCCAGGCTGATCTCGAACTCCTGACCTCAAGGAATCTGCCCACCTCGGCCTCCCAAAGTGGTGGGATTACAGGCGTGAGCCACTGCACCTGGCCCAGATTGACTCTTGACAGGCTGTATCACCCAGAAGGACCATTGGTAGGATTTCATTGACTTACGCCTTATAAAAAGTCAGAGCCTAACAAAATGATGGAAACAGCTGGAGCTGTGTCTATTCTCAAAACCATTTCTTGAAGATAGACTCAGGGATTATTAGTTTTTTCTATTTGATACATGTTTTTTTGTTTACTTAGAGCTTTAAAAATTCATGGCGGTGTGAAGGTTTGTCCACCCTAATTTGTGGAAGAAAAATTTGTGTATGTCTTCTTTTTTTTTTAGTTCATCACACCAGTAGGGAAGTTGGTACAATCTTAAAAATAGTTTTCATCTTACTTTGCATGTATATTAGGGAATACTTGGGGGGAAGATTCTGGCATAGAAATGATGGAGAGACATGTTAATGAAAGAATCTTTACCCTTCTGACTCTCAGAGCTGTATTTTTAGAACTCTCTTATGAGCTTCAGAATCTGTATTTTCAGTCGCTTATTGGATATATCTGGTGACCATTCCATAGATACCTCAGACTGAGTTTATCTAAAATTTAGCCAAATGACTTTTTTCTCTAAAATCTACCCCTCCTCCCATAGGCTATTCTCAGATGGTGCCATTAGTTTTCCAGATCAGAAACCTAGAGGCTTTGACCTTGCTCCCTAGCTCCAGACTTTTGATTAGTTTTCTTTTTTTTTTTTTTTTGAGACAGGGTTTCACTCCATCACCCAGGCTGGAGTGCAGTGGTGCAATCTCAGCTCACTGCAACCTCTACCTCCTGGGCTCAAGCGATCCTCCCGCCTCAGCCCCCCAAGTAGCTGGGAGTACAGGTGTAAGCCACCATACCCAGCTAATTTTTGTATTTTTTGTAGAGATGGGGTTTTACCATGTGACCCAGGCTGGTTTTGGTTGTTTTTCTGGCATAAGTGAAGCAGAGTCACAGCAGCTGATTTTGAGCCCTGGAATTTGAGCTTCCCTCTCCATCAGGAATCATCCCTTCCCAGGAAGGGGACAAGATGGCACCAGTTTCCTTATTTCACTCCATGCCCCTCACACCCATCCTTCTGTAGTTGATATGGTTTGGCTGTGTCCCCACCCAAATCTCATTTTGAAATGTAGTTCCCATAATTCCCACATGTTGTGGGAGGGACCAGGTGGAGATAATTGAATCATGGGAGCCGTTTCCCCCATCCTGTTCTCATGATAGTGAATTAGTTCTCATGAGATCTAATGGTTTTATAAGGGGCTTCCCCCTTCACTGGGCACTCATTCTCTTCCCTGCCACCATGTGAAGAAGGACGTGTTTGCTTCCCCTTCTGCCATGGTTGTAGGTTTCCTGAGGCCTCCCCAAACATGCTGAACTGTGAGTCAATTAAACCTCTTTCCTTTATAAATTACCCAGTCTCAGGTATGTCTCTATTAGCAGTGTGAGAACAGACCAATACACTAGTCAAACTTACTTCCCCTGCACAGAGAAGAAAGCAAATATAGTTTGCTCTTTATATCCATGGGTTCCACATCCATGGATCCAACCAACCTCAGATCGAAAATAGGAAAAAAAAATTGTGTCTGTAAACAATACAGTATAATTATTTACATAGCATTTACATTGTATTAGGTATTGTAAATTATCTAGAAATGACAAAGTATGAGAAGATGTGTATAGGTTTTATGCAAACACTGCAGCATTTTATATCAGAGACTTGAACATCTGAGGACTGGTCCTGGAACCAATCTCCCACAGATACTGGGTACTGAGGGATGCGACTGTATGCACTTTGTGGTCCATGGGGCCTGTAACAAGGAATGGGAAATACCTACCTTCAACGTTGCCTAGAAACCAGATTTTTATTAAATGTGTTTGTTGCCAAGTCTTGTTTCTATTTCCTAGACATACCTGCAGCTTCTCCTATGTGCTACCAGTGCATTTGATATGGTTTGGCCCTGTGTCCCCATCATATCTCATCTTGAATTATAATGCCCACCTGTTGAGGGAGGGACCCGTAATCCAAGTGATTGGATTATGGGAGTGGTTCCCCCATGCTGTTCTTGTGAAACCTGATGGTTTTATAAATGGTAGTTTTTCCTGCGCTCACACTGTCTCTCTGTCCTGCTGCCTTGTGAAGAAGGTGTCTGCTTCCCCTTTACCTTCCGCCATGATTGTAAGTTTCCTGAGGCCTCCCCAGTCATGTGGAACTGTGAGTCAATTAAACCTCTTTCCTTTATAAATTACCCATTCTCAGGGAAGTTCTGTAGAGCAGTGTGAAAATGGACTAATACAGCATTTCAGGCCTGCATTATCTCTGTAGGATTAGACCAACTGCCTCCCTGACCCCCCCCACCACCAAGTACTTCTTCATACAAGTGTCAATTATCTGCATACCATTTGGTGACATTGTTGGCTTGGGAATAGGAATCCTTCAGTGACTTCTTGCCTACAGGTGCAAATTCAAATCCCTGGTCATGGTGTACAAGCTTATTCATGGGCTGATCCTGCTTTTCCTCCCAGCCTTACCTGCTCCCTTTCTCTTCATGATTTTTGTGCTTCTTCTCATTCAGTGATGTCCAACCTGGGAGGGGGGAAGAGGTTTTTACTTTGTTACTTACCAGTCTTTGCTTAGATGTATGCATATGGTATTTAAAAATAGATAGAATAGATAAAATTGTGTTTTAATTTTTTTTTTTTTTTTTGAGACAGAGTCTCACTCTGTCGCCCAGGCTGGAGTGCAGTGGCGTAGTCTTGGTTCACTGCAAGCTCCACCTCCTGGGTTCACACCACTCTCCTGCCTCAGCCTCCCAAGTAGCTGGGACTACAGGCGCCCACCACCACGCCCGGCTAATTTTTTGTATTTTTAGTAGAGACGGGGTTTCACCGTGCTAGCCAGGATGGTCTCGATCTCCTGACCTCGCAATCCGCCAGCCTTGGCCTCCCAAAGTGCTGGGATTACAGGTGTGAGCCACCACGCCCAGCCTTAATATTTTTACATAAGCATTCTTGCACAAACATTTACACCTTTCTTTTCTTTTCTTTTCGAGATGGAGTCTCGCTCAGTCACCCAGGCTGGAGTGCAGTGGCGCTACCTCGGCTCACTGCAAGCTCCGCCTCCTGGGTTCATGCCATTCTCCTGCCTCAGCCTCCCCAGTAGCTGGGACTACAGGCCACCACCATGCCCGGCTAATTTTTGTATTTTTAGTAGAGACGGGGTTTTGCCATGTTGGCCAGGCTGGTTGGTCTCAAACTCCTGACCTCAAGTGATCCACCCACCTTGGCCTCCCAAAGTCCTGGGATTACAGGTGTGAGCCACCATGCCCAGCCCAAAACTATTGTATTTCTGTATACTGTGACAATTGGAAATCAAAATTTTGAAAAATCCAAACAAAATTACAAAGACAAAATATCTAAAATGTTAGTGTTATTTCATAGTAGCTGAGAGCAGATTTAACACCATGAATGTCATTGCCATTTAGAAAAATTCTTTTATTAATGAAAAGAAGTTTCCTAATAACTATCACTGTAATGGAGAAGTCATTTGATGTACTTCCTCATGTCAGCTCATGGTTCAGCTAGGGTCAGTGTTTACATACAGCTTTGTCAAACAAAAGATAACAGCAGAATATAAAAAAGCATCAATAAGTTATATGGAAATTATTAGAGTCTTTTGAAGAATTTGTACTACAATTTATATTACTTGGTAAAAAGTTTCTCATATATGTGTATGTATATATATATATGAGAGTAAACAGAAACATTTGTAAATTTTAAATTTCTAAGTTAGTATTACCTTGCTGGTTGTTAAATAGTTTGAATGTATATTTTTTCTTCCTACCTTTACAAAAATAATGGCATATTACATACTGTCCATTTTCTCACTTCACTCTTTTTTACTTTTAACAATATAGCTTGGAGATCATTCCATATTTTTTTTTTTAAGAGATGAGGTCGCCGGGCACGGTGGCTTATGCCTGTAATCTCAGCACTTTGGGAGGCTGAGGTGGGTGGATCACCTGAGGTCGGGAGTTCGAGACCAGCCTCACCAACCTGAAAAAACCCCGTCTCT